>NC_000019.10:37543904-37846934 GCF_000001405.40 Homo sapiens
AAGGGAATGAGAGATGTAATAATGCAACTGTCTAGAAAATTGTATTCTAGGCAGAGGGAACAGCAAATGCAAAAATGCAAACACCCTAAGGGAATGTGTCTGGAGTGTTGGAGACCAGAAAGGAAGGTGTATTCTTGTTGAATAACAAATTGTCCCCCAAACTTAGTGACCTAAAACAACAATAAACGTCTCACATGCTGTCTATGGGTCAGGAATTTTGAAAGTGCCATTGGATTCACACTCCCCTTAGCTGTGCTTCTTCCCTCTCACTCTGCCCTTCCGAAGTCTTTGTCCAAGCTATCTCTCTTTCCAGACCAGCACACAGGAGGGCCAGTGCCATTTGCGCTTATGGGAAGGAAGGAGTCCCCTCTGCCATGGCCTTTCTGTGTTCCTCCACCCAGCAGTGGAATCGAAGCTGTTCAGCACCTTCTCCAAAATATTGGCGCCCAATATACCCTACCATTCACCAATGAGAGCAGGTTGCAGACCACTACTGTCTTTCTCCGTCTTTCTTTTCCTTTTTTTTTTTTTTTTTGAGACGGAGTCTCACTCTGTCGCCCAGGCTGGAGTGCAGTGGCATGAGCTTGGCTCACTGCAACCTCTACCTCCCGGGTTTCAGCGATTCTCCTGCCTCGGCCTCCCAACATGCTGGGATTACAGGCGTGAGCCACCACGCCTGGCTAATTTTTGTATTTTTAGTAGAGACGGGGTTTCACCATGTTGGTCAGGCTGGTCTTGAACTCCTGACCTCAAGCAATTCACCCACCTCGGCCTCCCAAAGTGCTGGAATTAGAGGCGTGAGCCCCCACGCCCGGCCTACTGTTTTTCTTATGACTAGCACTATATTGATGGAGAGGAGATGCGGGCAGTGGTTTCCTGCAGAAGTGACAGCCTCAGAGTGGGGTTCCAACAGAAAGGATGGTAGCAGGTCATTGTCAACTGTGTATCCCTACCTAGAACAACCAAAACCTTGGGGTCAGAAAAAGATAGGCTGGGGGTATTGTAGGACACATCTTTGAAAATGGTCGTCCCCAGGGAGAAACAGCTAAATGGGTGCAGCTACCTGGTTTCACCGCATAGACGCAATTAATTACTCAGCATCTCACACTATAATGGGGCGCCCTGGGCATTTAGCTACACAGCGGAAAGCCACACCTGAGTGTGTGTGGCAGCCTTGGGGCGAGGTGGAGAGGGTTGTTGCAGTGGCCCTGCCGCCACAGAAGGAGAGATGTCCTTTGAGGAAACCATGGCAATGTGTGGTCTTGCGGAGAGATGGGGCTTAGGAATTGGATGCAATTGACTGAAAATGGGAAGTGGGTGGCAGGAATGGGGTTTAGGAATTGGGGGAGGAGAATCAGTTCTGGGATGTAGTGATAAAGAGGTCCAAGGAATGATTGCATGCAGATACTTGGTTTTCAATGATTCAGGAGTCCAGAGAAGGCTATAATTGGTATGGGTGTCCCAGTGGGTCAGGTATCCGAGGTCTTGGAATTTGGGAGAGTGGTAGTCTCTGGGATATGGGATGTGGGGAGTCTAAGGAGTCAATAAGGGATCTAAAGGGTTGGTGATAGGTGACTTCTTTATTGTGGTAAAATACATAAATAATACAATTTACCATTTAAATCACTTTAAAGTGTATAATTCAGTGACATTATTACACTTACGGTGTTGTGCAACCATCACTACAATCTAGTTCCAGAAATTTTTCATCACCCCAAAAAGAAACCCTGTATCCATTAAGCAGTCACTTCCCATTCTTCCCACCCCTTCCTTCCCCAAACTCCTGGCATCCACTAATCTGCTGTCTCTAGTCTCTAATGATTTACCTATTCTGGATATTTCATATAAATAGAATTACACAGTATATAGCGTATTAACAAACTGTCCTCAAAGTTCCTTCATGTTGTAACATGCCTCAGTACTTCATTCCTTTTTATGACTGAATAATATTCCATTGCATGGGTAATACCATCAGTTGGTGGACATTTGAGTTGCTTCCAATGAGAGGATTATCTGAGTATTGTGAAATGTACTGCTATGAACATTCTTGTACAAGTTTATGTTTAAACACCTTATTCAATTATTTTGGGCATATACCTAGAAGTGAAATTGCTGGATTATATGGTAATTCTATGATTAACTTATGAAGAAATAACCAAACTGTGTTTTTTTTTTACAGTGGCTGTACCTTTTTATATTACAACCAGTAATGCACAAGGGTTCCAGTTTCTTCACAACCTCGCCATCCATCATTTGTTATAATCATGTGCCACATAATGATGTTTTGGTCAATGAGGGACCACATATACAGTAGTGGTCCCATAAGATTATAGCAGAGCTGAAAATTTTCTTTTTATAAAATTGTATTTATTATTATTATTTTTTTTCCAACTTTTATGGAGCTGAAAAGTTTATACTGCCTAATGACATTTTGATGATCCTGGCACTGTGTGTACCTAGGCTAATGTGTTTGTGTCTTAGTTTTTAACAAAAAAGTCTGGAGGCTGAGGCAAGAGAATTGCTTGATCTGCCCTATTAATTGCAATTTTCACAGTTAACTAGTACTATTTTTATTTAAATAATATTACCTGGGAAGCGGAGGTTGCAGTGAGTTAAGATCACGCCACTGCACTCCAGCCTGGGCGAGAGAGTGAGACTCTGTCTCAAAATAAAATAAAATTAAATTAAAATAAAAAAATTAAAAAAATTTTTAAGTAGAAGATTATAGAATAAGGATATAAAGAAAATATTTGTGTACAGCTATACAATGTGTTTGAAGCTAATTTATTACAAGAGAGTCAAAACATTTTTAAAAATTAAAAGGTTTATAAAGAAATTATAGTAAGCTAAGGTTAATTTATTACCGACAAAAAAATTCAAATAAATTTAGTGTAGCCTAAGCATACAGTACATATAAAGTCTACAGTAGTATACAGTACTGCCCTAGCCTTCACATTCACTCACCGCTCAGTCACTGACTCACCCGGAGTAACTTCCAGTCTTGCAAGCTCCATCCACGGTAAGTGCTGTATACCGGTATACGATTTCTTATCTTTTATACCATATTTTTACTGTACCCTTTCTATGTTTAGACATGTTTAGATACACAAATACCATTGAGTATAATTGTTTACAGTATCCAGGCAATTTGGATTTGTAGCCTCGAAGTGATAGGCTGTACCATCAGGCTACATCATCTAGGTTTGTGTATGTACACTCTATAATGTTCACATAATGATGAAGTCACCTAACCATGCATTACTCAGAAAGTATCCACAGAATTACACAATGCATGACCATATTTACATTCTGCTTTTTAAAAATCTTAAATTAGGCTGGATGTGGTGGCTCACGCCTGTGATCCCAACACTTTGAGACACCAAGGCAGGCAGATCACTTGAGCCCAGGAGTTTGAGACCAGCCTGGGCAACATCGCAAAACCCCATCCCAACAAAAAAATACAAGAAATTAGCTGGGTGTGGTGATGCACACCTGTGGTCCCAGATACTCAGGAGTCTGAGGCAGGAGGATTATCTGAGCCTGGAGAGGTGGAGTCTGCAGTGAACCATAATTGCACCACAGCACTCCAGACTGTGTGACAGAATGAGACCCTGTCTCGAAAAAAATCTTAAATTTATGTATCTTAAGAATATACATTAATATAGAGTTTAAATATCAAATAAAGAGGGTTTTTTAAAGTTGAAACAATGTATCAGAGGATAAAAAACCATAAAACATTTGTTTAAATTTAAAGGATTTGTTTAATCTGCCCTATTAATTGCAATTTTCACAGTTAACTAGTACTATTTTTTATTTAAATAATAGTATGTATGTAACAGAATAGTAAAGATGTAACCTGTGGATGCTGTTTTACAGCAGCAGAAACTGGAACACATGCAGTCTCATGATTGTCCTACTCTTTTGCCAGATCATTGCATTGTCTGCCCAGGCACCCCTCATCCCATCTCTCTCCATCCCTTTTCTTACCTTTTCATGTTCCTTGTCTTTTCATGACAGCATTTATCAATGTCTGAAAGTAGAATGTTGTTGATTGACTCTCTCTTCAACTAGAACATAAGCAATGAGCGGCCCAGCCTTTGTCCCACACACTGCAGTGTGTCCCACTTCTAAGAAAGTGTCCAACACACAGCAGGAACTCAGTCAGCATTTCTTGAATGAATTAAGTGAAGTGATGCATACAGGCCACATTCTGAGCTGCTGGAGGAGCCAGTAGTTGATTACCAAACTCTAGTCCTTTATCTTGGTGTCCTGATGTCCTGACTGATACACAGTTTGTAGGCAAATAGCTGGTGGGGTTTAGTAGTATGGGATAGAATAAAGGGAGATGTAATTGGGACACTCTCCACATTATCTGCCCCCATGAAAAGCTAGTTCCAGGTGTTGCCATCTCTGCCCCACACTGGGCTTGCCTTAGTCCTCGTTCCCGCCTTTTCCAGACAGCAGTGCTGAGAAGCAGGAGCCCCTGAGCTTGGAGACGCAGGAAGAGCCCTGGGAGGCCCAGATCAAAGGGAGGCAGTCAGCTCATGGAGCCGAGGAATGTTCTGCTGACACCCACCCCGAGGGTATCCGGTATGTTTCTGTGCACCAGCGACCCCTCCACACCTCACCAGATTGGTTCCCCAGCCCCGTGGGACCCAATTCCGGGTCAATTCCAATTTGATTCCAGTCCAGAATCAAATCAGAAGAGCAATCCCGAGTGCCCACCTCACGGTCTGAAGCACCTCCTCCTACACCCGGACCCAAACACGAGGTCGGCTCAAGGAGGCACTGAGGTCACGACAGTCAGGGTCCTGCGCTGCTTGTCGCATGCAGTCTCCTTCCCCGAACCGCCGCCTGCACGGCCTCCACTGTTTTCCTATTGGGCTGCAGCCTGAGAGCCCTGACAATGCGGCCCACAAACCGGGAACGCGAAAGTGCACGTACCAGGCGCGATCACCAGGCGCTAGCGCTGAGGGGGGACTCGCGTCACAGTAACCGCCACCGTTGCCGGGGGACTGGCCCCAGCGGCTTGGCCCCCAGGCGTCTGTGGCAGTGCGTCCCCTCTCCGCGGGATCGTCGCCATGGTCCTGCGATCCTAGGAGTCGGGCAAGGCCGAACCTGCCTGAAGAAACCTCAAGCGGAGATTCAAGGAAGCACCACGTGATCCCTAAGGATCCCAAAGATGCGTCGGGCATGCATGGGCGGTGTGAGGGTGCGTCTCCCTGACAGGTGTCCCCGCTGGGATTTCGAGGTACGGCCTGCCTGTGTTCCCCGGGGCGCTCTCTTTCCGGAGGGGTTTCCTGGCAGAGAGCAGAACCGCGCAGCCTCAGGAGCTGCCTGGCTGTGTGTGTTTCTGTGCGACTGTTGGATGTTTCCGTGTGTCTTTCTGTGTGTGCGTGTGAGTGTGTGTGTGGTGTGCGGTGAAAGAAATGTGGCTCGTGCAGTGAAGCGCGGTTTCTCTGTAGTTCGCCTACGCTCTGATGCGCCCGTCTCTTTGGCCGGGCTTGGGTTGCGGGGCAAGCGTTCTTTGTTTCGCTCTTGGTTCCTAAAGCCTCGGTGAAGTGGGGGGCTGGCTGCGACCCGCAAACGTCCAAATCACCTCCCCTCCCAAGCCGCCCACTCTTCCAGAAAGAAGACCAGCACACGACAACCAAGAACAAATTCCTCCAGGGGCCCATGGTCCTGCGGCACACCCAAGGCTGGACGGACCCTAGCTGTCCTGTCCTCAGTACCCCCTTGAGCCCACTTCTAATTCGGTGGCTGGCGGAGTCGCAGCTTCAGGACCTGAGGCGGGCACTCCTTCATCCTCTTCAGATTTCATTCTGGATTAAAGGATGTGTGCAGAAAAAAGGTCAGATGGGGGTGAAGATACAATCCGCTGAGGTGTGGAGGAGGTCTCGCACCTTCACCTGCAGAACAGGTGCAGACAGATGTCAAAGAAACTGTTTCCAACGCCATCCCCTTTTCCTCTTCACTGTACAACCTGTCCACACCATGGCGCTGTGCTGGCGATAGAAGACACGAGTGTTCGGAGAACCTTTGGACCGAAGACTGTCGCCTTTCTGGCCAGGTCCCCTGTTGGACCCTGGTTCCCCGAGGCACATGGGAGTGGGATGGATTGATCCTGCCTGGGCTGCGGCCTCTACTCTGTTCTCCCTCTTTTCTTGCCTTCCCTGATTCTCGTCGGCCCAGGTTTTCCTTGGTCTGGCTCACAGTCCTCCAGAACGTCCTTCACAGCAAATGTTTCCCAGTTCGTCCAGGACCACCTTGGCGGGGACGTAGGTGATGAGTGTTTCCTTCTCAACACTCACATTTCTTAATGACTGGGTAGCTGTGATGCTCTTGGAACCGTGGGTGCCCGTAGCTTTCCCCAATAAGGAAACTCTTGGTCTCCCCATTGCATCAGATGGCTGCATGATTCACATAGAATGAGAGGTAGCCAGCCGTAGCTGGCCTTTGCCTTCTAATGAAGGCTATGTTTCATCTCATCTGCTGGTGTTTTCTCATTGTTGAGGGGTCTCCCATTGCTCTGTTCCTGGCTGGGACTGCCTCTCAGCACTGCACCTTTTCGTTGCCAGGGATTTCACGGAGCAAAAGGGACTGGGGGTTAGCTGGGTGTAGACCCGGTGGTGGGTTGTGATCCCGGTGTGGGTGCTGGATCACTTTGCAGGATCCTCTTGGCTCCTCTGGCAGGAATCCCTGGAGGAGGCTTGGACTCCGGCACAGGCCCTCCTATGGTTTCAGGTGTGCTTTGCTTGTGCTTCGCTTTCTTGGGGGTATCCTCAGTGGCCCTCGCCAGCATGCCTGGATATCCCTTTTGGGCTTGGATTCACCCCAGAAGGCCTCTGAGACACTCTCTCCACATTTTCTGCCCCCATGGGATGCCAGTTTTAGGTGTTGCCACCTCTGCTTCACATCGGGCTTGACTTTGTCCTTGTTCCCGCCTTTTCTGGACAGCAATGCTGAGAAGCCGAAGGCCCTGGTCTTGGAGACCAGGACAGGGCCCTGGGAGGCCCAGGTCGAAAGGGGGCCAGTCAGCTCATGGGGCGAGGGAATGTCCTGCTCACACCCTCCACTGGGGTCTCAGGTATGTTTTCCTACCCCAGCGACCCCTCAACTCCTCACCAGATTGGATCCCCAGCCCCATGGGACCTGATTCCTGCCCACACCCTCCAATCTAGAATCAAATCAGAGAGCAGTCCCGAGTGCCCACCTCAAGGTCTGAAGCGCCTCCTCCTCCACCCAGACCCGTACACGAAGTGGGCTGAAGGAGGCACTGAGGTCAGGACTGTCAGGGTCCTGCGCTGCTGGTCTCACGCAGCCTTCTTCCCCGGGCCGCAGCCAGCACGGCCTCCACCGTTTTCCTATGGGCCCTGAGAGCCCTGACGTTGCGGCAGCGCCAGCCGGGCACGCGAATGCGCATGCGCCAGGCGCGCGTCACCAGGCGCGACGGCTGAGCCGGGGCTCGCGTCACAGTGACAGCCACCGTTGCCTGGGGACGGGCCCTAGCGGCTTGGCGGAGCTGGAGCCCTCCCTGGCAGTGCGTCGGCGCTGGGCTATGGCCCCCTCCTCTCCGGGGGATCGTCGCCTTGGTCCCCCGACCCTAGGAGTCGGGCAGGGCAGAACCAGGCTAAAGAAACGTCCAGCGTAGCTTCAAGGATGCACCGCGTGATCCCTATCGGATCTCCCCGACGCGTCAGGCCTGCCTAGACGGTGCTGGGAGCGCGTCTCCTTGAACGTTGTCCCGCCTGGGATTGCGAGGTAGGTACCGCCTGCCTGTGTGTACCGGGGCTGCTGTCTCCGGGGAGGGGCTTCTGGCGGACAGGAGAACCAAGCAGCCTCAGGAGCTGCCTGGGTGTGTGTGTTTCTGTGCGAGTGTTGCATATCTCTGTGTGTGTTTCTGTGCAAGTGTTGCATGTCTGTGTGTGTGGGGGGGGTGGTGTCTGGTGAAAAGAATGTGTCTCGTGCGGTGGAGCGCCGTTTCTCTGTAGTCCGCGGGCTCTCTTATGCGCCCTCTTGTGGTCCCAAGTGTGCTTTTCTTGTTTTTCGCTTTCTTGGGGGTCATTGATTTCAGCTCTAAGCTTAATTCCTTTTCTGAGTCTCACCTGTTTCTTTAAGTGGGAACTTAAACCATTGATATGTATTTAAAAGCATACATTTCCCTCAAAGTGCTGCTTTAGTTGCATTCCACAAAATTTTATATGCTGTTATTTTTGACTCCAAATAGGTAATTTTTTACTTGTCCCATAGTTTACTTAAATGTGTGTTGCTTAATTTGCAAACATTTTTTAATTTTGACATTAATTTCTGGCTTAATTCTACTGTGGTTAGAAAACAGATTTTCTGATTTCAATCCTTTTCAATATATTGACAATTTATGGCTCAGAATATAAACAAGCTTGCTAAAGTTCTTTGTATAAGTGAAAACACTGCTGCTGCTCTTAGGTGGACTAGTCTATAAGTATCAATTACAACAAGTTGGCTATTAGCACCGTTCAGGTATCTTATATCTTTATAGATTTTCTATATACTTTTAAAAGTTAATGAGAGAACAGTATTAAAATCTCAAAATATGATTCTGAGTTCATTTATTTTTATTTCTAGCAGTTTTTAATGTATTGTTTAGTTCTGGTACTAGGCACAAGTACTTGTATGATTGCTTTGTCTTCTTGGTCAATACACTTCTATAGTATTATAAAATATGCCTTTTTAGAATAAATCCCTGGTAATATTCTTTGTTTCAAAGACAATTTGTTGTGAGGGCCGGGTGCAGTGGGTCATGCCTGTAATCCTAGCACTCTGGAAGGCTGAGGTGGTGGGATCACTTGGAGTCAGGAGTTTGAGACCAGCTTGGCCAACATGGTGAAACCCCATCTCTACCAAAAATACAAAATTAGCCGAGTGTGGTGGCGTGCGCCTGTAGTCCCAGCTACTCGGGAGGGTGAGGCAGGACAATGACTTGAACTCGGGAGGTAGAGGTTGCAGTGAGCCAAGATGGCACCACTGCACTCCAGCCTGGGTGACGGGGTGAGACTCTGTCTCGAACAAAAAAAGACAATTTGTTTTATGTTCACATAGCCATTTTGGTATAGTGTTTGCATGGTGTTTTTTTTTTTTTTTTAACTTTTAACCTATTTGAGTTGGTATATACTTTTGACTTTTTAATCCGAGTCTTCATATTTTAATCTTTTTTTATATAACCTAACATCTTTTTTTTTTTTTTTTTTTTTTTTTTTTTTTTTTTTTTGGAGACAGTCTCGCCTTTGTCACCTAGGCTGGAGTGGAGTGGCATGATCTCGGCTCACTGCAACCTCCACCTCCTGGGTTCAAGCGATTCTCCTGCCTCAGCCTCCTGAGTAGCTGGGTTACAGGTGCCCACCACCACGCCTGCCTAATTTTTGTATTTTTAGTAGAGATGGGGTTTCACCATGTTGGCCAGGCTGGTCTCAAACTCCTGACTTCAGGTGATCCGCCCACCTTGGCCTCCCAAAGTGCTGGCATTACAGGCATCAGCCACCACGCCTGGCTTTCTTCTGTGTTTTTTTACTGAAGTATTTAGGCCATTAACATTGTTTGTAATTATTGATATATTTGGGTTTGTAACAATCATCTTGCTCTTTATTCTGTTTCTCTTATCTATCCTTAATTCTTTTTCTAATTTTCTGCCTATTTTTGTATTTTTTAAATTATATTCTATTTTACTTCTACTACTGGCTAAATATTACGGCACTTTTTAGAATTTTGAGTGCTTTTTTTCCTAGAGGCTTTCAACATTCATTTTTAGCTTTCAATGTCTAGTTTTACATATTATACCCTATCGTATATTTGCTGGGATCTCACACAAATAATACTTCCATTCCACCTTCTCACCTTTGAGCCATTTTCATATTTTAATTGCCACAAATATTACCATCCCTATACTACATTATTGATTTTGCATTAAAAACTCAATTACTTTTTCAAGAGAATATGAGGAAAACAATATTTACTCATATTTAACTTTTCTGTTAATTTCCATTCGTATGTATGAATCCATGTTTCCATCTGCATTTGTTGGTGATGAATTCTCTTACCATTCATTTCTTTTTTCATTTGAAACTATTATTTTAGGGTCAGGGAGTACACATGCAGGTTTGTTACATTGGCAAACTGCATATCCCTGGGGTTTGGTGTACAAATGATTTTGCCACCCACATAGTGAGCATAGTAGCTGACAGTTTTTTGACCTTCACATTCCTTCCACCCTCCACTCTCAAGCAGGCCCTGGTGTTTATTGTTCCCATCTTTGTGTCCATGTGTACTCAATGTTTAGCTTCTACTTATAAGTGAGAACATAACAGTATTTGGGTTTCTGATCCTGCATGCCTTCACTTAACGGCCTCCAGCTGTGCCCATGTTGCTGCAAAGAACACAATTTCTTTTTTCCCTGAGGCTTTAGCTTTCATTTGTTTATAAAAGTTTTCACTTTTTTCATATTATTACCAAGTGCAGAAATACCAGATAGAGTTTCCTCCCTATTCCTTTCTCTGCTAGCTTGCATAGATTCTCACAAGGAGTTTATGAATCTTGTTACTTTTGTCCCCATGTATGTATCTTTTTTCCATCAGGCTGTTCTCAAGATTTTCCTTTACCACTAGTTTTCAGCAATTTGTCTTGTGTTTAGCTTTGAGTTCCTTGAGCTTCTTAGATCTGTGGCTGATAGGTTCCAAAAAATTTGGAGTATTTTCAACCATTATTTTTAAATATTTTTTCTGCCTTCTCCCCGCTTCTCAGACTCACATTTACATATATCTTTATATTTTCCCACAGATCACCAAGACTCTTTTACAGTGTTTTTCCCTTGTTGTACCTGAGTTAGAGAAAACGCCACACTTTGAGACGAATTAAGAGTCCATTTATTAGCTGGCGACCGAGAGACGGCTAACGCTCAAAATTCTCTCGGCCCGAAGAAGGGGCTAGATTTTCTTTTATACTTTGGTTTAGAAAGGGGAGGGGAGGGTCTAGTTAAAACAATTTTACAGAAATAAAGTAGGCAAAAAGTTAAAAGGATAAATGGTTACAGGAAATTAAACAGTTCCAGGTGCAGGGGCTTTAAGACTATTACAAGGTGATAGACCGGGGGCTTTGGGCGTTATCAATCAGATGAATTCCTGGGAATTGCAGATATAGCTTGCCACAGTATCTTATCAGTTAATTGCATTCTTGGATGTGCTGGGAGTCAGCTTGCACAAGTTAAGTCCTTGAGGAAGCGGCTGCCAGTGAAAGAGCCAAGATGGAGTCTGTCTGGCTCTCTTAGCTAAGGGAGAGTCAATTCAGGTGGAAACAAGGCTGGGTAATTAAAGGAAAAGGGAGAGTCTAAAAACAGGGTTAGTAAAAACAAGGTTGGGCATTACATTCCCCACTTGTGTTTTTGGGGAATCAAATCGTTGATTCCTCAATTATAACAAGGGGGTTATATTGAGTATTAAGATACATAAGTTTGACAGAAGCTATGCATTCTTTTACAAAATTAAGAAACCAATTTTATATACAAGGCCCAAAAATTAAACTTAATAGTATGATGAGGAGAGGTCCAGCTAACCCAGTGATTAAAGTAGTTAGCCAGGGGTTCCAGTTGAACATGCTTTGATACCAGGGGATGTTGTTTTCTCGTTCCTGTTGGCGCCTATCTAGATTTTCTCGAACTTTTGGAGTGTATCTTTTATGACTAAGAATGGTGGAGGAACAGTTAAATCAACTTTGTTAGGGGGTTTCTGGAACATAGGGTCACCTAGATCAGTTAAAGGCCCGATTGGCTTGGGTGGGCTCCATGAGACCAGGATTTTTTGGATGGTGAACATAGTCCCAACATCAAATCCTGGGATATAAAATCTTAATTCCCATGACATGCCATAATACTACTGAGTTGAATTAGGGTCATGGACAGTTATAGTAAGAGGATTACAATTTTTTCTAGTACATAATTTAGGACGAGAAGCACGAGTTATGGAATGAAGATCTGGTTGATCCCCCAGAGTAGGTGGCTAAAGTTACACATGTCCAATCAGGGCAGAAAAACTGGTAAGTATCTCGACAGCTAGTGTCAGGGTGATTCCCAGGACAGAGGTAAAAGTCAACATTTTGGAGTCCTTTTTCTGCACCTTTGGAGCTTCCACATCCAGTTTGGCTCCTGGAGTGTCCAAATCCTGCTGCAAGGTTGACACTTCCTGCTTTTGGGACCGGCAGATTGTGTTGCTCTTCGCGGGTACGGGCTGGCTCTGGGAACAGTACACATAAATCAACTGCAAAGGAGACTTCCTTGGAGGTACTGGCCCTCCAAGTGGTGTTTGCAAATACACATCCTGTTGTGAAAGAGGTGAGGAGAAAGGAGTAGGAAGGCGCAAAGGACATAACAGGCAAAAACAAACAAGTGAGGTAGATAAAAAGAATTAATCTAATGGCTTCACCTGACTTAGGTGCAGTTTTAAAGGGGCCTGACCCAGGCCTGGGGACCCATGTTTCTAGTTGGGCTCTGTTGGCCTTTTTGATGCGGGAGTGATGAATCTAAGCAGGAATGCCGTCCACCTTCAGAGCCATTGGCGTTGTGAGGATGATGGTGTGAGGTCTTTTCTAAGCAGGAGTGAGTGCTTCTTTCTGGAACTTTTTAACAAACACTAGGTCTCCTGGCTGGAACGAATGGCAGGACCCTGTCTGGTCAGGAATTGGATTCGGATGGGTTCCTTGAACAAGTGGCAGGATGATATCTTGTACCTGTTGGGGAGACTGTAGGTACTGTAATAAATTCTTTTGTGATATTTCTGCCAATTGGGCATCTCTTAGCTTAGGCAAGATAGGCGGCGCCCTCCCATACATGATTTCAAAAGGTGAGAACCTAGCCTAGTAAGGGGTGCACCTTACTCTAAGTAGGGCTAAAGGAAGGAGACTTACCCAATTTACACAAGTTTCTAAGATTAATTTTGTAAGAGTGTTTTTTAGGGTGTGGTTCATGCGTTCTACCTGCCCAGAGCTCTGGGCTCGATAGGCACAATGGAGCTTCTATTGAATGTTTAACGCCTTACTGACCGACAGAACTATAGACGAGGTGAAGGCCGGTCCATTATCAGACCCTATGGCAGCAGGCAGCCCATATCGAGGGATGATTTCATTGAGTAAAAACTTAACTACCAAGTTGGCGGTTTCGTTTTTGGTAGCAAATGCCTCAGTCCATCCAGAGAAGGTGTCTACTAGTACTAGAAGGTATTTGTACCCAGCCTGGTGTGGTTTTACTTTTGTAAAGTCAATTTCCCACTTCTCTCCTGGCAAGTTTCTTCGGAGACGGTGGCCTGGGCTGGGTTTAGGACCTTGTTTGGCATTTACCTGGTCGCAGGTTGTTCCCCAGAGAGCTGCTTGATCTGTTAGGCTTTGAAGACGGGGGATTCTTGTTTTTGATAGCCTTTTCTGCTGAGGTGAGTAGCCTGCGCTCCTGGCAGATGGCTCCATGTACATGCACCGTAGCAAAGGCGTACCTGCTGTCAGTGTTAACGTTAATATCCTTACCCCATCGGAGAGCCTGAGTGAGGGCGATCAATTCAGCTTTTTGCGCTGAGGTGTTTGCTGGTAAAGCCTGAGCCCACAACACATCTGTCTCCGTGGTAACAGCTGCACCGGCCTTTCGTACTCCCTGCTCGAGAAAGCTGCTACCGTCTGTGAACACGGTGGCGTCCGCCTTCTCTAGGGGCACATCTTGAAGATCGGATGGGCCAGTTTCGGTAGTTTCCAACAGTTCCTGACAGTCATGGATAGTAGCTGGATTTAAACACCGTGTGGAAGAGAAAGTCAGTTTACTGATCTAACAGTAAACTCTGATATTGCAAGATGCGAGCATTTGACATCCATTCGCCAGAAGCACTTTGAAGTAAAGTCTCTATGGCATGAGGAGCCTTAAGGGTTAAATTTTGGCCCAGAGTTAACTTATCAGCCTCTTGGACTAGGCTTGCTGTAGCGGCTACTGCTTGGCTCGCAGACAACTTGGCCATCCAGAGGTCTCAGGATCCAGTTTCTTAGATAAATAGGCTACTGGGCGTCTCCAGGGTCCTAAGGTCTGAGTAAGCACCCCTTTAGCAACTCCCTGGCTTTCATGGACAAACAGGTGAAACGGCTTTGAGATATTAGGGAGGGCTAAAGCAGGGGCTTCAGTTAATGCCTTTTTCAGGTTTCAAAAAGCCTGTTCTTGTGTGTCTGTCCAAATTAACGGGCCATTTCATTCTGTACCTCTTGGATAGCCGCCACTAAGATTTTTGTTTGTCATTTGAATGCTTTATCAGCAGCCTTTTCAGCTGCCTGTGTTGCTCGTTTTTGTTTTTCAAACTCTTGGTTGTCAAAAACCTTTTGGGCTATTTCTAAAAGCTGACTGATATTCATTCCAGCAAATCCCTCCAGTTTTTGGAGTTTTCTTTTAATATCTGGGGCTGCCTGAGCCACAAATGCCAAATTAAGAGCATGGCTATTTTCGGGGGCCGCTGGGTCAAAAGGGGTGTAAATCTGATAAGCCTCCTGGAGGTGCTCTAAAAACGGTCCTGGTGACTCATCATGCCCCTGGATGACTTCATTCGCCTTAGACAAGTTTATGGGTTTCCGAGCAGCTCCCTTAATACCTGCGAGGAGATACCGGTGGAAATCATCCAAAGCTCTCCCTCCACTTGAGGAATTTGGGTCCCAATTAGGCCGGGTAGAGAGAAAGACCTCTGTGCACATTTCTGAAAATCTTTTCTGTATATCTCCTTCCTCTCTGGAACTCTGTCCTGCACCAGCCAGCATGTCTCTGTTATCTTCTTAACACAGTAAGAACTTCATGTTGTTTGGGATCAGCTTTCTCATTATCCAGAATGTGTCTCCAAGTAGAAAGTTTGTGTGACTATTGCACAACTTCACTATATATATATATATGGAGAGAGAGACAGAGAGAGAGAGAGAGACAGAGAGAGAGTGTTTCACTCTGTCACCCAGGCTGTAATGCAGTGGCATGATCACAGCTCACTGCAATCTTGACCTCCCTAAATTCAGGTGATCCTCCCACCTGTCTCCCAAGTAGTTGAGAATACAGGCATGCACCACCACACCTGGCTAACTTTTGTATTGTTTATAGAAATGGGTTTTCACTAACTTGCCAAGGCTGGTCTCAAACTCCTGCGCTCCAGTGATTGCCTTGGCCTCCCAATATGCGAGGAATACAGGCATGAGCCACCACACCTGGCCCACATGATTCTCTTCTGTCAGGGATCACAGTCATACAAACCAATTATTCCATCATGGCTCCAACAGAAGCTCATGTTTTTTGACACTGGTGATGTCACTGGAAAGAAACACTCTCACACATTATTGGTGAGAATGTAAATTGACATTTTCAAAAGTAATTGGGCATGATCTATTAAAATTTAAAATGCACAAATACTTTTGACTTGGCAGTATAATCAGTTGTAATATATTCTATATAAATAAAATCCAAGAATAAACATATAAAGATATTTATTGCACTAGTTTGCAGAAATAGAAAACTCAACCTGAATACTCAGCTTATGGGGAATGGATAGAGTATATCATGGCATTGCTGTTACTAGGTTGCTACATGTAATTCTGCAGGCATTTTGAAAAAGAAAAGCAAGGTGCACAAGACAAATACCAACAAAATATAATGTACAGACCTTATTTAAATCTGGACTCAAACCAACTATTATTGTGAAAGGTTGACTTATCTGTTCAAGATACATACTGAAAATATTTAGGGGGAAAAGGTATATAGCATGCTGGTTGTCTTTAATATATCCCAGTGAAAACTTATTGGGAGAGAAAACAAGAAAGGCAAAAATAGGGTGATTATTAAAGAGGTTATGGGTACACTGTACTATTTTATTTTTGCCCATGTTTAAAATTTTCTAAAGTTAAAACAAATTAAAGTGACAGATATATTTGCAGTTATCCTATTATAGTATACTGTCACCAGACTGAAATGACACCCACACTTGAGCACAGAAGAAAACATCAAAAAATAAACACGAAAGTTTTAACAGCAGATGAGTGCAATACAATGAAGGTGGTTTTTAAAAATTTTTTTAGCTGGGCGTGGTGGCTCACACCTGTAATCCCAGCACTTTGGGAGGCCAAGGCGAGTGGATCACTTGAGGCCAGGAGTTTGAGACCAGCCTGGCCAACATGGCAAAACCTCATCTCTACCAAAAAATATAAAAATTAGCTGGGCATGGTGGCAGGCGCCTGTAATACCAGCTACTCAGGAGGCTGAGGCAGGAGAATTGCTTAAACCCGGGAGGCAGAGATTGCAGTGAGCTGAGATTGCGCCACTGCACTCCAGCCTGGGTGACAGAATGAGGCTCTGTCTCAAAACGAAAAAAATAAAAATATAAATAAAAATAAATTTTACACTATTTCCTTGGTATAGGATAAACTTCGTATGTAACTTTGTAAGATAAATGTAATGATTTTTTTTTTTTTTAGGATAGAGACTTGCTCTGTTGCCCAGGCTGGAGTGCAGTGACACGACTTGGCTCACTGCAACCTCTGCCTCCTGGGTTCAAGCAATTCTCCTGCCTCAGCCTCCCGAGTAGCTGAGATTACAGGCATGTGCCACCACACCTGGCTAATTTTGTATTTTTAGTGGAGACGGGGTTCCACCATATCGGCCAGGCTGGTCTTGAATTCCTGACCTCATGATCCACCAGCCTCAGCCTCCCAAAGTGCTGGGATTACAGGCGTGAATGTAATGATTTTTAAAAAGAAAAACATGGATGTAAAGAAAGTAAAGCTTCGTTTTGAACAGTTATGATGGTAACAAAACTCAAAGGAGCAACTAAAGCAGTGCTGCAACCACTTTTGTCTGTCTTAGTAATTCTGATTAGTGTACATTCCTCCCCCACCAACCATTTTGAGAGAAATTTGTCTGAAAACATGATTTATGAAATAAACATAAGTGCTGAAAGAGTTAACAGTTATTAAGTTTCTTCTTTTAAACAATCTTGTAACAACAGAAAAAGCCTTGGTCAGGTATGGCTCATGTCTGTAATCGCAGTACTTTAGGAGGCCAAGGCAGGAGGATCACTTGAAGCCCGGGATTTGAGACCAGCCTGGGCAACAAAATAAGACCCTGTCTCTACAAAAAAAAAAAAAAAAAAAAAAAAAAGAAAGAAAAAATTTAAATTATCCAGGTGTGGTGGTGCACACCTATAGTCCCAGCTACTTGGAAGGTTGAAGCAGGAGGATCACTTGAGCCCAGGAGTTTGATGCTGCAATGAGCCATGCCACTGCACTCCAGCCTGGGTGACAGAGAGCCCACCTCTAAACAAAAAAAGACAAAACCCTTATAAAATTGATCTAGACAATGATGGAGTGTAGAGGATTGTAAAAACCTTGGCTACAGAAATTGTTCCTCTCTAGTGTAGTCCATGACTGAAGAACAGAAAAGCACTATATCATCCATCAAATTTAAATAACTGACATAATGCTTAAAATTTCCCCTTACCATCATTCTTTATGGTTAAAAAGAAATTCTGCAAGTGTGTTCACAAGCCAAAGATATTAATAAGCATACAGAAGAGAAAGGATTAATGGTCAGGACTGGGAAACAATGGGTTAAACAAAAGATAGTATTTTCTTTACTGCAGGTCTTCTCAACCTTTTAATTTGGTTTGTTCAGAGTGGAATTCACAATGCCAGTAAGGAAATTTGGTTATGCACTGTATCATATGCAATGAGGTAGAACCCGCTCTACGTATTTTGGGAATTATTTCTTGAACATATTTTTGAAAAGTCTGGCTCAAGATATTGTCTGCAAATGGCAGTTAATATGCAAGTATGTTTGATGGTAGAAGGGCACCTAACAGTCTACTGACATTTAACTTTTCCTTTAAATTTATAATTTTGCAATTATGTTAATCTCTCAATTGTTAATGACTGAATAATGAAGGCATAACTTATCCAATCTGAACAAAATGTACTTTAGAGACGAAGAATGCATGAGTGTTGTGGCATCATGGTGGTTACACTGATTATTCAGAGTTCTAATGATTCTCAGTTACCACTTTTTTTTGGACAATAGTTTGTAAAACAGTGAATTAACATTTAGATTATAATCATACACTATATACAATCAGTGGTTTCCAGAGTGATGACAATTCAGTGGGCTGCAATGTTCATTAAAGATAATGTAGGCCGGGTGCGGTGGCTCATGCCTATAATCCCAGCACTTCAGGAGGCTGAGGCAGACAGATCACCTGAGGTCAGGAGTTTGAGAGCAGCCTGACCAACATGGAGAAACCCTGCCTCTACTAAAAACACAAAATTAGCCAGGCATGGTGGCACGCACCTGTAATCCCAGCTACGTGGGAGGCTGAGGCTGGGGAATTACTTGAACCCAGGGGTGGAGGTTGCAATGAGCCAAGATCACACCACTGCACTCCAGCCTGAGCAACAAGAGCGAAACTCCGTTTTTTTTTTGTTTGAAACCAAAAAAGATAATGTATTAGAAGACAAGAGATAACACTGCATATAGAAAAGGTAAGTATTTCTTGGTAACATTTGTTTTTCTATGAACAGCTTTGTATACAGTAACTCAATTTTGAGGTCTTGAGTTCTGTGCACCAGATGCTTGGAATCATAGAAGAACTGTAGGCATTGATTGATTGCTGCTCCAATATATTATTCTAACTCACCTTCACTCACTGAACACCATTAACCTCTTCTCACCATCATTAATTTCTGACCATCAGCCCTCATTCAACAACATTCTAATTAACAAGTTCAAATTATTTAAAGCTGTTTTTATCTGTCATTTGCGTCCATTATGTACTAATGTATTACATTTATTGTCACTATAGTATCTGTTCCTTAAAGCATAGAAGGAAAGCATAATTCATGTATTATATTTTTCAAAATCACTGCATGCACAAACATATCTGGTAATTAACTGTTAACTGGCTTTTGAGTGTTTTACATTATTCAGAAATCCCTGATAGAGGTCATTTAGGTGGCTTAAATTAAGTTGAATTCAAATTAAATTTGGTTAGGATTTTTTAATGGACTGAAAACATACTGTTTTTCCTATTTAAAATAATGGGGCCAAATAAAAATAATACAAACCAAAAATAAAATAATGGGGCCAGATGTGGTGGCTCACATTTGTAATCCCAGCACTTCTGGAGGCTGAGGCAGGTAGATGCTTGAGCCTAGAAGTTTAAGACCAGATGAGGAAACATAGTGAGACCCCATCTCTAAAAAAATTTTTTTTTAAATGAGCTAGGCATGGTGATGAACAGCTATGGTGACAGCTACTTGGCAGGCTGAGGTTGGAGGATAGCTTGAGCCTAGGAGGTCAAGGCTGCAGTGAGCTGTGATTGTGCCACTGTACTCCAGCCTGAACAAGGAGAGCAAGACCCTGTCTCAAAAAAAAAGAAAAAAAAGACAAAAAGACCAAAAAATGGAATGTAGCCTCCGAGATCTGGGTCTCTAAAAATTTACCATTCAGTATATCAGAAATGGGTTAGATTCAAATGAGGAAAAACTGTAGTTGGTAAATTTTGTTTATATTTCCATTTAAGGCAAATATATATTTTATACACACACACATATACATATGGAATATATATATGGAATACATATGTGGAATATATACATATATGGTATATGGAATATATACATATATGGAATACATATATGCATACATACATGGAATGTATACATATGTGGAATATATACACACGTGGAATGTATACATATGGGGACTATATACACACGTGGAATGTATACATATGTGGAATATATACATGTGGAATACATACACGTGGAATATATACACATGTGGAATATATTCCACATACACACATGTGGAATATATGTATATATTCCACATACACACATGTGGAATATATGTATATATTCCACATACACACATGTGGAATATATGTATATATATGGAACTACCTTGGCCATCATTTTGTTAAGAAATTCTTTTTCCCTTAAAGTAACAATCAGAAAATGTGGGCCAAAAACTTTTGCTTTTGGAATTTGTTGTAGAAAAATAATCTTTCACTTTCTTAAAAAACAAAACAACAAAAAACAACAGCCCTAAAGCAATTTTTGGAAGTTTCTTCCTGGTGTGGATTATCTGATGCTCAGAAGTCCTTCATACCTTTACTATACTTTAAAGGTTTTGTCTAAAATAAAGTATCTGTTGTTCTAAAGGGGCTACATGATAAGAGAATGGTTGCATCTTTTTACTGTAATCATAAAATATTCCCACCATTTGAGTTCTCTAACAGTATGTAATGATGATAATGGCAATCATTTTAACAACAAATATCAGATGCTATCGAAAGGGAATTATATGTATTTAATTATAATTTAGTCATTGTAATACAATTACAGTATTTTACAAATAGAAAAGAACACACAAGAAATATATAGGATTTCAGTTAGGATATGGTGAAATGGAGATGATGCTTAATAAAGGATATAATTCAGCATTATATTCTAGCGTTTATAGAGATGTTAAGGAATTATTTAAGGGGTTTCTGAAATTATTCTGCATCCATGTTAATGTAGGCCTTCTAAGAATGAGCAGATTCTGAGCAGAAGCAAGATGTTCTACATTCATTATAGATATGAAATAGATGAAGATTTTCTTAAATTTAATCACATTCAAGGCTTTCTCAATTATGAAGCCTTGTATGTTGAGTAAGTTGTGAAGGACATCTAAAGTCTTTACCACACTGGACACATGTATAGGGTTTCTCACCAGTATGGATCCTTTGATGCAGAGTAAGTTCTGAGCCACGACTAAAGGCCCTCCCACATTCCTTACATTCATAGGGTTTCTCTCCAGTATGAGTTCTCAGATGTTCAGTAAGGTGTGAGCCACGAATAAAAGCCTTCCCACACTGTTTACATTCATAAGGTTTTTCACCTCTGTGAATTCTCTGATGTTCACTAAGTTGTGAGCCATAAATAAAGGCCTTGTCACATTCCTTACATTTGTAGGGCTTTTCACCTGTATGAATTCTTTGATGATATGTAAGTTGTGTAGCACGTACAAAGGTCTTCCCACATTCCTTACATTCATAATGTTTCTCACCATGAATTTTCTCATGTTGAGTAAGATATGCAACACGAATAAAGGCCTTTCCACATTCCTTACATTCAAAGGGTTTCTCACCTGTATGAATTCTCTGATGTTCACTAAGTTGTTTGCCACAAATAAAGGCCTTTCCACATTCCTTACATTTGTAGGGCTTCTCTCCGGTATGAATTCTTTGATGTTGAATAAGATTAGAATTAGAAATAAAGGCTTTCCCACATTCTTTGCATTTATAAGGTCTCTCACCTGAATGAACTCTCAGGTGGTAAGTAAGTTGTGAGCCACGAAAAAAGGTCTTCCCGCATTCTTTACATTCATAGGGTTTCTCTCCTGTATGAATTCTCTGATGTTCATTCAGTTGGGAGGCACATAAAAAGGCTTTCCCACATTCTTTACATATGTAAGGCTTTTCACCAGTATGAACTCTCTGATGGTATGTAAGGTGTGAACCAAGAATAAAGGCCTTTCCACATTCCTTACACTCATAAGGTTTCTCACCACTATGAATTCTCTGATGGTAAGTAAGTTGAGAGCCAAGAATAAAGGCCTTCCCACAATCCTTACATTCATAGGGTTTTTCACCACTATGAATTCTCTGATGAAGAGTATATTGTGAACAATAACTAAAGGCTTTTCCACATTTCTTACATTCATATGGTTTCTCTCCTGTATGAACTCTCTGATGTTCAGTGAGCTGTGAACCACGAATAAAAGCTTTCCCACATGCGTTACACTGATAAGGTTTTTCATTAGTATGAATTTTCTGATGTTGAATGAGATCAGAAGTACGACCAAAGGCCTTTCCACATTCCATACACTCATAAGGTTTCTCACCAGTCTGAATTCTCTGATGTTGAATATAGCTTGGCTTTTTGCTAAAGGTATTCCTGTGTTTCTTAACTTCAGAGCATTTTTCTATATTATGATTTTCCTCATGTTGAATAAGGCATGACAGGTAGCTGAAACCTTGTCTGCATTCCTTACATTTGTACAATTTTTCCTTGGTAGGAATTATCCGATGAAAAGTAGAAGAGGTTGAATGACTTTCAGTGGCCTTTTCTTCACAGGTAATTTTGACACACATGTAAAGCCCTTCCTGACTTGCTTCTTGACCCTCTAAGTTGCCTTTGCACTCCATATTGTCTCCAAGACCATTGTATTGAAGGTGATGGTTGATACGTTTCCCCATATTCTCCCACTGGAGTGATTCCATTTCATAAATTTCCTTTTCTGGAGATAACTTTTTGGTCACACAACTGGATTCCAAGTCTGTAGAATAAAAAGAAAGCAAATTCCTGCTTTTGTTTACAAGGAGAAATAAAAATTCTATGGTAAAAATGATAGATGAAAATAATTCTCATTAAGAATAGAATGGCTTAAACAGTACAGAAATATTTTCTGCCATTTTTCTTTAAAGGCACAAGGAGAGAATAAAGAAAAAGGAGAGCTTATAGGAAAGAAGGTAATTAGAAAAATAGGTTAAGTCAGTGGTTCTCAAACTTTGGAATGGCTTAGAGACACCCAGGAGGCTTATAAAATAGTAATAAAAACACCCTCTTGAAAACAAACAGATGTGTAGCTGGACATACAATCTATCAACAAATCCTATCAGCTCTCCTGTCAACATTAAGAATCTGACCACCTCTACTACCACCATCCTAGGCCAAGTCACCCCTCTCTCATTGTCATAACCTCTTAGCTGGTTTCTCTGCTTTCATCCTTGCTTCTATGATCTATTCTTCATACAGCAGCCAGAGGAATTCTTTTAAAATGTGGTTTATATAACATGATTTCCCCTGCTAAAAATCTTCCCTATTAATGGTCTGCCATCTCAGGATAAAATCCAAAGTCCTTAATATGGCTCACAAGACCCTACACAAGCTTGCCTGTGGCCACTTTTCTTATGTCATCTCCCACTTTGGCCACTTTTCTGATATCATCACTTACCACTCCCCTAATTATTCATTTGGCTGTGGTCATAATGGCCTCCTTGGTGTTAAAAAAGTGTCAAGCATATGCCTACAGTTTTGTCTTTAGAATGCCCTTCCTCTAGATACCTGCATGGCTTGTTCCCTCATTTCAGTTTTCTGCTCAGCTGTCACATTATCAAAACATCCAACACATAATTGTACCTATATTGCATTTTTCACTAATGGATATACCATTTCTAAAGTTTGACTATTGTCTGTCTGTCCCATGCTTAATCAAAGCAAGGGCTTTGTTTCATATACTGCTTTATCTCTAGTGCCTAACATCATTACTTACACATTGCTGGCATTCAATATTTGTCAACAATTTCTAAAATATATATGTTCCTTCATTCATAAATCTCCTTAGATGCTTCTCATAAAACACAAAGTTTGAGAATAGAGCTAATAATCTTTCAATGGTTTACCCTTGTATTTAGAATAAAATCCAAACTCCTATTCATGGCCTACAAGCCCCTTTACGATCCAGTTCTTTCTTAAATTTCTCCAATTTCTTCAACGTACCTTTTAAGCCTCAAATTGAGCCACTACTATCTTCAGAACAATGCTCTAATCTTATTGGCCTGATTTAAGTTCCAAGAACATGTCAAATTCTTTCCCATTTTAGATTTTCCATATGCTGTTCCATCTGCCAAGAATGCTCTCAAAGTGGCCACCTCCTTTGCGTGTGAAATGTCCTAGCTTAAATGTCAGCTGCTCAGAAAGACTATCCTGGATCACTTTAATTAGGTCCATGCCAGGTATTTTCTATACCTGTAATTTATTCCTAATTCTTGTTTGAATTTTTGCAATTCTAAAATTTCATTTATTTATCTGTTGATCTTTCTGCTCCTCAAGCTCTACATGTGTAGGGGGAAAATGCCTGTTTTATTATATAGCTAGTCCCCAGAACACAGTATACATATAATGTTTTATTCCTTTAATATAGTTTTTCATGTCTTACTTTCCAATATTTATTACTTAAGGCCAAATGTTCTTATATTTCCCAAAGAAGTACCTCAAAATCTCCTAGAAATAGTGACAAGTTTACACAATAAAGATCTTATATTATTCCGAAGAAAGAAGTTGAGAAACAAGTGTACTTTTCAAATGCAGAGAAACCTATCTGATGTAACTGGATCAGCAGGCACAGGGTCTCTGACCACTGTATATAGGCTGTAGAATAACAAAGACTGGTCATGGGAAGAAAAATAAATACACATCAGTAAGCTCAAATTTAAACAGTCTTTTAGAAATAAGCCTCCAAAACTTGAGAAAACACACTTTTGCTGAAAAGCAAAAAGAAATGATAAAAACAAAAGCAACTACCCCCCCCCACTTGCCATATACACACCACAGCTCAGTTTAACACCAATTCATGTCAGCAACACATCCTAGAACAAGATAGACCCTGCTTTTGTTTCTTTCATAGAAGAACAATATGGTTTATAAAACACTGAAAGAAATCAATGGGCTTATGGTGATTAAGGGAACACTATAAGGAATCAAATAAATTCAGTTGGGACCCAAAATAGCTACCTATGTGCTAGTGCCCTAATAAAAATGGGAAGAAATATTAATCTAATATGATTCTGGGGTAGGAGGCACTATGAGAACACAGGATGGTGCTAAACAGAAATCTAGAGGAATATAGAAAAAGTTAAGATTAGAATACCAAAGTCTCAGAACTGTGCCCAGAATGAGGAGTACATATAAAAATGTATTCAATTAAGTAGCAGCTCTTTTTATTGTCATTAAATTAATGAAAAAACTATATGGTGAAAAAAGGGAAAACTGCAAAAGGGGTGATGAGTGAAGACAACAAAATGGAGTCTGAAAAGGAGGAGTCATTTTAGGAGGTTTCTTTTATTCTTGCCCCCATCAAGTCCTACTGAATATATCTCCTAAGTAGCTCTCGAATCTGTTACCTTATCACCAACACCACTGCTGACACTCGGGAAGCCCAAGGCATCTTTTTTTTTTTTGAGATGGAGTCTCGCTCTGTCATCCAGGCTGGAGTGCAGTCGTGCCATCTCAGCTCACTGCAACCTCCGCCTCCAGGTTCAAGCAATTCTGCCTCAGCCTCCTGAGTAGCTGGGCTTACAGGTGTGCACCACCATGCCTGGCTCATTTTTGTATTTTTAGTAGAGATAGGCCTTCACCATATTGGTCAGGCTGGTCTCAAATTCCTGGCCTCAAGTGATCCACCTGCCCCGGACTCCCACAGCACTAGGATTACAGGCATGAGTCACTGCGCCTGGCCCCAAAGCATCCGGAACCACAACAAAAACCTACTCAGTAATGTTATGAGACCCTTTGTTCTAATCTCCATCTGGCAGATAGAATGGAATAGTAAATATGAAAATCACATTATGTCACCATCTTAAGATTTTTCAATAGCCTGCAAAAATTGGAGGGATAAAATCTAAACTCTTCTGCAGTATTTTTCAAACTTCTTTTGACTAAAATTTCATAGTAAGAAATACATATTATGACTGAGTACACACACTCAAACATAAAACAAGGATGTCATAAAATTATCTTTGCTATATGTATTATATATTCATATTTTGTTATTTTATCTCCTGTTTTATTAAAAACAACAAGTGCTGCTTATAACCTACTAGGTTGTATTCATAACCTCTAGCAGGTTCTGCCCGGCCTGGCTCCAGTCAACCTCTCCGACTCCCTTGTGGCACCTCTGCCTCACTAGGCTCCAGCTGCAAAAGCCTTCTCTCAATACCTCATACAAACCAAGCTCCATCCTCCTATGGCCTGCAGTACACTGTTACTTCTGCTAGGAATGCTCTTCCCTCTTCTCTCTATCCTCAGTCTCCTTACCTGTTTTTCATTCTTTCAGGGCTCACCTGAAACTTCATGTACCATTGCACTTCCTGAGAAGCTGTCCCCAATCCCAGGCTCCTAGCAATGCTGTTCCAGTAATCTCTCTTCTGTAAGACAGCCACTCCACCCACTGCAGTCTACAAGGAAAGCCTCCATAGCTGTGGTAAGACCTCCACATTCTGCTATTAAGGCTGGCTTCTCCACAGAGATCTCAATTTCCATAAGCTCTTAGTGTAATAGCCTTACTATCCTTAAGTTATAAAAAGAATAACCACCCACCCTCCCCTAAAAGACCACTAGAGGCCAATCCTTTAATGCCTGACATCTCTGGGTTATCTCAATTACCTTAAAAGCTTTGGTTTCCTGGGTCCTTGGTCATCACTAGGACTCTTATCCCATCCATGTCCTACTTCACTCCAAACTATGCCTTTTGGAATTCACAGTGTACTTTCTACAAATCGTCTACAACCTCTGCCCCGCCTGTGATTATTTTCTTCACCTTCTTGATCCTTTTGAAACTTTGAGCACACTACTTGGCCAGAAACAATGTTTTCCTTCATGTCTTTCCCTCCACCTCGCTTCACCTAACCTCTCCCAAGATAGACATAATTATAGCAAGTCAACACCAACTCAAGGAATCAGATATACAAAAAAATATACTCAATGTTAATTTTTCTACAAATATTCCTAATCATGACATTTACCATCATAGAACTAATTGTATTCTGTAGTCTCTTTGGAGCAACTCTAATTCAAACTGTAATTGTTACTACCCAATGAGAAAACCAAACAGAATGATTAAACACAGGACTTTCATTTCCTGTTGTATACACTGATTGGCTCTTTACCCCTACTCATAGAATTAATCTATATCTAAAACACCATGGATTCATTAAATATCTTAATAACCTACTACTGAATTCAAATACTACCAAACTTCTGAATAGTCTCCTATAAATAGAAGGCATTATAGCATTCATAGTAAAAACAAAGGAAAAACAACGAAAAAACCCACCCCTTTATATCCTCCATCTTTGATTACCAAAAGCATATGTAGAAGCCCCAAATGCTGCACCCACAGTTCTTGCAGCCACATTACTAAAATTAATAGGCTGTGGTGTAATACAAATTACTCTAATTTTAAATCTACTAACAGTATATAGCCTATTTCTAATATCACTATGAGGAATAATTATAACAAATTCTATTTGTTCATACTAAACAGACTTAGAATCACTCATTGTGTATTCATCTGTAGCTCATACAGCATTACTAATTATAGCATTTCTCATCCAAATGCCATGAAGTTTTATAGGAGCCCTAATAACTGCCCATGACCACACAACATCAAAATGATTTTGCCTTACAAATTCAAACTACGATTCCAGGCACGGTGGCTCATGCCTGTAATCCCAGCATGGGAGGCTGAGGTGGGCAGATCACCTCAGGTCGGGAGTTTGAGACCAGCCTGGCCAACATGGTGAAACTCCCAGCTCTACTAAAAATACAAAAATTAGACAGGGATGGTGGCAGGCACCTGTAATCCCAGCTACTTGGGAGGCTGAGGCAAAAGAATCGCCTGAACCCAGGAAGTGGAGGTTGCAGTGAGCCGAGATCACACCACTGCACTCCAGCCTGGGTGAGAGAGCGAGACTCCATCTCAAAAAAACAAAAACAAACAAAAAAACAAATTCAAACTATGAACAAATCCATAGCCAAACCATACACAAGGTTCCCCAACTTATGATACTTAGACTTAAGATTTTTCAAATTTACCATGGTAAGAAAGCAATACACATTCAGTATGCTCCTTGACTTACCAAGGGGTTACACAGAACTACTTACAATATTTTTGACATTATCCAGAAGTAACCCCAAC
The DNA here is from genome assembly GCF_000001405.40 of Homo sapiens. Lineage (NCBI taxonomy): Eukaryota > Metazoa > Chordata > Mammalia > Primates > Hominidae > Homo > Homo sapiens. The sequence continues at coordinate 37,571,713 of NC_000019.10, forward strand.
ATATGTTGAGGAGCATCTGTACTACTAGCTCGCAGACTACAGACATTACTTCCTTTAACAGAAACATGATAAGTATGGGCTAGCCTAACTGACCTAGCCTTTTGCAACAACTTTTTGGCTCCTAAGGCCAACAGATTGCATCTAACCTTTAAAAGTTCAGAAAGCTATATTGTTACATATGAAGGCATGAGTTAGCAGTTGATAGCCTTACTATCAACTATTAACCAGAATGGAGAATTATTTTAAATTATATCTTTTTTTATGATCTAATTTTACCATTATCCAAATAGACTATATGGCCATAATTAGTACATTAGTCCTATCTATCAATCACATCACAATGAGAAAAATTCACATATCACATTAATAACATCAAACCATCATTCACATGAGAAAATACTCTCATATTTATACATCTCCTACTTCTGTTACCCCTATCACTTAACTCCAAAATTATTCTAGGACCCATACACTGTAAACATAGTTTAAATAAAACATTCAGTTGTCAATCTATATAGAAGCTTAAAACTCTTTACTGTAGTTCCCCCTTACCAAGGTTTTACTTTGTGTGGTTTCAGTTACTCATAGTTAACTGAGGTCCAAAATATTAAATGGAAAATACCAGAAATAAACAATTCATAAGTTTTAAACTGTGTGCCATTCTGAATAGTATGATGAAATCTCACACCATCCTACTCCATCTTGCTCAAGACATGAATCATCCCTCTGACCAGCATATTGTCTAATTTTGCCATTATCCAAATAGGATCTGCCTATTAGTCACCACCCAGTAGCTATCTCCTTTATCAGATTCAAAAAACACATAATATATATGGCTCAGTACTAGCTCTGGTTTCAGGCATCCACTGGGGGAGCCTTGGAATGTATACGCCGCAGATAAGGGGGAACTGCTGTTTTTGCTAAGAAAGTATGCAAGAACTGCTAACTCATGCCTCCATATATAACAATGTGGCTTTCTGAACTTTTAAAGGTTAGAAGTAATCTGTTGGCCTTAGGAGCCAAAAATTGGTGCAACTTCAAATAAAATTAATTAATTTCTTCTGTTCTTCTATCATAATTTTACTTACCAACTTATTTTTACCAATTACTATAACTATTTACAAAAATACTCATTTGCCACCAGCCTATTTCCAACCCTAATATTTATTCATTCAGGGCAAGAAATAATTATTTCAAACTGACATTGAATGACTTTCAAACTTTAAAACTGACACTCAGCTTTAAGTTAGACTACGTCTCAATAATATTTGTACTAGTAGCTTCTTTCATCACATGATTGATTATAGAATCTTCAATGTGATACATACTTTCAGATCTAAATATTAATCAGTTACTTAAGTACATACTTATATTCCTCACCACCACACTAATCTTAGCTAATGCCACCAACCTCTTCCAACTCTTTTTTTTTTCTTCCAACTCTTTATTGGATGAAAAACAACAGAAATTATATCATTTTTACTTAATGGATGATAACACAGCCTAACAAACACAAACATAGCAGCCTCCAGGCAATTCTATATAAAAGTATTGGAGATACTGGATTCCTATTATTAACGGCATGATTGTTATACTCAAGCATTTGAGAATTCCAAAAAATTTCCACACTCAACCCCAACCCTGACACTGTCTAATTAGGCTTCTCCTGGCAGCAGCAACTGGTGAATCTGCCCAATTTGGTTTTCACCCATAACTGCCATCAGTGACAGAGGGCTCAACACTAGTTTTAGCCTTACTTCATTTCAGCACAATAGCTGTAACAAGAATTTTCTTATTAATACACTTTTATCTACTAATTGAAAATAAAACACAGTGGGGTGCAGTGGTTCACAACTGTAATGCTAGGACTTTGGGAGGCTGAGTCAGGAGGATCGCTTGGACCCAGAAGTGCAAGACCAGCCTGGGCAACACAGTAGACACAGACCTTGTGTCTACAAAAAAAAAAAAAAAAATCCGCCATGCATGGTGGTGCACAACTGTAGTCCCAGCTACTCAGGATGCTAAGGTGGGAGGATCACTTCAGCCCGAGTGTGAGGCTGCAGTGAGCCGTGACTGTGCCACTGCACTCCAGTCTGCGCAACAGAACGAGATCCTGTTTCAAAAAAAAAAAAAGAAAGAAAAAGAAAAAAGAAAATAACAAAACTGCTTAGCTGCTATTACTACTTTATTCACAGCAATCTGTGCCCTAACACAAAATAACATTTTAAAAAATCATTGCCTTTTCCACCTCAAACCTAGGTCTCCTAATTGTCACTAGTGGCATTAATCAACCACATTTAGCATTTCTTCACATCTGTACACATGTATTCCTGAAACATATACTTTTTCTATGCTCTGGATCCATTATTCGTACCCTGAATGATGAAAAATATTCTAGAAAACTAGGAGGCCTATTTAAAACTATACTCTTTATGTCTTTACTCATTTTTAGAAGTCTACACTTAATAGATATGCCTTTCCTTAAAGGCTTCTACTCCAAAGATTTAATTATTAAAACCGCAACGTATGCTAACACCTGAGCCCTTTAAATCATGCTTATTGTCACCTCCCTAAGAGCTGTCTATAGTACTCAAATTATTTTCTTTCCAGTCCTGGGACAACCCTGCTTTTCAACTTTAACTCAAATCAACAAAAACAGCCCCCTCCGAGCTAATTCAATTGAATGTCTTGCAATCAGTATTATTTTCACTAAATTTTTTTATCTCCAAAAATATTATTCCCATAACTATTCCCCAAATGACTATGCCACTCTACCTAAAACTCTTAGCTCATGCTTTAACTACCTTAAGTTTCATTATAACATTAGAACTCAACTAATAACATAAAATCTTAAATTTGAATCCTCATACATACACAAATTTTCCAACCTTCTAGGTTTCTTCCCAACAGTTGTTCATGGTTTATCACCATACCTAAACTTTTCAACAAACCTAAACATAGCACCAGTTTTAGTAGATATGACTAGAAAAAGTCACTCTAAAAATCATTTCTAACTTCCAAATGATAGTTTCAATAACCATCTCCTAATGAAAGTATTTTCTTCTCCTTCCTTATCTCACTTTTACTGGCTATACTCCTAGCTATCTAATTTCCCAGAGTAATCTCAGTAACAATAAAGATACCAACAAATAAAGATCAACTGGCCACAGCCATGAGTCGGCCTTCATAACTATATAATGCTGTTATACCTACAGAAACTTCCTGAAGACGTTCAAACTCTTCACCCTCAAAAATTACCCAATCCTTTACATTTTCAAAATCAAAAATCACCTCCACTTCATAACCTGTTATTCACATAATTATAAATAACTCTATGAACAAACCTAACAATACAACACCCCAAATAACAAAACTAGAACCTCAAGTCTCAGAGTTCTGAAGCTGATGTTCCACTTAAACTATAACCTGACTCTGCTACTTGAGAAAAATTATTGTTAAATGCTATGTCAGTACTGAGAAAATAAAATCTAACTACTTTATGGATGCATTATGTGCTTTTCCTGATAATAATGTACTAGTACTATTATGCTTGATTGTACATTGTATATACATGTGTAATCATACATTAAGATCCACTCCCCATGCATATAAGCATATACATGAAATTACAAACAGTGCTTAACCCATTGAATGGCATACCCACATATGTCAGATTTACCATACAAATACTGTTCAATACATTAAATCCTTATATTTTACATAGGACATGAAATTATTGATTATTCACAGTACATTCAGTCAAATCAATCCTTGACAACAAGCTTATTACCGCCAACAGGATTTCTTTAGTACTAAGCTTCAAGAAACCAGCAACTTGCTTGAGATGTGTCCCACTTCTCGTTCTGGGCCCATGAAACTTGGATGAAACTATGCCTGCCATCTGGTTCTTACTTCAGGGTCACGGACTTAAGATTGCCCATTCATTCCTCTTTAATAAGACATCTTGGTGGACTAATGGCTAACCAGTCCATGATCACACATCACTGTGATGGTGTCACACACTTGGTATTTTTTAATTTAGGGAATGTTGTGATCCAACATGGCTGTCACGGACTTGATGCAATAAAGCAAACTGTAGCTGAGCTGAAATTGAATAGTCTTTCTCTACACTGAAACCATAAAGTGTTAATTACTCCATGTTCGGTGGACATAGTAAAAAACATGACACAAACATATACACACAATTTCCGTTAATTAACTCCACAATCTCAAGCTATTGTAGTATTTGTGGATATAAGGCTTTTATTCTTGCCAAACTTCAAAACAGGAAATCTTGTATTTATTAACTACAGGTAAGGCATACATGCATACACACACACACACACACACACAAGTTCATCTAGAACTAAGTTTTAGCCCAACTCCTAAAGAATTTATCAAAATCCAAAAAATAAATTAAAAATTAGGCTTTCTGGGTTAAAAGTTTGTTTTTTACTAAATTTACTAAAAAATCCACCAATAATGACACAGCATTTAAACTTAGCCATTTTTTCTTGAGAGAGAATTTTCCACATATAAGCTAATGTAGCTTAATTCACAAAGCAAGGCACTGACAATGCCTAAATGAGTTCATATAACTCTATAAACAAATAGGTTTGGTCCTGGCCTCTTTATTCATTTTTAGTAACACTTGCAACTATCTGCATTCTAGTGAGAATGTCCTCTAGATCAACAAAAATAAAATAGAGCAGGCTTCAAGCACACTAATTAGCAGCTCGTAAAACCTTACTCTACCATACAGCCACAGAAAACAGCAATGATAAAAATTAAGCAATTAACACAAGATTGACTAAGTTATACTAATTTTCCTTAGGGTTTGTAAAATTTCATGCTTGCAGTCATATGACTAACCCAAATTAACAAAACAGCATAAAACATGTTTTTAACAAAACTCAGCATAAAACATGTTTAAGATTATAAACAAAGTTATACCTTAACTAGGTCATAAAAAGCTACAGCTAATATAAAAATAAACTATGAAAGTGATTTAATATATTCTGAATACATGATAGCAAAGACCCAAACTGGGAAGAAATACCCCAATATGCTTAGCCATAAACTTAATTAAATTAACAAAGTTATTCACTTTGTTAATTCACCAGAGTAACTTTGTTAATTCACCAGAGTACTACCAGCAACAGCTTAAAACACAAAGGACTTGGCAGTGCTTATATCCCTTTTTTTTTGTAATCAATAAACCCCAGTAAACCTCACTATCTCTTGCTAATTCAGCCTATACACCGCCATCTTCTGCAAAACCTTAAAAGGTACTAAACACAAGTATTTACATAAAACGTTAGGTCATGGTGCAGCTTATAAAACAGAAATAAATGGGCTATATTTTCTAATTAAAGAACATTCCATTTACAACAAACTTAATGAAATTTAAGGCGAAAGGAAAATTTCATAGTAAATTAAGAACAGAGAGCTTAATTGAATAGGGCCATGAAGTACGCACACAACCTTTCATCACCCTCCTCAAATATTTCAATATATCCAAATTTATAATTAACATAAATTTATATGAGGTAAATCATAACAAAGTAAGCATACTATATGCTTTAATAAACCAAAGTGTTTATTAAAACCAGCCTACATCTGGAAGGTTTCATATTGATTTGACCACTTTGAACCAAACCTAGCCCCAAATCAACAGAACCTAACAATTATATTTATTTAGACCAAAACATTTACTCACAACATAAAGTATAGGAGAAGGGAATTTCTTCAGGTGCTACAGAAAAAGTATCATAATGCAAAGATGAAAGAATATTAAGGACAAAAAAAGCAAAGCTAATCCTTTATACCTTTTATGTAATGAATTAACAACAATTTTACAAAGAGAACTTTAGCTAAAAACCCCAAAACCAGACAAGCTACCCACAGACTAACTCATATATGTAGCAAAATAGTGAGAAGATCCATGAGTAGAAGTGAAAATCTGGTGATAGCCGGCTATTCAGAACAGAATTTCAGTTCAACTTTAAATTTACTCAAATTTTAATCAATGTAAATTTAAATGTAACTCTAGGGGGGCACTCAAGATGGCTGACTAGAAGCAGCTAGTGTGCACCACTCTCAGGGAGAGGAAACAAAGTCGGAAGTAAATACTGTCTCTTTTAAGTGGATCATCTAAAACAGGGATCCCCAACCCGGAGCCACAGACCGTACTGTTTGGCAGCCTGTGGGGAACCGAACTGCAGAGCAGGAGGTGAGCAGTGGGCGAGTGAGCATCACCACCTGAGCTCCGCCTCCGGTCAGATCAGCGGCAGCTTGAGATTCTCATAGGAGCTCGAACCCTATAGTAAAGTGTGCACAGGACGGATCTAGGTTGCGGGCTCCTTATGAGAATCTAACTAATGCCTGATGATTTGAGGTGGAACAGTTTCATCCCCAAACCAGTCCGCCCTTCCCCTCTCGCCCCACTCCCCACGGCCAGAAATACTGTGTTCCATGAAACCAGTCCCTGGTGCCAAAAAGGTTGGGATAGCGCTGGTCTAGAAGACCATGTCAGGATTTACCACGGACGCCAGGGAACTCACAGAGAACAGAGAGACAAGCCAGGCAGCCACCTTCCTGGGACTGGCATGGAGTGGGAGAAGCTCCCTAACATGGTGAAACGGTGAGAGAGTGAGAGTCCCTGGGGAAGCCACACTTCCCACATGGCCCTTTGCAATCCTGGGCACAGGAGGAACCCCCAACTCCCATCCCTGGGCCACTAGACCAACACAGAAAGCCACCTAGAGTTTTTGCAGAGGCACTGCTCAAGCCCATGTGGAGCACCACAAGCCCCGGATCCCTGAGCAGCTTGGTGCCAGCTGCCATAACCCCAGTGGAAGCCGCAGTCACAGTGCTGAGGGGCGGTCAGAATGCCCAGCCCCTCCTCGCCAGGAAAGGCTCGGCTTCACCCTGCCCCCGCCTGAGCTCCCCAGCACAGCGACCCTGTCCCCACCTGAACTCTGCAGGCAGGCACAGCTCCACATTCCCCCAGGAACCTCCCAGATAGCAGACCATGCAACCCCTGCCCTACCTCCTCTGAGGCGGCTAAGGCTCTTCCAGCGCAGCAACCGCACCTCTGCAGCAACCGCACCTCCGCCTAAACTCTGGTGGCCTGAGGTTCTGTGTTCCTCTGGGGCAGAACTCCCAGAGGTAACAGATAACACTTGGCACCTCTGTATGCCCTAAACAGTGAAGTTCGGCATTGTTTGGAAGGGAGGGAAGGGCAAGCGCGCCACGTGCTCCGCAGCTGTCAGTCTCCATTGCAGGAGTCCTGCTCCAGTGAAAGGCCCACAGCACAGCCGCCCTGCCCCCACCTGAACATTTCACCTGCAGCCCAGAGCCCTTCTGAAAATCCAAACCCCACATACCGTGATATTCCCTTGGGCTCCCACCACCTAAGTGTTCTGTAGGACCCTGCATGAGAGTTCGACCAGTGACCTGGAAACCAACCTGTCCCACCTCCCCACATCATAGCCAGCACCTGAACTCTGGGCTAGCCCGACTGCAGTCCAGCCCCTTCAGGTCTCACACAGGTTGTCCAGTGGGCCAGCTAGGGGCCTGGGGGGAACTGGGGAACTACTTGCCCCATTCCAACTCTGCTGGCGCCTGACCATTTCCCCCAGGGCCTGAGGTCAGACCAACCCAACCAGCTGACACCAGCACAACACCCATTCACACAGGCCCTGTGGAGGAAGCCCCTTCTACAGGAAGCAGCAGTACTGTGACATCGGAAAACAGGTGACCCTTAACCAATGGGGAAAGGATTCCCTATTCAATAAATGGTGCTGGGATAACTGGCTAGCCATATGCAGAAGAATGAAAGTGGACCCTACCTTTCACCGTATAAAATAACTTAAGATGGCCTGATCTAGTACATGCAGAAGCCTCTGAAGATCTTACCATTTTCTCATTACATTTTGCAGGTGTTTCATCAATTTTCAGAGCTACTAATTTTAATTTTATTACAGTTATAAAGCCACCAGCCATATCTAATACCAGACACCACTATTAATTGCAGCTGTGCTTTTATTACTCTCTCTCCCAGTACTAGCAACCAGCATCACCATACTACTGACAGACCATAACCTTAATATACTTTTTTTGATCCAGCTGGAGGAGGAGATCCAATTTTAGGCCAACATTTATTCTGATATTTTTGTCTATCCAAAAGTGTACATTCTTATTTTACCAGGTTTTGGAATAATCTCACATATTGCTACCTATTATTCTGGAAAAAAAAGAACCATTTGATTATATAGAAATAATATGACCCATAATATCAATTTAGCTCATAAGCTTTATCGTATGAGGCTATATTTACAGCACGGATAGACATTGATACCTGAATGTATTTTACACTAGCTACTATAATTATTGCTATTCCAACAGGAGTTAAAGTATTTAACTGACTAGCAACCCTACATGGAGGTAATACTAAATGATCTCCAGCTATATTATCAGGTTTAGGCTTTATTTTCCTGCTGACAGTTGGAGGCCTAACAGGAACTGTTCTAACTCATCAGCAGACATCAATCCTCATGATATATACTGTGCTACAGCACATTTCTAACATGTTCTATCAATAGCTGCAGTCTTCACCATCACAGGATTTATTCACTGATTCCCATATTTTCAGGTTATACACTCAACCTGAGCCAAAATCCATTTTGTATTTGTAGGTGTTAGCTTGACTTTCTTTCCACAACATTTTCTTGATTTATCAGGCATGCCATGACAATAACTACACTGATGGATATACAACATGAAATACCATCTGCTATGGTTTGGATGTGGTTTGTACCCACCAAATCTCATGTTGAAATTTAGTCCCCAGTATGGCGTCTTGGGGGATGGGGTTTAGTGGGAGGTGCTTGGGTCATGGGGGCTGGTCCCCGAGAACAGATTAATGCCCTCCCTCAAGGGTGACTGAGCTCTCGCTCTACTAGTTCTCAAGGGAGCTGGTTTTTAAAAAAGCCTGTCACCTTTCCCCTCTCACCATGTGATCTCTGCACACACTGGCTCCCCTTCACCTTCCATCATGAATGGAAGCAGCCTGAGGTCCTCACCAGAAGCCAAACAGACATAGGTGCCATGCTTCTTGTACAACCTGCAGAACCACGAGCCAAATAAACCTCTTGTCTGTATAAATTACCCAGCCTCAGGTATCCTTTATAGTAACACAGTATGAACTAAGACACCTATTACACTTGAATTAGTTCCACTATAACACTTTGAAAAGTGACCAGCATCTATGTTTAAATACCAAAACTAGAAACATCCACATAATTTTTTTCAATAATTCTAGCATTATTTACTTCAATTGAAATTTTTGAAATATGCCTATTCTTAAAATCCATCACCAAAGAACACTGAAGCCTTAAAACGTGAGACCCCCTTGGGAAAAAGACAAGCTAAAATTTATTCACATCTTTCACTATTCCTACAATAATAGGACAATTTATTTATATTCTAATCATTTCATTCCCAAACATCATGTTTCCTACCCCCAATTGCCAAATCCATAATAGATTAGTCTCTTTTTAATAATGATTAGCACAACTTGTACTAACATAATAATACATAATGTCAAAGGATGTTATTACCAATAACAGCAACACGTCTTAAAGCACACTTTCAAGCAACCGTCCTTTTTGACCACCACCACTGAAGTTACCAGATCATTTACCTTTATACCACCCCTCCAGCATTTTATCTCCATTTCTTTCTTTCTTTCTTTTTTTTTTTTTTTTGGAGACATGGTCTTGCTCTGTCGCCCAGGCTGAAATGCAGTGGCGTGATCATGGTTCACTGCAACCTCGACCTCGGGGCTCAAATGATCCTCCCAACTCAGTCTCCCAAGTAGCTAGGACCACAGGCATGTGACATAATGCCCTGCTAATTTTTATTTTAAGTAGAGATGGGGTTTTGCTATGTTGCCCAGGCTGGTCCTGAATTCCTGGGCTCAAGCAATTCACCCACCTCAGCCTCCCAAAGTACTGGGATTACAGGCTTGAGCCATTGTGCCCAGCCTACCACCATTTTAAAGATTCTCCTGTGAAAAAAAAACAAAAAACAAAAACCTCTCCTGATTCTGTGGTTCACCCTGCAGTGGACAGGAGCTGCAGGGTGAACCAGGAGAATGGCAAAACTTCTCAAGAGGTATGCATGCTTCCTGTCTATACCTTTTGCTTTTCTTTCTCTCCTACCACCATAATTAACATTTTGCCATATTTCCTTCCTAAATTTGTTCCATGGATTTTTATGTAGTTGAAATAATACTGCATATATAAACTCTAATCACACTTCTTTCCCCTAATTATTACAGTGTTCTTAAAACCTTCTAAAATATTGTAAACTCTATTTGTAACTTTGAGGGTTCCTCAAATGGGCCTTCAACAGTGCCTGGTGAGTTAATTCACTGTCCCACTCTAGTTTTTATTGTTGACTTACTTCTTTCTCACTCTCTTTTAAATACTCCACAATGAGGTTTTTGTTCCTCTCATTGCCAAACCCACCTTGTCAGGGTCACCAACACCCTTCATCCTGCCAAATCCAATAGCCAATTTTCAGCGTTCCTCTTACTTGAACTCCTAGCATTATCTCTCTCAGCTAACTGCTTCCTCCTTTTGTCAGTTGGCTTCCAATACACTGCATTCCCTCTTCCTAGGTCACAGGTTACTCAGGTTAGTCCTCAATTTCCTTTGCTAGATTGTTTTCCTGACTGAATGTTGGAACACCCCATGGTTCAGTCCTTGAGCTGTACCTTGCCTTCCGTCTAAACCAATTCGCTCCATAATCTCATTCAGTTCCTCGGTACAGAGAGTAATCCCATATTTATCTCTTCAGTCCTGACTATCCCCTCCACCCACAGGCTTCCAAATGCTTATCTAACTTCACCACACAGATATCTAATGAGCATATCAAATACGTAACTCTTGACTTCCTTCTCCAGCCTTCCAAACCCTGATGCCTCTATTGCCAATCTTCAAAATAACTCCATTATGAAGGTATTAATTCTACCTTCAAAATATAGCCTGTTCTCATCACCTCCACATATTAAACCCAATTCCAAGCCACTGTTATCTCTAGTGTGAACTTCTGAACTAGTCCTCTCATTAGTCTTCCTGCTTTCATTTTTATCCTCACTGTTCACATAGCACTCAGTGACCTCTAAACAAAGATCCTTTACTTGTCTGCAAAAAGTCAGCCAGGGGCTCCCTATCACACTTAGAATAAAATCTCACTGCTTGCAACAACCAACAAGGTCCTACATGATTTGACCTCTGCCTATTTCTCTAACCTCACCTCAAATTTCCACTTTCAGTAGCCACACTGGCCTTCTTGCTGATTCTCAAACAAGTGAAGCTCAGTTTCTCTCAGGATCTTCTCTTCCCTCTGCCTGAACACACCTTTCCCTGATTTACAGCCAACTTTATTCAGGTCTTAATTCAAATGTTACCTCCCCTGAGCTATCATTCCTGGTCCTCCTAACCTATGAACGTAGCAAGCTCTCAGTACGTATGTGCTGGCTAGAGATACTTATCCAAGTTTAACTATAAAAGAGCAACCAGGAAAAACGTAATTCAAAAAATAGATAAAAGCATTGTCCCCAAAAGAGATCAGACCAAAGGTAGCTCCCTTATTAAAACAAAAAGGGAATGTAAAACAGAAGAGTGGCAAATGGGAGTTGGGAGGGAGGTTCCACGGGGAACTCACACACATAACCTTCCTGCTCTCCCTATGTCTCAAGCCTTCTTTCCACAGGCCTTTGAAGAGAGCTTCAGGCACACACCTCAAAGTGCTGCCACCTACGGATCAGCTGTATTATTAGCAATAGCTGACACTGTGACCAGCCTTTATTCACCTGAGCTCTGTCTTTATGTCATGGTTCTCATCAGCATCCAGGGCTCCTTTCCTTGCTCCAGTAAGGAAAGTATATTTGGCTTAGGGACTGCACATACAGCTTAAAAGAAAGGAAATGGTGCATGGTCATGCTAGGGGATTCCCAGATTCAAATCTAGTCCATTGGCATCAAAGAAGGGAGACACTGACAGGAAGTGACAGAGAAAGATGTGACAGTCTAAAGGATAAGAGATAAAAAGGTACACGGTGGAGCTGTCCATTTCTACTTCTACTCAAACGTAAGCCTTTCCTTAGGGAATGGAGATCAGAAATTCACAATGAATGAGGCAGAAATTATGGGGAACAAATTCTGAATATTACGTAGGATGATCTTACCCAATGAGATCAGGTTGCTGTAGTTCTCCAACATCACATCCCTGTACAAGTCCCTCTGAGCAGGGTCCAGGCATTCCCATTCCTCCTGAGAGAAGTCAATGGCCACATCCCTGAAAGTCACCAACAACTGAAACAACAAATCCATTACAGGATGATTCTACAGGAATGATTCTGAAGTGAAATGAGAAGAAAATGGAGGAGGTAATTGAAGGAAGCAAGTAACACAAAACAACAGGAAATTGGTTGCCTAAACAGTAGTATTAACCTGATTCTCTATCATTCCTATTGCCACAGATAAAACTTCCTCTGTACAATAGAACAATTCCATTATCCAGAAAGGTCTGAGAATTTAAAAAGCCAGATGTGTGCAGTTTCTTGATTAAAGAAAATACTGCAAGCGTTTTCTTCACAACAGGTTTTAATTGCACAGCAGATAAGGCTTCCAAATCCTCAATAACTAATATACTCTCAATTAATACAAGTTCTTGCTCTCCCTTCTGCCTTTAAATACTTTTAAAAAGATGAATTTTTTTCCAAACAATGTTTACCAAATCTCTAGGTTAGAAAATAAAATTTGAATATAACCTAAGAATTTTTTGAAGACTCAGATTCATCAAGTTATATTATGTCACAGAACAGAATGGACATATTTCCATTTTACATACAAAATGATCTGCTTATTTGGGAGTATCTGAATTAGACAAATTCTCGGCCGGGCGCGGTGGCTCACGCTTGTAATCCCAGCACTTTGGGAGGCCGAGGCGGGCGGATCACGAGGTCAGGAGATCGAGACCATCCTGGCTAACACGGTGAAACCCCGTCTCTACTAAAAATACAAAAAAAATTAGCCGGGCGTGATGGTGGGCACCTGTAGTCCCAGCTACTCGGGAGGCTGAGGCAGGAGAATGGCGTGAACCCTGGAGGCGGAGCTTGCAGTGAGCCGAGATTGCGCCACTGCACTCCCGCCTGGGCCACAGAGCGAGACTCCGTCTCAAAAAAAAAAAAAAAAAGGAATTAGACAAATTCTCTAATGTCTTTGAGCTCTTAGAATCTATAATTCTTGAGAGTATGCATCTGGCATGTTTTATTTGCTCCTATTTTCCACGTTCCTAGGCTATAGCAAGGTACTGGATGCCAGTCCAGGCACACAGAGACATCACTCTGAACTGGTACATTCCGGGAAATCCCAAGGTGAACTTGACTATGATCATCCTCTCTCATTGGTTCCTGGGCAAGAGGGTTGTAGAAGGCAGAATAAAGGCCCCCCAAACATGTCCACAACCTAATCCCTGAAACAGTAACAGTACTGACTCAATGATAAAGAAAAGCTTGCTTGCTTAAATATAATTACTTTGCTTGACTTTGTAGATTATTCAGTAAGAACAGTCTCAGGAAAACAGGACCTTCAACAGAGATAAGAGAATTAAAATATGCAGACTAACAACTCTGGGAATGGGCTGACCAGCCTGATAAGAATAGGCTGATGGCACCTACAGAAGGCCACAAAACACTGACCAAGAAAGCAATGACCAACAAAGCAATGACCTGAGACTGCACATTTCACAAGAATGTTTTGATCATCATTTTTTCTAATTTCCCTTAAAAACCCCTGATATGGAGACAGAACTCGGCGGTCTTTGAACACTAGTTCACTGCCTCCCCTGGGTTGTTGGATTCCTGAATAGAGCTAACCATCCTTTCACCAATGCTCATCTCTTAAACTTTCAAGTGACAAGTGGTCTGGACCTGAATTTCGTTACAAAACCTATGTATACCTTACCTTACATGGCAAAGGGGACTTTAGAAGTGCAATTAAATTAAGGATCTTGAGAGGGGGTTATCCTGGATTATCTGGTTGGGCCCAATGTATTTGTAAGTGATAGAGGGAGGCAGGTGAGTAAAAAAAGGAAACGTGATGATGAAAGCACAAGTCAAAATGTGATTGCTGGCTTTGAAAATGGATGGAAGCCACACCCCAGGGATCGTGGACAGCCTTTAGAACCAGAAAAGGACAAGGAAACAGATTCTCCAGTCCTCTAGAACCTCCAGAAGGAACATGGCTCTGCTAATACTATGATATTAGCCCTTTCAGACTGATTTCAGACTTCTGACCAGCAGAGGTATAAATCATAATTATATTGATTTAAGCCACTAAATTAGTGGTTATTAGTAACGGCAGCAACAGGAAACTATATCAGCAACAAGACTCCTTCCTTCATAGAACCCAATTCCCAACCAATTTTCAAACTTTCACAGAAAATCTTGCCACACACTGAGACTAGGAACATCCAACAAAAAAATGCTATCACTTTCAAATGGAAAACCCAGGATTGTAGAGAAGATCAAATTTTGTCATGTATCACATTTAAACACTCATCTCTACCTCACCAAACCGTGGTACTAATGTGTACCAATCTTAAAAGGAGGTATTTCTGTTCCCTCAGAGCTCTGGGCAGAAGACTATGCCTGTGGACAATGTAGAATTATCTGCTGAATGAATATCTGAAAACTGTTTGGAGAGGGGAAAAGCATTGAGAAGAATTGGGCTCTTTGCTACTATTACTCGCTAGAATGGGAGACGTTTGGAAGCAGTTCCCTTAAGGAACCAAACAAGGCAGGAAATTCTGGGATAAATCTGGTGTTCACATTACACAACAAAATGATTGTACTTCAAGAAGGAAAGAAACAGCAACTCACGTGGGGCATGGTTTTTTAGAACTGATCAATTTTCTGGGTTCTTCTCCTGGAGGTGTGCAAAGTCCAGAGAAGCCAGTGCTGGACAAGGAAAAGAAGCCACAAGATTAGACTTGGCTCACAGCCCACAAAATAAACTACTTAGAACTACCTTTACTTCTCCTCTTTTGGGAATTTGGAAAAAATCTCAGTTCTTCCACAAACCCAATGGAAGCCAGCTACTGCAGAAGGGGTTCAGGCAGACCTTTCCTTAATGTCCATGTTGAACAGGACCCTAGGTGCTGTTACTTTCCCATGGCATCTCCTCTTCCACAGTAGAACAGAGGCATGCCCAGGGAGCCCCCCACCATCCTCCTGGACCCAAACACTAAGTCAGGTACTTTGCTCCCAATCTTAGGAAGGGGCTTCAGAGACCAAAATGTGGCCTTCTTTCAGACGTCATGAACATCAGCTAGACTCACAGACATTTTGACAGACATATCAGGGTCAACAGATCCAAAACAGTCTCATCCCACTCCCCTGAATCTAGTTCTTTCTTGCCTGTTTACTCTTCCCTATAAAAGAAAATTCCTTTATGCCTGACCTTTGCTATGCTTGCAGATCTTATGGCTGGAGTATTCTCCCAATTACAACACCTCCTCCCTTACTGCAGTGTTCCTGTGAATAAAGTCATTCCTTACCAAAGTCTGGATTTGTTTTTTTATTTCACAGGTTGAATAACTTTTGTAGAATAACAAAACAAACTATTTTAACTGTAACCTAATTCTCCAAGCCATGGCACACACAGAAGCACGGAGGGTCAAACAGGAGCAACATCCACATGACAGCCAATGTGCGCACAGCACGCCCCCTCTTGCAATATGACTTCAAGATTGAGCAAGTTCCCCAACTAGAGCCACCTACTTGCCATAGTTGTGTAGCACTGATCTTTTTTTTTTTTTTGGTAGCATTGATCTTGCATACATGTATAATCCATGAACTTAACATCAATGTTACTTGTGTGATACCAAGAAAACCCAGTAAGAGAGCAGGTAAATAATTTAAGTAAGATTTTGTTGGGTATAGTTGAGCTTTGAAGCACCATAAGCCATTGTACTAAGATTTTGTCCTCCCCGCTAACCAATTTTCACCTCCTTTGAGGCAATATCATCGTCATTAAGAATACATGGGTTGGCTGCACGCAGTGGCTCACGCCTGTAGTCCCAGGGAGGCCGAGGCAGGCAGATCACTTGAGGTCAGGAGTTCAAGACCAGCCTGGCCAACATGGCTACTAAAAAATACAAAAATTAGCCAGGCATGGTGGCACATGCCTGTAGTCCCAGCTACTTGGGAGGCTAAGGCAGAAGAATCACTTGTACGCGGGAGGTGGAGGTTGCAGTGACCCAAGATTGCGCCACTGCACTCCAGCCTGGGTGACAGAGCGAGACTCCATCTCAAAAAAAAAAAAAAAAAAAAAAAAAAAAATCCCATGGGTTAAAATAATATATATAAAATGATATAAAGATGTTAACCTCTGCAAGTTAATAGGATATTTGACATATGATATACAAATTAAATATGACCCCAATAAAAGTACAAGTATGAAAGCAGATACATTCAATTTAAATTCAACAAGCAAGAAAATTAAAAAGCAAGAATTGGAAAAAAATGCCTGATAATAAAGAGAACAGAGATTTCAAAATACCACTCCTATCATTAAAATGTTGGATACTGTAAAAAGGAACAAAATCATATCCTCTGCAGCAACACAGATGTGGCTAGAGGCCATTATCCTAAATGAATTAACACAGAAACAAAACCAAATACCACATGTTGTCCTTTATAACTGGAAGCTAAGCACTGGGTACACCTGAACATAAAGATGAGAACATGGACACTGGCAACTACTAGAGCACGGAGAGAAGGAGGAGGGCAAAGGAGCAAACCTACCTACCTATCAGGTATCCTGCTCACTACCTGGGTGACTGGATCATACCCCAAACCTCGGCATCACACAATATGCCATATAACAAACCTGAACATGTACCCCCTGAATCTAAAATAAAAGTTGAAATTTTATTTTTAAAAAGTTGGATACTGCATATGAATAGAAAGAAAAGATTAATGTAACTGAATAGAATCTCTGATCTCTGGGGAAAGGTGGATTATTCAGTAAATGTTATTGGAGAAAGGTAAAATTGGAACCCCATTTTATAACACATACCCAAATTAACTCCAAATATATAAGATATCTAAATATTAAAAAATGAAATTGGCAGGGAGTGGTGGCTCATGCCTGTAATCCCAGCACTTTGGGAGGCTGAGGCAGGTGGATCACCTGAGGTCAGCAGTTCACCGTCAGCCTGGCCAATGTGGTAAAACCCCATCTCTACTAAAAATACAAAAATTAGCTGGGTGTGGTGGCGGGTGCTTGTGATCCCAGCTACTTGGGAGGCTAAGGCAGGAGAATCGTTTGAACCCAGTAGGCGGAGGTTGCAGTGAGCCGAGATCATGCCACTGCACTTCAGCCTGGGCGACAAGAGCCAAACTCCGTCTCAAAAAAAAAAAAAAAAAAAAATCACAAAAATGCTAGAAGGAAAAACAGACTGTTCCTTCTTAACTTCAGAGGGGAAAATTCTGTATCTCACAATCATATGAATAAATGTTCCTACATTTAAAAATTGCCTAAAAGAATACACAGACAAATGACAAAATGGGAGAAAATATGCGCAACTTAAATAAAAAACAGAGTCCTAAAATCCAAAGAGCTGTATTTTAAAAATCGAGGGAAAACAAGAGAAAGACAAAAAAATCATTATTTTAAATGGACAACAGACAATTCATAAAAAAAAAGTCAACGGTCATTCAACATGTAAAATGCTCATCATTTAAATAAAGAGAAATTCAAATTGAAACGAAATTGAGAAGACTTCTGAATCCAATATCATTAAGATCCTACTGGACTAAGTTCCTTGAAGATACACCTATCAGATCTGGACATAATACAAAAAGCAACTAACTGAAGGTGCTGGCCAATGAACTGAAGCAGTATTCCTACAAAAAAATGCAAAAATTAGCCAGGCGTGGTGGCGGGCATCTGTAATCCCAGCTACTTGGGAGGCTGAGGCAAAGAATTGCTTGAACCCGGGAGTTGGAGGTTACAGTGAGCCAAGATCGCGCCACTGCACTCCAGCCTGGGCAACAGAGCAAGACTCCATCTCAAAAAAAAAAAAAAAAAAAAAAAGCACACTTGAATTGAATCATGAGGAAACATCAAACACATACAAACTGAGGAACAATCTACAAAATAACAGGCCTGTAGTTTTCAAAAAAGTCAGGATCACAAAGGATCAAAGAAAAGTCCAGGAATTGTTTTCCATTAAAAGAGACTAAAGAGATGATTTAATTAAATTAAATGTTTGATCCTAGATATGATTTTGGATTGGACGCCAGATAAGGGGCAAAAAAAGGCTATAAGGAGCTGGGCATGCGGTGGCTCATGCCTGTAATCCCAGCACTTCAGGAGGCCAAGGCGGGTGGATCACGAGGTCAGGAGATCAAGACCATCCTGGCTAACACAGTGAAACCCTGTCTCTAGTAAAAAAAAATAAAAATAAAAAAAAATTAGCTGGGCGTGGTGGTGGGCACCTGTAGTCCCAGCTACTTGGGAGGCTGAGGCAGGAGAACGGCGTGAACCCAGGAGGCGGAGCTTGCAGTGAGCCAAGATCTCGCCACCGCACTCCAGCCTGGGGGACAGAGTGAGGCTCCGTTTCAAAAAAAAGAAGAAGAAAAAAAAAGCTATAAGGACAAAATTGTAACAATTGGTGAAATTTTTCTATGAACTCTGGATTAGACAATTATTACATCTCTGCTACATTTCATTTTAATAAATGAACTATAGTTATAGTCCCCTGTGCTCAGAAAATACACTAATATAATTATAGATAAAGGAAAATGATGTCTGAAAATTACTATCAGGTAGTTCAGAAGTATATATGTAGAGAGAATTAGCAAACAAAAAAGCAAAATGTTAAAAACTGGTAAATATGTAAGGACATAGGACAGTTTTTTCTATTATTTTTGCAACTTCTCTGTAAGTGTAATATTATATCAAAATAAAAATTTTAAAAAACCAATGCTATGTGAGTACTGATTTTTAATTAAGAGACTAAAGAGGCATAACCAAATGTAATCCATGAACCTTAAATATAGCAAAACATAAAAACCAAAAGAAATCTAAAATGCATTCTCTATCTTAACAGTAGTGACAGTTACTGTTGTTTTCAAACAATTATATTTTAGAATAAAGAACGTAAATTATATTAATGTTTTAGCAACCAAGATTGTTAGCATAAAACAGAGATACAAGTATAAAATCAAACAAGAAAATACTCTGTAATTTGTCTGAACTATTATTATAAATTCATGATTCATGATTTATACTTTAAAAACAAGTTATTAGCTTTGTTCCCTGAAATGGCCTAGAATAAACGACAGCCTTATGGCAATGAGAAACTCTAATGCCCAGACAGTGGTCACTGTACACTGTATACCACAAGAGGAATCAGAACTCCTTAGAGAAATGGCTCATTTCAGGGCTGGCACAGGAAATGTAGAAGTTGATCTTGGGATCATTTGTTCTGCCAGAAAGCAAATAAGCTATCAACTCTACTAGAATCATGACAGAAAGACACAGAACTGCCTGGAAAGGACTACCACTGGCTTAAAAAAGAGCAGTTTGATATAAAAAAGAATAATGATCACAATAGTTCGAAACATATGGTATTCAAAACAGACACTCCCTTTTGGGACTCCTTAGAAGGTTGTAGGGCACCAACTCATTTCTCTGAAAATATATAAAGGGAAAGAATCAAATCAATTACTCTGCCTTTCCATATGAACTGTATTTATTTATCTTGAGATGGAGTTTCACTCTTGTTGCCCAGGCTGTAGTGCAATGGCGCAATCTCGGCTCACCACAACCTCGGCCTCCCGGGTTCAAATGATTCTCCTGCCTCAGCCTCCCGAGTAGCTGGGATTACAGGAATGTGCCACCATGCCCAGCTAATTTTGTATTTTTAGTAGAGACGGGGTTTCTCCATGTTGGTCAGGCTGGCCTCAAACTCCCGACCTCAGGTGATTCGCCTGCCTCGGCCTCCCAAAGTGTTGGGATTACAGGCGTGAGCCACCACACATGGCCATGAACCGTATTTTAAGATAACCAAATACTTGATGAAAAAAAGTTCTTATATATAGAAGAACTGTAACTAATGAATACAGGAGGAATTGAGAGAATTTTTTTTTAATCACCATATATAACTGTTAATGAATGGGCCAGGCGCGGTGCCTCACACTTGTAATCCCAGCACTTTGGGAAGCTGAGGTGGGTGGATTACTCGAGGTCAGGAGTTGCAGACCAGCCTGGGCAACATGGTGAAACCCCGTCTCTACTAAAAATACAAAAATTAGCCAGGTGTGGTGGCACATGCCTGTAATCCCAGCTACTCGGGAGGTTGAGGCAGAAGAACCTTTTGAACCTGGGAGGTGGATGCTGCAGTGAGCTGAGATCACACCACTACACTCCAGCCTGGGCGACAGAGTGAGGAAAAAAAAATAAAGAATGGATCTTGGTATCAATCATAAGTGGACGTTATAACCTTTAGGTCAGTGCTTCTCAATCCTTCTAAAATTTTTCACGGTCATATCCCTAGGAACCTTTTTAGATACTTTTCTCTAATAGCCACCACTCTCATGAAATTTTATTACCATAGATATACTGTATATATGTTTATGTACTGTGGCCCTTTGGAGGACCACAGATCATTGTAATACCTATGAGTTTTTGTCCTCTTCCTTCTCAAAAACCAAGTTTCACCCACTTGGAAGGTGATATCCTCCACCCTCATTGAGAATGCATGCTTTAGGTGAAAAAAAGGAAAGGATTAAATGGACAGCATTTAAACACATCAATATGACATCACTGAAAGTGGGACATCAGACTGTAAGGGCCTCATGATGTGATGTAATAGGAAGTACACAGCACCAACTATGAATTAAAGGTGATTTAGGGAAAATCTGATCCAAATTCCATCAAACCTCTAGATCTAACTGCCTGTTTACAGAAATATGAAGGAACGGAAAACAAATTATAAGACAGTACAAAGAAGCAATTAGCTAAAAGCAGTATACAGAATATTCTACGGGACAGATGATCTAGTTTTTCTACAAATCAACAGCACCAATTAAACCAAAACAAAACACAGGAGGGAAACTATCATGCATTAAGTAAGTTTAACAGGTTTGGCCACCAAATGCAATGTGTGGACTCTATCTGGATCCAGATTTGAACACACCTATTGTAAAAATATGTCTTTGAAATAATTGGGAAAATCTGAATATGGGGGTATACAAGATTATGAAATAACCACCACGCTGTTACACCAACATAAGAAACAAATTTATTGTTTTAAACTTATTGTTAGTTTTTTTTTTTATGTTGGTATAACAGCATCATGGTTATTTTAAAATATAATGTCCTTTTTGGTAATATATGCTTATAAGAGGATAAAATACAATTTTGAAATACTATAGGAAAAAACGGGGAAGGATTGATACAAAGGTATTTACAAATGTTTTTAATTACAGCTAGGTGTTGAACATGTTGGGGTTCGTATTATTCTTTAGCCTGCTTGAAAACATCCACAATAAAGTTAAAATTTTAAAACTCTTCAAATTTCCCCCAGAAAGTACAGTTATTTTTCATCAAAACCTTAGACCAGGCCAGGCGCGGTGGCTCACGCCTGTAATCCCAGCACTCTGGGAGGCCCAGGCGGGTGGATCACGAGGTCAGGAGATCGAGACCATCCTGGCTAACACGGTGAAACCTCGTCTCTACTAAAAACACAAAAAATTAGCCGGGCATGGTGGCGGGCGCCTGTAGTCCCAGCTACTCGGGAGGCTTAGGCAGGAGAATGGCGTGAACCCGGAAGGCGGAGCTTGCAGTGAGCCGAGACCGCACCACCGCACTCCAGCCAGGGCGACACAGCGAGAATCCGTCTCAAAAAGCAAACAAACAAACAAAAAAATCTTAGACCAGAAAGGACTGCTGTATCATTGGGTGGAAAGGAGAGGTGTAGTGTGGCTGGGGAGTAGAGCTAAACTGATGATCCCATCCCCGCAGCATCATTTATGGGGTGCCTAAGGACCAGTCACTAGCATGGCTGGTTCTTCCTTAGGAAGATGTTGCTGGAGGTAGAAAACGTTTCGGAAAGGAAGAAATTTGAGGTTAGAAAGAAAACAGGAACTTCACACAAGACTTTCAGAAGTGCGATATTCTTTTCCTCTGGGTGCCTCTCTTGGAAAACGCAGAACCGAGAAAAGAAATAAGCATCATAGAACATCAGAGCTCTCGGAGCAGACGAAACAATTTAGGATAACACCAACCTCTAGAAAGGGATTAGTCTTCCCCACAGGGCTGTCAAGCTAGAATAGGACATCTTTAACAGTGGTCTTCTTCCTAAGACACTTCCAGGGGTAAAGCCTCACCATCAGGGAAACTTCAAAAAGAGCCTCTTACTCTGCAAAGAAACTGCAGCAGCTGTAACCGCACGATTCTCAGCTGGCTTAATGATGTCCGTGTCACACGAGGAGTACTGCGGCCCGGGAGGGGCCAAGCGCTAGGAGCATTAACAGGCGGCAGGTGAGCCCACCCCGCGGCCGCACAAGCGCACACGCACACGTCCAGGGCGGAGGAACACTACTAGTAACACCCGCCTCCTTCTAGCCTCCCTATCCCAAAGTTATGGTGCCGATTTTGTCCGCGGCAGGGGCTCCAGGGGCACACTCATAAATTCGGTGCGGAGGAACACAACTAGCAGCACCACACCCCCGCCACTGCCAGAACCAAAGTGACGGTGCCGACACCCCTCCGCAAGCGCAAGGCCGACTTCCATAAGTAATTAGCCAGAGCACCGTCCCGTTCCTGTCAGCACCGAGCCCCAGCCAGGACACCGGTATTCCCAGCACCATACAAGAACTACTTTTTCGATGAAGCAACCCAAAAGCTGCGAGCGGTTCCCGGTGAGGCCGCCCACTCACCTGGCCGGCGCAGACAAGCTCCGTGCGTCAAGACATAACAGCGTAAGTGTACGACGTTGCGCAGCGACGCGGGGGCCTTCGGGAAATGTAGTCTACAACTGGAAACCGGCCGGATCGTGTCTGCGCAGGCCCAGCAGCTAAGATCGGGTCCGGCGCTCCAGAACAGAACGATCCCTGAGGCTCCCTTGCTCGAACTGTGGGACTTACCCTACTATGGTCCGAGCCTACCCTATTTCATTATACTCAAGTAACGCCCCAGAAATTCCAGAGAATCTCACACAAAGAGGTTGAGTCTTGCCGTGGTGCCTTCAGGGGAATGTCATCCCGGGCTAGAAGAGCTGCAAAAGGCTGTCAGGTAAGGTCTGGATTTCTCTCTGACAGCTCTGGCCGTGACGCAGTGGCCACGATACCGGGTTGCTGCTCAACGGGGTTCGGAAGTGTGACGCATTCTTTGCGGCCATGTGTGTGTGTGTGCGTGTGTGTGTGGGTCTGTGCGCGCGCGTGTCCGAGTGTCCTCTGTGGGTGCAGAGTGGGTAGTGGCCATGCCTGTGTGATGTGCGTCAGATTATGCTTGAGGCTATTAGTGGCGCATTTAGTATTGTGTGCGGAAGGGTCTTGGGAATGGTTTGATTATAGCTTTGAGGGTGACTGATGTCTGTTTAATCAGATTCAGCCTGCGACTGAGTATCTTATAACCTGTAAGAAATTGATTTTTCTTTGCATGGTCATGAATTTAAAATAGATTCCCATGAAATTATATAAATGTAGTGAATGATTCATTGAGAGTTCGCCTGTGGCAGTGAATGTGGGGAAAGAAGTGTGTGAGCATAATATGGTGAGAATGAGCACGATTGTGTGCAGCGCTGTATTATAGTGATATCTCCTGGCTTCAGTTTTCTCACCTGTAAAGTGAGGGTGTCAGTCGTGTAACGCTTTGGAACAATGCTTTTTAATAGGAATTTCTGCAAAACTGAGTTCCATTTTTTATATCTGTGCTCTCCAATATAGTAGCCACTAGCTACATATGGCTATTGAGAAATTGAAATGTGGCTGGTTTGACTGAGGAACGAATTTTTTAAATTGTGTTCAATTTTAATAAATCTAAATGTAAACAGCTATATATGGCTAATAGTCTTCCTATTGAACAGTACAACCTGGAGCATTAATTTGCCTTCAAGATTTGAAGGGGGTAAAAACTTAATTCATCTAGCAAATATTTGAAAATGAAATTCTTAAAACTTCCTTAAATTTTTTTTTAAATTTGAGATGATTGTAGATTCATATGAGGTTGTAAGAAATAATAGAGACATTGTGTGTTATCTTCAACTTAGTCTTCTCCAATGACAACATCTTGCAGGACTGTAGTATAATATGACAACCAGGATGTTGACATTGATAGTCAAGATAGATCATTTCCATCACCTCGAGGATCTGTTGTGTTGCCCTTTTATAGACAAATGCACTTTCTTCCCTCTTGTTTGAAGATATTCGCGTCAACATTAATGATAATGTAGGCATACCTCATTTTATTGTGCATCATTTTATTGCACTTTGCAGATACTGTATTTGTTTGTTTTAAAGAGACAGGCTCTCACTGTCTCACCCAGGCTGGAGTGCAGTGGTGCAGTTATAGCTCACTGCAGTCTCGAACTCCTGGGTTCAAGGGATCCTCCAGCTGGCCCACAAAGCCTGAAATATTTATTATGTGGTTCTTTGCAGGAAAAGTTTGCAGACTCCCAATCTATATTATTTCTGATGGCTACTTTATTTTCTATTATATGGATACACTAGAATTTATTTAACCTGTTCTTTATTGAAGTCTAATTTATGTTTGTATCTAGCTTTTTCCATTTTAAAATTAGTCTATCTGCACCTGTCTGCATATATCCTAGTGAACATATATAATTATTTTCCTTAGACAGGGTCATAGGAGTGGGATTACTGAAACATCTGGCTCATATTATTAAATTCTGCTAATATAAATTTCTAATTTACCCTCTTTAAGGTGGCACCAGTGTATAACATGGCGTGAGGGCATCTATTTTACTCCAGTTTAACATGTTATTATCAGTCTATTCAATGTTCCCGTGTTGTAAATATAAAATGCTATTTGCCACTTTAACGTATATTATCTTAATAAGTAGCAACATTTAATAGCTTTTAGTCATTAAACCCAAGTCATTATTCACGCTTGGGTTTTATTAGGCGTAATAAGAAATTCTGGGTATCAGTGACAAGAGCACAGTTGAAAAAGAACTGGCTTTGTAGTTGGAGAATTGTGGATTCAGAACTCAGATGTCTTGTTTATTAACAGTGGATTTAGGTTTCTGTTTTTCTGATGTTGAAGTGGAGATAATAATGACATTGTAGAACTGTTCTAAGGATTAAATAGCTATATATAAGGTATGCATCACATAAAAGTTGATTTTTTTTTTATTGCTTCCAGGGCCATAAATTTACTTCTCCCTCTAGTTTGGGTACTGAGGGAGAAGGGAGGGTGAATGATGTCCTGCAGGGACCCTGGGGACTCTTCTGATTGAGGGAAATGGGGAGTGGTGAGCCCTGAGGATTGTGGGAGTTCCAGTTCAGGCTAGGAAAAGGGATCCCAGTGTGCAAGTATAATTTTGCAATGATAAAGGCCATCATGGATTGTCTATGCCAGGGATCAGCAACTGTTTCTTTGGTTTTTTGTTTGTTTGTTTTTGAGACGGAGTTTCAATCTTGTTACGCAGGCTGGAGTGCAATGGGGCGATCTCAGCTCACCGCAGCCTCCCCCTCCCAGATTCAAGCGATTTTCCTGCCTCAGTCTCCTGAGTAGCTGGGATTATAGGCACGCGCCACCACATCCAGCTAATTTTGTATTTTTAGTAGAGACGGGGTTTCTCCATGTTGGTCAGGCTGGTCTTGAACTCCCGACCTCAGGTGATCTGCCCGCCTTGACCTCCCAAAGTGCTGGGATTATAGGCGTGAGCCACTGCGCCCAGCCAGCAAATGTTTTTTATAGAGGACCAAATAGGAAGTATTTTAGGCTGTGTG
Organism: Homo sapiens; assembly: GCF_000001405.40. NCBI lineage: Eukaryota > Metazoa > Chordata > Mammalia > Primates > Hominidae > Homo > Homo sapiens. The sequence goes on from NC_000019.10 coordinate 37,597,777, forward strand.
GCCCATACAATCTCCATTGCAACTACTCAACTTGGCTATGGTAGCTTTCTGAAAGTAGCCATAGTCAGAAGTAAACACATGAGCATAGCTGTGTTCCATTCCAGCTTTATTTACAAAAACATATGGGCGGGCCAGATTTGGCCCATGGGCCATAGGTTGCAAACTCCTAGTCTGTTCTATCTTTCGTTTTTAAGTCTGGGGAGGCCAGGAAGCTCCTAAGGCCATGAAGGCAGTCTGCTTTGGATAATGTGGTCTGTCCCCTTTGGATGGTGAGAATTGAGGGAAGAGAATCTACTCTGGGCAATTCTGAACATCCCAGCCTTGGGCCTAGATCAGTATCCTCATAGTGGGGATTGGCCCAGAACTCTCCTGCTGAAATATTGGTCATGTGTTCTAATGCAGGATAACCTCTGCACTGTGTCCATCCTCGTACAGCCAGGTTCCCTTGCTGTGGTGAGTGTGTCGGAGGGAGGTGAGGGAAGTGTAGGGGAGGTATTTGCAAGCAACAGTGGAAAATAAAAGATTATTAATTTATATCATATTGTTACCTCTGAGGCAGACCTAGTCTCACTGTCTCATTTTTTTCTCCTCTAACTCAGGCTTCTCAGAACTTTGCTTCTCCAGCAGAATAATCCTGCGGAAGACTGAGCAGTTCTTGTGAGTGTAAAACCATGGCCCATGTAAGTCACAGTTTCTCTTTCCTTTTTAGATTATTTTGTTTTTAAAGATCATGTGAACATTTTCACTCTTTATGCTGACACTTCCTAAGAATTTTTTCTTCATCCCCACATTTCCAAGCTCCTCCCATGGGCCCCCTCTCTTTTCTAACCAGTATCCACATGCACATTGACCAACTCATTCAGGGTACTCAGTCTCTGTCTAGGGCAGAGATGGAACAGACATGAAGTTCCTAGAGGGGGAGGTACTTTACCATCCTTTGTCAGATCTGAGGTGTAATGAAACCAAGAATGGAATCATTTGACTACACGTAGGAAAGCACTGCAGTTTTCCACAGATCCTGTGTCTGTAGATAAATGCAGTTTAATATTGATTGGCCTCAGTTTCAGTATGTGGTTGGGGCCTGCTTATAGAGAGGCCAGGGGATCTTTCCTGAGAATCTCTGAGGTGAAAACCCATAGTAAGACGCATTTTGTGGTTAAACGGAATGTGCTAGTCTTGACATCAGTATGATTCTGGTTCATTACATCAATATTCTTAATCTCAAGAAAAAAGAAGGTGTGTAGTACTTATAAGAAAATCATCCAGATACATAAATATTAGTTAATTGTATTCTCCCAGATTTGCAGTGAGGTACTATGGCCTCGAACTTCTGAGTTCACCACTGTACTCCAGCGTGGGCAACAGAGTGAGATCTCCGTCTCGATTGATCAATCGATTGATCGATAGATAGATAGATAGATAGATAAACTTAAAGGAAAAAGAGGATATAGGATTCTTTTTTATGTATTAAGTGGTTTTTCTTAAAGTATTTATTATTAAGTAATAATTTATTGAGAATTTTTGAGGTAGAAATATAGTTTATTTGCTTGTATCCACTGTTTAATTGAATTGGGAAACATTTATTTGTTCCCAGAAATGTTTTGAGTAGTTAAAGAACCCCATAATATACAGGAAATTTTGCATATAGTGGCTGGATTCTTCAAGAAAATGAGGTGACTCTGCTTTAGAACACCTGGTTCCTTTCTTCTATCTTTATCATAAGCTTTCAGCCCCAGCCTAGAGTTTAGTATAGTACCCCTTGCTGCAATGAAACCTTTTATCTCCTTTTCTTCTTTTTAAAATACTTGTTCTGTAATTTCACCAGTAATATGTTGGTTTATGGTTTCAGGCATTGGTGACGTTCAGGGATGTGGCTATAGACTTCTCTCAGAAGGAATGGGAGTGCCTGGACACTACCCAGAGGAAATTGTACAGAGATGTGATGTTGGAGAATTATAATAACTTGGTCTCACTGGGTAAGGTCACCTATGTCAAATAATGTAGACTCTGTTATCTGAAATAGTAGCTTTCTCTTCCACAAATTTAGGACTAATTATTAAGAAACTAGCTGAATTTCTTCTCTCTTCCTCAAGGAATGGACTGAACTTTGATGGTTTGTGAATGGCACTTCCACTAAATGCTTTCATTTTCACCATACCTCACTGAGCCTCATGAAATGTTCCTTAATCCATTACTGTAGTTACTTCTTCCTTAATAGTTAAGAGACTGGATTTGAATTTTGGGGCATTTACTCCAAAGCCAATGTCAATGAAATCAGGTTTCACATTGCATTTGAGCTCAGAATTGCTATGGATGCTCTGTTATTTGGTAACATGCCTATAAGGATAACAGCCCTACCCAGGGTCTACAATTTACATGTCATGGTTCAGACCAATAACATTGATTTAAAATTAAAGTGAATGCATTCTACTTCCTAAAACAAATATTTTCTCTTACTGATTTGTGATTGAAAATTTTACCTATTGGACATTATGCTCAGTACCTGGGTGGTGGGATCAAATGTACCTCAAACCTCAGCATCACACAATATCCCCAGGTAACAAACCTGCACGTATGGCCCTGTATCTAAAATAAAAGTTGAAATTAGTTAAAGTAAAATAAAATTTATTAACTTAGCATCTAACTTTAAATGAATATCTTAGCAAGAACCTAGAAATATTTTAGGAAGCTTCTTGTTTTGCTCTAAGTAAATTAACAACAACAAAAATAATAATAGCTAATAGAGTGCTTACTATATACCAGGCATCATTCTAAGTACTAGCTACAAGATACAAAAGAAAAAAAGAAAATAAAAGGTACTACTTTTATTTTCATTTTACAGATGAAAAAACTGAGGCCCAAATAATTTAACCAGTTTGTTTACAATCATTAGTCAATAGGTAGTAGAGTAGAATTTGGACCCACATAGTCTGGCTTCAGAGGCTATGCCCTCAATAACTACTGCCTCTCAATAGAGCCAGTCTGTATGAGTTTTAATTCCAAAATGAATTAAAATTCTCCTAGATGAATTTTAATTCCCCTGCCCATCAAGTTTCTTTATTCTCTGGGATCCTGAGGTTACACTAAGTTGAATATTCTTTAATCCTGTCAGTTTTTTCCGAAGTCTTCATCGAAATCATGTTGATCCATATAAATTTAACCAAGTCTCAAAATGTTTCTGAATGTGCAATGTTTTATTTCTATATATTCTTTTATTTCTTTCTTGTAAGCAGGATATTCTGGCTCAAAGCCAGATGTGATTACCTTACTGGAGCAAGGGAAAGAGCCCTGCGTGGTGGCGAGGGATGTGACAGGAAGACAGTGCCCCGGTGAGTTGAGAGTTCATCAGGCAGATGGAAGCCCTCATTGCCAGTCACGGCCAGCTGGTGAGGGAGCATATACAGGCTTTGCATGCTGTTTAGGGAGTTACTCTCAGAGGCCTCAGGCCTTTGGAGTAAAGGTTAAGACAGGGAAGAAAACAGATCATCTGAGCATGAACTATCAAAAGAACCTCATCTTGGCTCCTACTTACCACCTGTCTTTGTTTTTGTTTCCCCTCGTATTACTCTCCATTTCAGTAAAGGGAATGCTCTTTCCTAGTGCAATCAATTGCTTCCTATCTTTTCTCCATTGACATGTGTGCTTGTTTCTAATGCCTAAAAGTTCAGTCTTTCACATATTCAGCATATATTTACCGAGTGCTCACTCTGTGCCAAGTGTTATCAGTGCCTTGGTGAATAAGGCCAAAACCTCCCTACACTAATGGAATTAACATTGTAGTAGCAGAGATACATAGTAAACTGTAAACAAATGAATATATAATATTAAATAATGATGCATGCTATGAAAGAAACCTATGAAGGGTAAAGAGATAGAGTTTGGGCAGGTTTAATTGAGGTGGGCTGCCCAGGGAAGGCTCTTCGAAGAGAGAATATATGTGCAGAGATGTGCAGTATAGGCTTAGGCCATGTGAATATCTGGAAGAAAATAATTCCAAGCACAGCAGAGAAGTGAGCTTTGTGTGTTTGAAGAACTGGAAAAGCTCAGAGCAGATTCAGAGTGGGGAAGAGTAACTAAATATGAATTTAGAGCTGAGCAGGGGCCAGGTCTTATATGGTTCTGTTTATCATAGTAAGAAATTTGGATTTTTCTTTTCCAAGAGTGATTGAAAGCCATAATCAAAAATATGTTTTTAAATGATCACTGTAGATGCTCTGTGAAGAATATACTAAACAGGGGCAAGATTGGAAGTAGGAAGATCAGTTATCAGGCTATTTCAGAAGTCTAGATTAGCAGTGAAGGTAGCTTGGATTGGGATGGTAGTGGTGAGGGGTGGTAAGAAGATGCTGTATTCATCTTATGATTTGAAAGTAGAGCTAACAGACATGCCATGGGGTATGAGTGAACAAGAAATCATAGGTGAACAAGCAGCTAAGTGTATATAATTTGCTGAGATGGACATATGGGAAAGATAGCTTGGAAGATGGAAATAGAGTCCTGATTTAGGTATATATATTTAAAATGCCTACTTGTCATCAAGATCGAGATGTTGAACAGAGATGGTAGGATGAGTTATATTAACTTGGGTGTCCAGCCAATCAACTGACTGGATGAGATCACTTAGGGCTGATCTGACCTACTACCTGTTTTTGTAAATAAAGTTTTATTGAAACGTAGCCATACTTAATTATTTATGTGTTGTCTATGGCAGAGTTGAGTAGTTGAGACAGAAGTCATATGGCTCGCAGTGCATAAGATATCGACTGTCTGGTCCTTTACAGAAAGTTTGCTGATTCCCTCCCTTTAGCGAATGAGTTTCATAGAATGAAGGGAGCCAGAGGAGAAAGAGACTGAGGCCCAGGGCACTCTATTCAGAGAAGGAAGAGGAGGCAGCAAGTAGATTGAGAACAAGTAGCCTGGAGAGTGGTACCAAAAAAGTCAAATGAAGAAAATGTTTCAAGTGGAAGGGAGTAGTCATCTGTGAGGTCAACTGAACTGTAAACTGCCTATAGGATATGGCAGGAAAGAAGCTGGTGGTGACCTTGTGTTAAGAGGACAAGGTTTCAGTGGAGTCAGAGGTGAAAAAAGCCTGCTAGATGTGGCTGAAATAAAATGGGAGGTGAGGCAGTGATGACAGTGAGATAGAAAACTTTTCTAATGGGAAATCTGTTAGGAGGGAACTAGATAAGAGGTTAGTAGCTAGAAGAGGATATGGGATGTAAGGAGTCTTTTTTTTTTTTTTTTTTTTGAGACAGAGTTTTGCTCTTGTTGCCTAGGCTGCAGTGCAATGGCATGATCTCGGCTCACTGCAACCTCCACCTCCCGGGTTCAAGCAATTCCCCTGCCTCAGCCTCCTGAGTAGCTGGTATTACAGGCGCCTGCCACCACGCCTGGCTAATTTTTGTATTTTAGTAGAAACGGGGTCTCACTATGTTGGCCATGCTGGTCTTGAACTCCTGACCTCAGATGATCCACCCATCTTGGCCTCCCAAAGTGCTGGGCGTGAGCCACCATGCCTGGCCAGGAGTCTATTTCAAGATGTGAGATTTTAAGATGAAAATGATTCTATAGAAAGGGGAAAAATTGTAGTAGAGGGAAGGATAATTATGGAAATTGGAGGACAAGGAGGTAGGATCCAGTGCACAAGAAAAATTTAGAGAACTATAGATACGACAATGGATATAGGTGGGTTGATTGATGTGGTATTATGTATTTCTTTTCAATGCTTCATTTTTATTAGAGGAATAAGGGAGATCATCAGCTAAGAATTGGCAGGAGGGAAAGGAGAGTTATGTTTGAGGTGAAAGATGTAAATATATTTTGAATACTGGTGTTCAGTTTACTTGCATCTCAATAGCTCGTTCACTTTTTATTTTCTGTTAATCAGGAGTTAATAATAATAACAGTTAACATTGATTATTTACTGTATACCAGATTTAGTCATTTCACAATGTATATATTCTTCAAAATATGTTGTACAGAGTAAATACATAAAATTTATCTGTCAATGTAAAAAATAATGCATTTTTAAAACTATGAAGAAAAGGCTATTAAGTTCTATATAGTATGTTGATTCCTCTATATCAAGCCAAATTCTGATTTGTATTTTATTTGCAGATTTTTTTTAGTTGAAATTCTTGGGCTGTATATAATCAGATCATTTGCAAATCATGATAGTTTTTCATTCTTTCTTAAAAATGTTTGCCTCTAAAGTTCTTAATTCTGCTTAGTTGTTTTGCTTATCATAATTTTATAAAAAGGATAAGATAACTTTTCTTTTTGCTCTTTTCTCGAGTAGCTAAACTAACTTTAAAATTATCTGTTCTTTAAAACTTTGATAGACGTCTATGAAATTGTTTGCAAGGATAGGTGTTTCACAATGGAATTTCATTTGCTTAGGCTTTTTATTTCTTCTGTGGTCAATACAGGAAATTAATAGTTTCCTTAAAATTTTTTATTCTGGAATATACAGGATTATTTTGTTTAGAGCATTACATAGAGCTTTGGAAAATAGCCTTACTTTTTTTTTTTTTTTTTTTTTTTTTTTTTAAGGCGGAGTCTCGCTCTGTCGCCCAGGCTGGAGTGCAGTGGTGCGATCTCGGCTCACTACAAGCTCCGCCTCCCGGGTTCACGCCATTCTCCTGCCTTAGCCTCTGGAGTACCTGGGACTACAGGTGCCCACCACCACGCCTGGCTAAGTTTTTGTATTTTTAGCAGAGATGGGGTTTCACCGTGTTAGCCAGGATGGTCTCGATCTCCTGACCTTGTGATCCGCCCGCCTCGGCCTCCCAAAGTGCTGGGATTACAGGCATGAGCCACCGCGCCTGGCCAGCCTTACTATTTTTTTTCAAATCAGCTTTATTGAGATATGATTTATATAGAATAAAATTCATTAATTGTATCTGTTTAATTATTTTGGACAAACACGTGAGTCTTGTAATCATCACCACTTCAGTCAAGATGTAGAACATGTCTATCATGTCAAAACTTTCCATTATGTTTCTTTACAGTCAGTACCCTTCCCCCACTTTCAGCTCAGCCCGTGACAGGCAACTAAGTTGCCTTCTTTCCCTAATTTTGTCTTTTCTACAATTTCATATCAAATAAATCAGAATATGCAGTATTCTGTGTCATACTACTTCTACTTCTGATATTTATGCGATTCATCCAAGTAGTTAGAAGTCTCAGTAGTTAATTCCTTTTTCTTGCTGAATAGTATTTCATATCTGCTTATTAGTTAACAGTTTATGAACATCTAAGTTGTTTCTAGTCTTTCGCAGGCATGAATAAAGCTATTATGAGTGCTTGTTTACAAGTCTTTGTTTTAATGTATGCTTTGTTACCTCGGGTTAAACACCTGAGGGTGGGATTCATGGATTATATAAGTATATATAAGAAACTGGGCTGGGCGCAGTAGTTCATGCCTGTAATCCCGGCACTTTGGGAGGCTAAGGCAGGCGGATCGCTTGAGCCCAGGGGTTCAAGACCAACCTGGGCAACATGGCAAACCCTGTCTCTACTAAAAATACAAAAATTAGCTAGGCATGGTGGTACACACCTGTAAAAACTTTATTTAAAAAAAAAGAAACTGGGCTGGGTGCGGTGGCTCATGCCTGTAATCCCAGCACTTTGGGAGGCCGAGGTGGGTGGATCACGAGGTCAGGAGTTCGAGACCAGCCTGACCAACATGGTGAAACCCCGTCTCTACTAAAAATACAAAAATTAGCCGGGTGTGGTGGCGTGTGCCTGTAATCCCAGCTACCCGGGAAGCTGAGGCAGGAGAATGGCTTGAAACTGGAAGGCGGAGGTTGCAGTGAGCCAAGATCACGCCACTGCACTCCAGCCTGGGCAACAAGAGTGAAACTCTTGTCGCAAAAAAAAGAAAGAAACTGTCCAAAGTGGCTATATTGTTTGGCATTCCCACTAGATGTCCAATAGCTCCACATTGTTGCCAACCTGTTGTATTGTCAGTCATTTTAATCTTAGTCATTTTAGTGGATGTGTAGGTGTATCTCATTGTGATTTTAATTTGCATTTAACTAATGACTAGTGATGAGCATATTTTCATTTATTTGTCATTCCTTTTTCTCCTTTGGTAAAAAGTGTCTGTTCAGAAATTTTATCCATCAAAATTTTTAGCAATTTTATTGAGGTATAATTTACATAACATAAAATTTACTCACTGTAAGTGCACACTTGGTGACTTTTAGTCAATTTATAGTTAGGCAGGAATCATGACAATCCAGTTTTAGAATACTTCCATCACCCCCAAAACTTCCCTTGTGCCCCTTTGCAGTTAATCCCTTCTTCAATCTACAGCTTTAGGCAGCTACTGACCTACCTTCCATTTTTGTTGATTTTCCTTTTCTGAACATTTCATATAAATGGGATCATGCAATGTACAGTCTTTTGACTCTGGCTTCTTTAACTTAGCATAATGTTCTGGAGGTCCATTTATGAAGCAGCATGTATCAGTGATATATTCTCTTTTATTGCTGAATATGTTCTGTTGTAGGGATATACCTTATTTTACTTATCTATTTACCAGCGATGGACATTTGTATTGTTTACAGTTTGGGGCTGTTATCAATAATGCTACTATAAACATGAGTATACATATCATTGTGTGGACATATGTCTTAATTCATCTTAGTTGGATTCATAGGCATGGAACTGCTGGGTTATATGACGAATATAACTTTCACTTTATAAGAAACTGCCAAAATGTGTTCCAAACTACCTATATCGGTGTACCTTCCCAATAACAATGCATGAGGGTTTCTGTTTCTCTGTCTTCTCTCCAACACATGCTATTACCTGTCTTTTTGAGAACAGCCATTCCAGTGTGTGTGTAGTGGTATCTAATTGTGGTTGATGTTGAGCAATTGCTTATTAGCTATTGGTACATCTTTGGTGGAAAGACTGTTCAGTGTTTTGCCCATTCTTAAAATTAGGTTGTTTGTGTTATTATTGAGTTGCAAGAGTTTTAAAAATATATTCTGAATATAAGCATTTTATTTACATATATGATCTGCAAATACTTTCTCCCAGATTGCGGTACATGGCATGTCTTTTCATTTTCTTAATCTTATTTTTTGCAGTACAAATATTTTTCATTTTGATGAAGCCAAATGTATCTTTTTTTTCTTTTATGAATTGTGCTTTTGTATTGAAGAACTCTTTTTCTCATACAAGGACACAAAAATTCCCATTGATATTATCCATTTTATCTTCTTGATTTGTAAGAGTTCTTTATATATCTTATAATCAACTTCTTTATCAGATATATATATTTTGCAATATTTTATTAGTTTAGATACTAGATATATATTTTGCAATATTTTACTAGTTTCTGGAGTAACTTTCTATTAATTAACAAACTTTATTTTTAAAATCAGTTTTAGGTTTACAGGAAAATTTAGCAGAAAGTACAGGTTTCCTGTATACTCTCTGTCCCCAAACATACACACCCTCCCCAACTACCAACAATCCACATTACAGTGGTACATTTGTTACAGTTGATAAACCTACATTGACACATCATTACCACCCAAAGTCCACAGTCTGCATTAAGGTTCACTCTTGGTGTTGTAAATTCTATTAACTTTGAAAAATATATAATGATATGTATCCACAATTGCAGTATCATACAGAGTAGTTTCACTGCTCTAAAATTTCTCTGTGTTTGGCCTAGTCATCCCTCTCTCCACCCTAACCTTTAGAAACCACTGAGCATTTTACTGTCTCCATCGTTTTGCCTTTTTCAGACTATCATGTAGTTGGAATCATATAGTATGTAGCCTTTTCAGATTGGTCTCTTTCACTTAGTAATATGCATTTAAGTTTCCTCAACATCTTTTTGTGATGGCTTATTCTTTTAGCACTGAATAATAGTCCATTCTCTGGATGTACCACAGCTTAATCATTCACCTACTAAAAGACATCTTGGTTTTTTTTAAGTATTGGAAGTTTTGAATAAAGCTGCTATATGCATTTGTGTGCAGGTTTTTGTATGAACATAAGCTTTCATTTTATTTGGGTAAACACCAAAGAAATGATTGCTGAGTAGTACGATAAGAATAGGTTTAGTTTTGTAGGAAACTGACAAAATGTTCTCCAAAGTGGCTATAATATTTTTGCATTCCCCCAGCAATGAATGAGAGTTCCTGTTGCTCCACATCCTTGTCAGCCTTTGGTGTTGCCAGTGTTTTCGATTTTGGCCATTCTAACAGGTGTGAAGTGGTATCTCGTTGTTTTTAATTTGCAGTTCTCTGACATTCCTGATCTCTGGTTTGGTGTCTGACATTAATTTGGAGAAATTCTCATTCATTGTTGCTTCATATATTGCTTCTTTTCCTTTCTCTCATTTTCCTCCTTCTGGTATTTTCATCATGTGTATTTACACCTTTTATGCTTACCCCCAGAGTTCTTGGATATCTGTTCTGTTTCCTTCAGTATTTTTTCTCTTTCTTTTCAGTGTTGGAAGTTTCTCTTGTCACATCTTCAAGTGCAGAGACTCTCAGCTGTGTCCATTTACTAGTGAGCACATCAGAGCCATTCTTCATTTCTATTACAGTGTTTTTGATCTTTAGCATTTCTTTTTGATTCTTTCTTAGAATATTCATCTCTCTGTTTTCATTATCCATCTGGATGTTGTCTATTTTTTCTATTAAAGCCCTTAACACATTTCTTATAGTCTTTTAAAATTCCTGGTCTGATAATTCCAACATTCCTGCCATATCTGACTCTCATTCTGATGCTTGTTTAGTCTCATCAAAGTGTTTCTCGCCTTTTAGTTTTCCTTCTAATTTTTTGTTGGAAGGTGAACATGATGTACTGGGTAATGGGAAACATAGTAAATAGGCCTTTAGGAGTGCAGTGATAAGGTTTCCGCAGTCCCAGAATTAGGTCTCAGTCTTTCGGTGCACCTGTGCCACCTGATGGACCTTAACCAGTGCTTCCAGTTTTTTCCCCATCGCTAGGTGTGACAGGATAGCTTAGAGGGCTGAGTTGGGTATTTTCATTCCTCTATATCATTAGGCTCTAATAAAACCCCAGCAGGTTATGATCTATCTACTTGAGAAAATACCCTAACCTCAGGTGATCCACCCACCTTGGCCTCCCAAAGTGCTGGGATTACAAGCGTGAGCCACTGCGCCCGGCCAGTATTTAGATTTTTTTAGGCTCTTTTCTTATTTAGATTGCCACCCTCCAGCTTTCATTTAACTTATCTGTGTTAATAAGATTCCTTGACACTTCTAGTCTCCCAGCCATCTCTTCATACTATTCAGTTACTCTGTTCTCCCTAAAATTGTTGAGTTTCTTTGTTCATTTTTTCCAGAAACCATTCAACATGGCACATACCTGTTACAATATCTATACAAATCATTTAAATACTTCTCTATCAAGTATAGGAATGGTTGGTTTTAGATGTAAGAGAACAGAAGAGATATCATCTGAGAAAGCTTATAAAGAAAGTACAGTGGGCCGGGCACGGTGGCTAACGCCTGTAATCTCAGCACTTTGGGAGGCCGAGGTGGGCGGATCACAAGGTCAGGGGTTTGAGACCAGCCTGGCCAATATAGTGAAACCCCGTCTCTACTAAAAATACCAAAAAATTAGTCAGGCGTGGTGGTGGGTGCCTGTTATCCCAGCTACTTGGGAGACTGAGGCAAGGAGAATCACTTGAACCTGGGAGGCAGCGGTTGCAGTGAGCCAAGATGGTGCCACTGTACTCCAGCCTGGGCGACAGTGCAAGACTCTGTCTTGGGGGGCAAAAAAAGTAGAGTGGCCGGGCGCAGTGGCTCATGCCTGGAATCCCAGCTCTTTGGGAGGCCGAGACAAGTGGATCACCTGAGGTCAGGAGTTTGAGACCAGCCTGGCCAACATAGTAAAACCCTGTCTCTACTAAAAATACAAAAATTAGCTGGGTTTGGTGGCATGCACCTGTAATCCCAGCTACTCAGGAGGCTGAGGCAGGAGAATCGCTTGAACCTGGGAGGCAGAGGTTGCAGTGAGCCGAGATTGTGCCACTGCACTCCATCCTGGGTGACAGAGTGAGACTCCATCTCAAAAAATAAAGAAAGAAAGAAAAAAAAAGAAAAGAAAAAAACAGTAGAGTGAGCATCCAGTAGGTGGCTGAATAATAGTAAAACTCAGCTGTGTAAACATACATCTCTTTGCACAGGAGGCAGTGAACAACAGGATTGGAAACATCTCTGTTTAACTGGATAGCCATTTAAAGGATGAGTAGGCAAAACAAGGGCTTTTTCATTTTATACATTTGGTTGAACTACCTTGGATTTACTTTTGTTCTGATCTGTAAAGGAAGTAAGGTAGGAAAGAGTGCATTTAATCACTGTAATAAGGTGAGAGAGATTAGAGCTCCTTTGTAATTGTTACAAAAATATAAAAATTAAGTGATTGTCCTGATATTCAGCTGTCCTATACATGACTTATCTGTCATTCATCATCATAATTTCCTTTAAGACAATGATTAATTTATTGTACAGTCAGTTGTTTAATGCCTGCTGTATGCTAGTGGGTAGTTATTCACTGTTGAATGAAATAAGGATTACATCTTCCTTTGGGAAGGTTTAGGGATCAGAAAATCAACAAAAGAGCAAAAAGAAAAATCAGTGGATATGCGTTTGAAAATTGTGAAATGAAGAAATGAAACATGATGCTGGAATTGAGAATAAAGGACATAGACTGCCTTACAGTCGGTAGGGCAAGCCTTTCTGTGTAAGAGATATTTAACCAACCATTAAGAATGAGAAGGAGTTGGCCTTTCACAGAGCCCTGGACAGATTATTTTTAGGAGATGAAAAATCCCATAGAAAACTATATGAAATGGGAAATGTTATGACACAATCGAGGAGCTGAATAGAAGCAAGTCATAATAAGAGGGAGTAAGGAGGACAATGTCTTTGAAAGAGGTCTTTAGGTAACCAAAGACCATATTATATTATATGGTAACATGTTTGGATTTTATTCTAAGAGTAAAGAAAAACTGTTAAAATTGTTAAGTGGAGATTCTCAAACTTTGATCTATATCAGAATCATCTAGTGGAGTTATTAAAAATTCAGATACCAAATTACTCCTGTAGATTTGGTTCACTTGACTTGTGTGTAACTAAATAGCAGTATTTGTGATAAAGTTCCCCAGATGATTCTCATACACAATAAAATTTTAGAACCACTGACGTAAATAAACTATTTGCCATATCACCACAATCTTATATAATCTTTTTTTTTTTTTTGAGACAGAGTTTAGCTCTTGTAGCCCAGGCTGGAGTGCAATGGCGCAATCTCAGCTCACTGCAACCTCCGCCTCCCAGGTTCAAGTGATTCTCCTGCCTCAGACTCCTGAGTAGCTAGGATTACAGGCGCCTGCCATGATGCTCGGCCAATTTTGTATTTTTTTTTTTAGGAGAAATGGGGTTTCACCATGTTGGTCAGGCTGGTCTTGAACTCCTGACCTCAGATGATCCACCTGCCTTGGCCTTCCAAAGTGCTGAGATTACAGGCATGAGCCACCGCGCCCGGCTATAATCTCTCATTTTCTAAGCTCATGTTGCCTAATTTCAAATTATATAACTTTATTGAAATATTCTTTAAGCCACTGACTTCTAGTAAGAACCGTTTTCACTTTGTTTCCTATTTTGAAAATGTAAACTTTATGTTATGCTGGCTACAGGAAAATAATTTTTGTTTGCTTTTATGTTTTCTTTCAGGTTTGTTATCCAGGCATAAGACCAAGAAATTATCTTCAGAAAAGGACATTCATGAAATCAGTTTATCCAAAGAGAGTATAATAGAAAAAAGTAAAACTCTTCGTCTGAAAGGATCCATTTTTAGAAATGAGTGGCAGAACAAAAGTGAGTTTGAGGGTCAACAGGGACTTAAAGAAAGATCTATCAGTCAAAAGAAAATCGTCTCTAAAAAAATGTCAACTGATAGAAAACGTCCCTCTTTTACTCTGAATCAGAGAATTCACAATAGTGAGAAAAGCTGTGACTCACACTTGGTTCAACATGGGAAAATAGATTCTGATGTGAAACATGATTGTAAAGAATGTGGGAGTACTTTTAATAATGTCTATCAGCTTACTCTCCATCAGAAAATTCATACTGGTGAAAAATCCTGTAAATGTGAGAAATGTGGGAAAGTTTTTAGTCATAGCTATCAACTTACTCTGCATCAGAGATTTCATACTGGTGAGAAACCCTATGAATGTCAAGAATGTGGGAAGACCTTTACTCTTTACCCACAACTTAATCGACATCAGAAAATTCACACTGGTAAAAAACCCTATATGTGTAAGAAATGTGATAAGGGTTTTTTTAGTAGATTAGAACTTACTCAACATAAAAGAATTCATACTGGTAAGAAATCTTATGAATGTAAAGAATGTGGAAAAGTTTTTCAACTTATTTTCTACTTTAAAGAACATGAGAGAATTCATACAGGTAAGAAACCCTATGAATGTAAGGAGTGTGGGAAAGCTTTTAGTGTATGCGGACAACTTACCCGTCATCAGAAAATTCATACTGGTGTAAAACCCTACGAATGTAAGGAATGTGGAAAGACCTTTAGACTTAGTTTTTACCTTACTGAACACAGAAGAACTCATGCAGGTAAGAAACCTTATGAATGTAAGGAGTGTGGGAAATCATTTAATGTGCGTGGACAGCTTAATCGGCATAAAACAATCCATACTGGTATAAAACCTTTTGCATGTAAGGTGTGTGAGAAGGCTTTTAGTTATAGTGGTGACCTCAGAGTACATTCTAGAATTCATACTGGAGAGAAACCATATGAATGTAAGGAATGCGGGAAAGCCTTTATGCTTCGTTCAGTCCTTACTGAACATCAGAGACTTCATACTGGTGTGAAGCCCTACGAATGTAAGGAATGTGGGAAGACCTTTCGAGTTCGTTCTCAAATTAGTCTACATAAGAAAATTCATACTGATGTGAAGCCCTACAAATGTGTACGATGTGGGAAGACCTTTAGATTTGGTTTCTACCTTACTGAACACCAGAGAATTCACACTGGTGAAAAGCCCTATAAATGTAAAGAATGTGGAAAGGCCTTTATTCGTAGAGGGAATCTTAAAGAACATCTGAAAATTCATTCTGGTTTAAAACCCTATGACTGTAAAGAATGTGGGAAGTCCTTTAGTCGGCGTGGGCAGTTCACTGAACATCAGAAAATTCATACGGGTGTAAAACCATACAAATGTAAAGAATGTGGGAAGGCCTTTAGTCGTAGTGTAGACCTTAGAATACATCAAAGAATTCATACTGGTGAGAAACCCTATGAGTGTAAACAATGTGGGAAGGCCTTTAGACTTAATTCACACCTTACTGAACATCAGAGAATTCACACTGGTGAGAAACCCTATGAGTGTAAGGTATGTAGAAAGGCCTTTAGACAATATTCACATCTTTATCAACATCAGAAAACTCATAATGTAATTTAATATAAGAAAAGGTTTCCATGTCATGCTCTATTTATAGAATATCAAAATATTTATGGCCAGAAGTTCTGTCAATGTGTTGATGTTTTTTTACACATATTAACTTAATAAATGTATGAGTCTTAAATACCTCTTAGTTCTCATTAAATTTAGGAAAATTCACACTAGAAAATAAAGCTGTTAATGTAACAGTTGTGGAAAAGTGTTCTAGCAACAGCATATACTTATCATCATTGCCTTTCCACTACTCTACTATCTGTGTGATATTAGACAAAATATTTGCTTCTTGGTACCTCAGCTGTAAAATGAAACACACCTAAAAGTGTGGTTGTTTCCAACATGTATAATACAGCAACAACTATCTGGCCCAAACTGCTTTGGATTAATATTGGATATTACTGTTTTTATTATCATCAACATTATTATTAGTGGATTTCTTAATAGGAAGATGCAATGGAGATGACAAATTTGGAAAAACCACTCATCACTTACATTTCATGAAGTACTTCTTTGATAAAATCTGTTATGGGCTGAATGTTTGTGTTCCCGTAACAATTCCTATGTTGAAACACGAATCCCAAGGTGATGGTATTTGAAGGTAGGGCCTTTAGGAGGAAATTAGGTCATGAGGGTGGAGCCTTCATGAGTGGAATTACTGCCTTTATAAGAAGAAGCCAAAGAGCCAGCTAGCTCTTTCAACCACATGAGGTTACAGCAAGAAGTCAGCAGTCTACAGTGCAAAAGAGGGCCTTCACCAGAACCCAAGCATGCTGGCACCTTGACCTTGGACTTTCAGCCTCCAAAACTGTGAGAAATAAACCTCAGTTGTTTATAAGCCACTGAGTCTACGATATTTTGTTATGCAGCCCAGATAACTAAGGCACTCCATTAGAATATAAATAAAATGTAAAGATCTAAATTCAGACCTCATTGCTTAAGTTCTAAAATTAAAGATGAAGAGAAACCCTAAGGATGTAGTGAGTGGGAGGACCTTAGAATGTAGCTGTTGAAGCATCAAAGAGAGGTGTGAGGGAATTTACCCATAATAATACAGAAATTAAATGGATAGAAAAAAGAAAGATCTGGCCATGGTGGCTCACGCCTGTAATCCCAGCACTTTAGGAGGCTGAGATGGGTGGATCATCTGAGGTCAGGAGTTTGAGACCAGCCTGGCCAACATGGAGAAACCCCGTCTCTACTAAAAATACAAAAATTAGCTGGGTGTGGTGGCAGGCACCTGTAGTCTCAGCTACTCGGGAGGCTGAGGCAAGAGCTGAGGCAAGAGAATCGCGTGAATCCAGGAGGTGGAGGTTGCAGTGAGCTGAGATTGCACCATTGCACTCCAGCATGGGAGACAAGAGCAAGACTTTGTCTCAAAAAAAGAAAAAAGCTGTCTATTTAGAAAGTTTTTACTAATTTTATTATGAAAATGCTCTGAGACACAGAAACATAGAATGCATTCTATAATGAACACCCATTTTTACCTTCCACCTAGATTTGAAAATGTATATTTTGCTTTTTCTATAAAATACATTTTTTTGCGATACCATTTGAGAGTTAAGTTATAAACATCATATCATTTTGCCCCTAAATCAGTTTGTATCTCCTAAAAGTAATGGTAATACATATACCCAAAGTACTAAAATCACACCCTAAAAATTAACAATTCCATAGAATCTTATAATATCCATTCCATGTTGAAATTTCCATAATTGTTCCAAGAATATATTTCATAGATATTTAACAAGGATTTACTCTCCAGATCATACATTGTAACATTTTGGTGGTTCTGTCACTTTTTTTTTTTGAGACGGACTCTCGCTATGTCGCCCAGGCTGGAGTGCAGTGGCGTGATCTCGGCTTACTGCAACCTCCGCCTCCTGGGTTCAAGCAATTCTCCTGCCTCAGCCTCCCGAGTAGCTGGGATTACAGGCGCCTGCCACCACGCCCGGCTAATTTTTGTATTTTTAGTAGAGATGGGGTTTCACCATGTTGGCCAGGATGGTCTCGATCTCTTGACCTTGTGATCCACCCACCTTGGCCTCCCAAAGTGCTGGGATTACTGGGGTGAGCCACTGCACCCGGCCTGCTCTGTCACTTTTAAACTGAACAGCCCCTCATCTTTATGTCATTTTATTGGCTTTTAGAAGAGTCCATCACAGTTGTCGTAGAATATCCTGGATTCTGGGTTTGTCGTATTTTATTTCTGCATAATGTTGTTCCTCTTTTTCCTCTGTCTCCAAACTGAAACTTAAACAGCAGCTTGATTTGCTTCTGGTCAAACATTTTTAGCAAGAATACTTCATAGGTATAATACAGTCTGTACACACAGGAGGCATATAATGGCAGGTTGTCCTTTTATTAGTGATGCTACATTTGGTTAAGGTAGTGACTGCCAGATCTCTCCATTGTAAAGGTATGTTATTTTCTTTGCAATTAGTAAGTAATTTGGTGATAATTTGCACCTCCTCTTACAAATTTACAATCATCTACATGTATAATACAAGTCATGGATTAAACTGGAAATCAAAAGTTAAATATTGATTTAACAGAAAGCAGTGATATTGAAATGCCTACATATTGAAATCTGTAGGATGTGGCCAAGACTCTACTCAGTGGTAAATTAACATCCCTTAATGCATACAGAAAACCACGATTTGGGGATAGAACATTTTGTTCTCTGTATCCTCAACACGACTGTGACGCCTTTTGCATAGTAGGCACTTGATAAAACTCGGGAAAAAATAAGTATTTAACTCAAGAAACAAAAAAAGGTACCAAATAAAGCAGATGCTAAAAGAAGGAACTAGTTAATGCAATTAAAATTAGAAATTAAGTAATAAGCAGATTATAGACTTATTCAATTTTTCCAAATCCAGTAAAAAGAAAAAAACGATGACACAGTTATAAGTGTCACGAATTTAAAAAGGACATTACCAGAGATATCGATGTCATCCCAGCTACTCGGGAGGCTGAGGCAGGAGAATTGCTTGAACCCAGGAGGCGGAGGTTGCAGTGAGCCGAGATCACGCCACTGCACTCCAGCCTGGGCGACATAGCGAGAGTCCGTCTCAAAAAAAAAAGTGACAGAACCACCAAAATGTTACAATGTATGATCCTGAGAGTAAATCCTTGTTAAATATCTATGAAATATATTCCTGGAACAATTATGGAAATTTCAACATGGAATGGATATTATAAGATTCTATGGAATTGTTAATTTTTAGGGTGTGATTTTAGTACTTTGGGTATATGTATTACCATTACTTTTAGGATGTCAAATTATAAGAAAGTAGTATCATTTCAATGTATATAAAATTCCAGAGCTAATGAAGTCTTTTCTAGAAAATGTACTTCATTGAAATTTACACAACATAATCATGCTTGAGTGAACTAGTAAATGGAAAACGTAAATTCAGCTTAAGCTATAGAACAAGCTAGAACAACACAGTCTGCTAGCACAATCTGTTTTAGTTTAATAAAAACTTCAAGGATAATTGTTACCAGAATTTTCCCAGCTCATGATACATGGCTGACATAATCCAAATGATAAAACTAGAGAGAATAGTTACTAAAAACCAAAATTTAAATGAGTCCTAATTAAAGAGAAAAATCAAAATGCTAAATAAAATGTCAGCAAAATGATACAATTTTTCAGTAAATATATCTGAAATGTGCAGGCACTGGAATATTCTGGTTCTATACATATGCAGCTTAAATTATGGAAAAAGAATTGCTACAGTCCTATTATCATCTAGATTCATTATCATATATATATATATACACATATATATATATTAGCCTTACTATCACTGATACCTCCTGATTTCATCAATGCTAAAAAGCCCCACCCAAATCTCATCTCAAATTATAATTCCCACATGTTGGGGGAGGGACCCTGTGGGAGGTGACTGGATCATGGGGGTGGTTCCACCATGCTGTTCTCATGATAGTATGTTCTCATGAGATCTGATGGTTTAAAAGTGTTTGGCAGTTCTCCACCCCCCTCTCTCTCTCCTACCACCATGTAAGACATGCCTTGCTTCCCCTTCACCATGTGCTATGACTATAAGTTTCCTGAGGCCTCCCCAGCAATGTGGAACTGTGAGTCAATTAAACCTCTTTCCTTTATAATTACTCAATCTCAAGTAGCTCTTTATAGCAGTGTGAAAATGGACTAATACAATGTCTTGTGAAAACGTTCATTGATATTTTTAGTAAGATAAGCCTTGTGCCAGTATCAAAGCATTTTATATTTGATGGGATATGGTGTATGTATATATACACATGCACATACACAAACCAGACACAAAGACTTATTTGAATTTAATGTTCACAAGAATTTCCTGAAAACAACTGTCAGGGCAAAGGCATTTTAATAATGTTTTCATTTAATTTTTTTTTTTTTTTTGAGACAGCATTTTGCTCTTTCACCCAGGCCAGAGTGCAGTGGTGCGATCTTGGCTCACTGCAACCTCTGCCTTCTGGTTTCAAGCGATTCTCCTGCCTCATCTTCCTGAGTAGCTGGGATTACAGGTGCCTGCCACCACACCCGGCTAATTTTTGTATTTTTAGTAGAGACGGGGTTTCACCATGTTGGCCAGGCTGGTCTCGAACTCCTGAACTCGTGATCTACCCGCCTTGGCCTCCCAAAGTGCTGGGATTACAAGTGTGAGCCACTGCAGCCAGCCCTAAATTTTTATAAATGGTATTGGGACTATTATATACACATGCATATACACACACACATATAAACAGCTCCCGAAAATATAAACAACTTTTGGTGAATTAGGAACAATGGAGAATACCTGAAATAGAGGAAGCACTGGTATTAGATCATCTAAGGGAACCAGAAAACAAAACACAAGAGTGTGCACTACTTTGAAAGGTGAATGTGACATAATAAGGGTGGCCTGGGCCTAGGGTTTGTCACAAGAAGCAAAAGTGGGGACAGTGAGATTGTCCTCACAACCAATAGTGAGATTGGTTGCTTGGGGAAGTAAAGTGATTTAACCTGGCACATCACCTTCCCTTAACCCAGTTAGCAAGCCCTAGTCCCTGCTTCCAGGAGGAGGAGGTGAGGCCACTGACTGGTATTGTCCTAGGGGAAATAGGAGCATCCCTATGCCTGGGGCTAGCAGGCCAGGCATGCTGCAGCACAAAAAACCTGCCACTCCTCTGTCTCTAAAAACAAGTCAGAGTGCACATCAGAGCAGCACATCCTATTCCTGCACTGAAGCAGACTACATCCAAAGTACTCTCCACTGTGAAACTAAACACATATCAGAATTACCAAACATTTCCAAAAAAGCTGACTCCCATATAATAGAGAAACAATGCTGATCCAATGGGAAATACTATAAAGGCAGTAGTAGAATAAATGAAACGGGAGTTTTGTTTAAGTACGAATATTAAGAGTAAGTAGGAATAGCATCCTCAAAATGATATGATGGGAAATAGCAAATCTCTATAACAAAATCAACTAGAGATTACAAAAATTACTTAAATGTCCTTGTGGAAATAAAATCTTTAATAGAGGGACTTCCATTTCTGGGAAAATGGAAGAGATGTCCTTTTCCCTGTTCCTCCCACTAAGTACAACTGAAAACTCTGAACGTTATATATAAAACAAACACAAGATGACTCTGAAAGGTGGAGAGAAGAGAGCAGACTGGCTAGGGACCACAGGACCCAAGAAATGACATAGTCGTGAAGTTCCATGGACTTTATTTATATCCCAGACTTGGAGCTAAAGAAGCTGGCAACCCTAAAATGCCAATATTCAGAGATGGAAAAAAAAATTCTAAAGAAAAGCCTACTCTGTATAGCTAAAGAAACAGGAAAGGGAGTCTAGCAAGACAGGACACTATTATTTTATTTTATTTTATTTATTTTTTGAGATGAGTCTCCCTCTGTTGCCCAGGCTGGAGTGCAGTCATGTAATCTTGGCTCACTGCAACCTCTGTCTCCTGAACTCAAGCAATTCTCCTGCCTCAGCCTACCGAATAGCTGGGATTACAGGCGTGCACCACCATGCCCGGCTAATTTTTGTATTTTTAGCAGAGATGAGGTTTTGCCATGTTGGCCAGGCTGGTCTTCAACTCCTGGCCTCCATTGATCTGCCCACCTTGGCCTCCCAAAGTGCTGAAATTACAGGAATGAGCCACCACGTCCAGCCAAGACAGGAAACTTTTAAATAACCCCTTACTTCAGCCAAATGCCACAGAAAAATCTGTGGCCCCACCACCACTCTTAACACCAAAGGCCAAGTGGAGAGTCTAGACTTTTACCTTTATAGGCTGTAACAAGGTGTCCAAACTTCCTGACCAAGTAGTCTCAGAAAAAGCCCAGTGTGAAACCAGGGTCTTTCATTTTCATCAGGCAATAATGAGCCCCTCCTGTATGGTGTCAATGCCAACTAAATGGAGAACGTGGACTTTCATACCTAATGAAAATATTGTTCAGGAAAGAAGGAGAAATCAAGAACATTCTCAGGTGAAACAAAGCTAGGAGAATTTGTTGCCAGCAGACCTACCATAAAGGAAAGGCTAGCTGGGCGTGGGTTGGCTCATGCCTGTAATCCTAGCACTTTGGCAGGCTGAGGCAGGCCAATCACTTGTGGTCAGGGGTTCGAGACCAGCCTGGCCAACATGGCGAAATCCCCGTCTCTACTAAAAATACAAAAATTAGCTGGGCATGGTGGTACACACCTGTAGTCTCAGCTACTCAGGAGGCGGAGGCAGGAGAATCGCTTGAACCCCAGAGGCAGAGGTTGCACTGAGCCGAGATCGTGCCACTGCACTCCAGCCTGGGTGATAGACAGAGACTCTGTATTAAAAAAAAAAAAAAAGAAGAAGAAGAAGAAGAAAAAGAAAAAAGAAAGGCTAAAGAAAATCTGAGAACAGAAATTAAATATTAAACAAGGAATCTTGGAAAATTAGGAAGGTAGAAGAAACACAGCAAAATTACGGGTAATTTCCTTATCTTGAGTTTCCTCAATTATGTTTGACAACTGAAGCAAAAATTGTATCACTCTTAGGTGGTTTCCAATGTATATAAAAGAAATATTTAACTTGATTATAATTTGGGATGGGTAAGGGAAGGGAAGGTTTCTACACCTAATTCAAACTGGAAAAATGTCAAACCAGTAGACTTTGTAAGTTATGTATATATAACGTAATGCCTAGCAAAAGTGTGCAATCTTTTGGCATCCCTGGGCCACATTGGAAGAACTGTCTTGGGCCACACATAAAATACACTAACAATAACGATAGCTGATGAGCTAAAAAAAAAAAAATCATAAAACAATCTCATAATGTTTTAAGAAAGTTCACAAATTTGTCTTGGGCCGCATTCAAAGCCTTGCTGGGCTGCATGAGGCCCACAGGCCGCAAGTCAGATAAACTTGGCTACAGCTACTGCTAAAAAAATTGATACAAGTGATCCACCCAAAAACACTATAAATAAGAAAATGGCAGAGGAGGAAACCAACAACTCATCCCTTCACAAAAGCAATGAATAAACAAATAAAAACTTACAGAATCAACTCTTGAAAAATTTAGAAACCAGAGTAATCTACTTTTTTTTTTGTTTGTTTTTTGAGACAGAGTCTTGCTCTGTTTCCCAGGCTGGAGTGCGGTGGTGCAATCTTGGCTCACTGAAACCTCCACCTCCCGGGTTCAAGTGATTCTCCTGCCTCAGCCTCCCGAGTAGCTGGGACTCCAGGCCTGTGCCACCACACCCAGCCCAGTCAGGGTTTCACCATGTTGGCCAGGCTGGTCTCGAACTTGTGACCTCAGGTGATCCACCTGCCTCGGCTTCCCAAAGTGCTGGGATTACAGGCATGAGCCACCACACCCAGCCCAGATTAATCTTTTTTTTTTTTTTTTTTTTTTTTTTTTTTTTTTTTTCTGAGACAGAGCAAGACTCTGTCTCCCAGGCTGGAGTGTACTCACTGCAACCTCTGCCTCCCGGATTCAAGCGATTCTCCCGCCTCAGCCTCCTGAGTAGCTGGGATTACTGGAACCCGTCACCAAGCCTGGCTAATTTTTGTATTTTTTGTAGAGACAGGGTTTCGCTACGTTGGCCAGGCTGGTCTCAAACTCCTGACCTCAGGTGATCCTCCAGCCTTGGCCTCCCAAAGTGCTGGGATTCCAGGCGTGAGCCACCACGCCCAGCCAGAGTAATCTATTTTTGAAGGGCTTCAAGGTGGCTGACTAGATCCATCTAGTACTAGCCTCTTCCACAGAAAGGAACCAAATTAGCATATAGATAATCACACTTTGAATAGATCATCTGAGGGAGAACACTGGAATGCCACAGAGAAGTGATGGGAAAAGTTGAAAGAAGGAGAGGCAGCCTGCTTGGCCAGGAGAGTCTGGGAGCCTGGAGAGGCTCCCTAATGCAGGGAAACGGTTAAGTGAGAGACCCCCAGTGGTCCACATTCCCATCAATGGCTAATCTTCGCCAAGGGAGACCCCCTCTACCCTCATGAGCCCTGAGACTAACACAGGTAGCTGCCTGAAGACTGCACAAGGGCATTGCTCCAGAGAGGGAGTGCATTTTGGGTCCCACAAACCCTTGAGTCCTAAGCAGCTGCTGCATGGCACCATTTTGATAGCCCAATCCCCACCAGAATGCATCCTGCCCTGGGGCCCAACAGGCCCTGCATCTCCACATCCCTGGAACCCCATCACATTTGCCACCCATAGCTATCCCAGCAGGGATGAGGCAGGAGCCACTGGCAGTGACCCCACTTCCCACAAGCAGAGTGGTGGCTGCACATTTTCAGGAGCACTAAGGACAAATCCACTGCCTGCATTGGCCACCACTGTAGGCTTCTGCAGGACCAAGAGGTGAGCAAAACACATTTCCCCCAGCTCCCTATGGCTGCTACCATTTGAAAGCAACTGTGATGTCCCCAATAGCATGGTTGTAGCACAGCTGCTACTCCCCCTGCCCCTCCGTGCTTTCCATTGGTGGCCTGGGGATAACCCCATCCCTGCCTACCACAGTCAGCACCTGCAAGCACCACCAGATGGCTCAAGGACAGTCCCTGGCCTGAGAGTGCCATCCAGGGGTCTGGGGATCGCCCAGCCCAGTCCACAACCGTTGGCACCTGAGCACTCCTCCCAGGGTCTGAGGTCAGGCCTACACAACCTGCCACTACCACCACAGCTGGCAGCCACCTGCACACACCACCTGCAGACCTGGGGACTTGTCTGCCCAGCCCATTGTAGCCACTGCCAACACCAGCATGGACTGCATAGGTTCCAGAAGGTTGTCCCACCACTGCTACTGGCATAGGCCACACAATTCAGCTGCACAGGGGGTTAGGGACCCACCTAACCACCCAGCCCATTGCTGCCACTCCTGGCACTCAAGCAAGCCACCTGAAGGCCCAAGAATTGGCCACAGTGGCTCATGCCTGTAATCCCAACACTTTGGAAGACCAAGGTTGTTGTGGGAAGTCAGGGACCCCAAACGGAGGGACCGGCTGAAGCCATGGCAGAAGAACGTGGATTGTGAAGATTTCATGGACATTTATTAGTTCCCCAAATTAATACTTTTATAATTTCTTATGCCTGTCTTTACTGCAGTCTCTAAACATAAATTGTAAAGATTTCATGGACACTTATCACTTCCCCAGTCAATACCCTTGTGATTTCCTATGCCTGTCTTTACTTTAATCTCTTAATCCTGTCAGCTGAGGAGGATGTATATCGCCTCAGAACCCTGTAATAATTGCATTAACTGCACAAATTGTACAGCATGTGTGTTTGAGCAATATGAAATGTGGGCACCTTGAAAAAACAATAGGATAACAGCAATTGTTCAGGGAATAAGAGGGATAACCTTAAACTGTGACCACCAGTGAGCCGGGCAAAACAGAGCCATATTTCTCTTCTTTCAAAAGCAAATGGGAGAAATATCGCTGAATTATTTTTCTCAGCATGGAACATCCCTGAGAAAGAGAATGCACACCTGGGGGTGGGTCTCTGACCTGGCCCCCCGGGCGTGGTCATCTCTTATGGTTGAGACTGCAGAGGTGAAATAGACTCCAGTCTCCCATAGTGCTCCCAGGCTTATAAGGAAGAGGAAATTCCCACCTAATAATTTCTGGTCAGACCAGCTGATCTCAAAACCCTGTCTCCTGATAAGATGTTATCAATGACAGTGGTGCCTGAAACTTCATTAGCAATTTTAATTTCACCTCGGTCCTGTGGTCCTGTGATCTTGCCCTGCCTCCACTTGCCTTGTGATATTCTATTACCTTGTAAAGTACTTGATGTCTGTGACCCACACCTGTTCGCACACTCCCTCCCCTTTTGAAACTCCCTAATAAAAACTTGCTGGGTTTTGTGGCTTGTGGGGCATCATGGAACCTACCGACATGTGATGTCTCCCCCGGATGCCCAGCTTTAAAATTTCTCTCTTTTGTACTTTGTCCCTTTATTTCTCAAGCTGGCTGATACTTAAGGAAAATAGAAAAGAACCTACGTGAATATCGGGGCAGGTTCCCTGATAGAGGTGAGAGGAGCACTTGAGCCCGGGAGTTCAAGACCAGCATAGGCAACATGGCAAGACCCCATCTGTACAAAAATAATTTTTAATTAGCTGGGTGTGATGGCTCACGCCTGTAGTGATGGCTATTCAGGAGGCTGAGGTGAGAGGACTATTTGAGCCTGGGAGGTTGAGGCTGCAGTGAGCCATGATTGCACCACTATACCCCAGCTTGAGTCAGAGTGAGATCTTGTCTGAATAAAAAAAGAACCAATCTGCCTGGACCCCTCTAACACCAGTGCCAGCATATGCTACCGTGGGACCAAAAGACAGGCATGCTCAGCCCACTGCTGCCAACAATGGGGCCTGGAGACTGGTCCATGTGGCTGGCAACCCAGTCCCAAGTAAAACTTCACCACAGCCTACACTGACAACAGCACCCTGAGCCACTGAGGAAATCACAGAAACCACTGACACCGTTTGCAGTTGAAGCAATCATACAGAGACTACACTACTTCATGCACCTAGAATCAAAGACAAGGTGCCTATCCAACCAACACCACAGATACATCTTCAAGAAAAATTCCTCCCCTATGAAAGCAAATTCAAAACATTGGAAGAAGCAACTATTACACCAGATGTGAAGATCTCAATGTAAGAACACAAGAAACATGAAAAAGCAAGGAAATATGACATAACCAAAGGAACACATTAATTCTCCAGCAAAGATCCCAATCAAAAAGAAATTTATAAAATCTGAAAAAATAATTCAAAATATTTATCTTACTTTTATTTATTTATTTTGAGATAGGGTCTCATTCTGTCACCCAGGCTGGAATGCAGTGGTGTGATCATGGCTCAGTGCAGCTTCGACCTCCCAGCCTTGAGTGATCCTCCCACCCCAGCCTCAAGCGGTCCTCCCACCTCAGCCTCCAGAAGGGCTGCGACTATAGGCACACATCACCATATTCCACTTTTTTTTTTTTTTTTTAATTAGAGATGAGGTTCTCCTTATGTTCCCCAGGCTGGTCTTGAATTCCTGGGCTCAAGTGATTCTCTCCCGTCAGCCTCCCAAAGTGCTGAGATTACCGGTGTGAGCCACTCTACCCAACCAAAAATACTGATTTTAAAGAAGCTCAGTGAGACACAAGATAATAATGAAAAACAAAACAAAGGAATCAGAAAAAAACCAATTCAGGATATTAATGAGACATTTTCAAACAGATATCATTTAAAAAAACAAATTCTGGAGCTGAAGAATTCACTGAATAAAATATAAAATACATTCAAAAGCTTCAACAATACACTACATCAAGCAGAAGAAAGAATCTCAGAACTTGAAGACAAGTCTTTTGAAATAACCCTGTCAGACAAAAAAAAAAAAAAAAAAAGAATTTTTGAAAATGAAGAAAACCTACATGACATATTGGGACACCAATATAGGAGAACAAATATTAGAATTTTAGATGTTCCAGGAGGTGAAGAGAAAACAAAAGGGCTGGAAAACCTATTTAATGAAATAATAGATGAAAACATCCCAAGTCTAGCAAGAGAGATTTGAACTTGCAGATTCAGGAGGCTCAGAGATCTCCAAATAGACCCAATTTTAAAAGATCTTGGCCAAGGACAGCAGCTCACACCTGTACTCCCAGCACTTTGAAAGGCCAAGACGGGAGTTGTTCAAGACCAGCCTGGGCAACATAGCAAGACTCCATCTCTACAAAAAATAAAATAATTAGCTGGATGTGGTGGCACATGTGTGTAGTCCTGGCTATGCAGCAGGCTGAGACGGAAGGACTGCTTGAGCTACCATTAGAGCTCAAGGCTGCAGTGAGCTAGGATCATGCCACTGAATTCCAGCCTGCGCCACAGACTGAGGCCCTGTCTCTAAAAAAAAAAAAAAATTAAAAATTAAAATAAATTAATTTCAAATATAATGATATTGATAAGTTAAAAGAGAATAGGAAAAAAGATACACCATGTAAATACTAACCAAAAGAAAGCTGAGTGGCATTACTAATATCAGAAAATGCCAGTTTCAGAGAAAATCAGAGCAGAGATTATGAAATTATACAAAATTATTTAAAAAAGACCTGGTGCAGTGGCTCACGCCTGTAATCCTAGCACTTTGGGAGACTGAGGTGGGCGGATCACTTGAGGTCAGGAGTTTGAGACCAGCCTGGCCAACATGGCAAAACCTTGTCTCTACTAAAAATACAAAAATTAGCCAGGCGTGGTAGCATACGCCCATAATCCCAGCTACTCGGGAGGCTGAGGCAGGAGATTGCTTGAACACAGGGTGCAGAGGTTGCAGTGAGCCCTCAAAAAAAATAACGAAAATTATAAAAAGATCAGTTCACCAAGAAAACATAATAATCCTAAATGCTATGCCTCATATATCAGAGTTTCAAAATACATAAACAAAAAGCTATCAGAACTCATTATAGTTGAGAACTTTTATACATCTCTCTCAGCAATTGGGAGCGTTCTCAAAGTTATAAAGGGCCTGAGTTGGGGGAAAAACACATCTATAGTGCAGTCATGAAAATGTAGCCTCAGGGAAAAGATGAAGCCAATGTTTATTCTTTCTGTGAAACAGCAGGGCCTCTAAGAATCTGTCATTTTTGGGCCAGGCATGGTGGCTCACGCCTGTAATCCCAGCACTTTGGGAGGCTGAGGCGGGCGGATCACGAGGTCAGGAGATCGAGACCATCCTGGCCAACATGGTGAAACCCCGTCTCTATTAAAAATACAAAAAAATTAGCTGGGCGTGGTGGCGGGCACCTGTAGTCCCAGCTACTCAGGAGGCTGAGACAGGAGAATGGTGTGAACCTGGGAGGCGGAGCTTGCAGTGAGCCGAGATTGCACCACTGCACTCCAGCCTGGGCAACAGAGAGAGACTCTGTCTCAAAAAAAAAAAAAAAAAAGTATCTGTCATTTTTCCACAGTGGCCTCTTAGGGAGCACAATAAAGAGAAGAGCCTGTGGTGTGTCTTTTGTTTCATTTAATGAACCCTAATAAAATTCACAGTATACACAGAATTTTCAAGAGAATTGTACTACTTGATGCACTACAAGCTTGAGCTTACAGGGGCAGAAACGGTACAAAGTGAGAAAGGATCTTTGGGTTCCCAAATATCTACAAGAAAAAAGTATGAGAATAGTACTCAGTTGTAAACATGGGCTACTTTTTATGAAGAAAAAAAAGAAAACCCCAGCGTGACTCAGAAAGTGCAACCAAAAGATCAGATGGCAGGACAAGAGCCATAGAAAATCATTTCCAGGGAACGCTGATCAAGGAGCTGGTTATGTGTGCCCAGCCAGATTTCAGAATTGTTACGATTAGCAATTTCCTTCAACTGTTTTACCCACCAACTTTCTGAATCTGAATGCTTATTATTCTATGGCTGTTCCACCACTGGATGTGGGTGTGTCAAGAAACTGTAGATTGAAGTTAGTTCCCAATATTGTGGACTGAGAGGGCTCATACTCAAGGAGTGTATCCCAGGAACTGCACTGAAGGAGGCTTATCCACACCTGGACTTGATTTTTTTTCTTTCCAAATTTAATTTTAGGTGCAGGGGGTACATGTGCAGGTGTGTTACATGGGTAAATTGTGTGTTGTAGGGGTTTGGTGCAGATTATTCATCACCCAGGTAATAAGGGTACTACCCAAGAGGTAGTTTTTTGATTCTCATCCTCCCACCCTCTGTCTTCAAGTAGTCCCTGGTATCTATTGTTCCCTGCCTTGTGTCCATGTGTACTCTGTGTTTAGCTCCCACTTATAAGTGAGAACATGCTGGTTTTGGTTTTCTGTTCCTGTGTTAACTTGCTTAGAATAATGGCCTCCAGCTCCATCCTTGTTGCTGCAAAGGATATGATTTTGTTCTTTTTTATAGCTGTGTAGTATTCCATGGTGTATGTATGTATGTATGTATGTATGTATGTGTGTGTGTGTATATATATATATGGTGTATGTGTATATATATATGGTGTATGTGTGTGTATATATATATACACACACACACACACACACATTTTCTTTATCTAGCTGGGTTTGATTTAGATAAGGTCCTAGACTTCAAATTGATACTGTAATAGGATGAGACTTTGGAAGCCTGAGGGAAGTGCATGAGTGTATTTTCATGGGGCAGGATGTGAATGGTGGCCAGGAGGCAAAATGTGGCAGACTGTATTTTTCAAAGATGGATACAATAATATTTCCCATCCCACATGGTCTTCTACAGTATGTTCTTAGCACTTTTCCATCAAGAGGTAAACTCAAATTCCCCTTCCTTTGAATTTGGGCTGGATTTAAGTCTCACTAGTAACCATTAAAATGCAGAAGTGATGCTGTAATACTTCCAAAGCTAGGTCAGAAAAGGCCAGCTTCCACCTGGTTCTCTTAGAATGTTCACTCTTGGGATGTTCATCTTGGAATAAACATTCTGTGAAAAATCTGTGACCATGTAGGTGTTCCTGCTGCCAGTTCTAGCTAAGATTGGTATTCAAGTCCTCCAAGTCCAAAATTCAAGCATGAGAGA
Organism: Homo sapiens; assembly: GCF_000001405.40. Classification (NCBI taxonomy): domain Eukaryota; kingdom Metazoa; phylum Chordata; class Mammalia; order Primates; family Hominidae; genus Homo; species Homo sapiens. The sequence continues at coordinate 37,628,307 of NC_000019.10, forward strand.
GAAGAAGCCTGGAAGTGGATATTCTAGCCCTACCTGGACTAGTCATTCAAATAACCCCAGCTGAGACTCCAGACATCATGAAGCAAAGAAAAAACATCCCTGCTGTATTCTCTCTGGATTTTTGACCCACAGAACCTATGAGCATAACATGCTTGTCTTATGGCACGAAGTTTTGGGTGGCTTGTTACGCAGCAATCATCAGAGCACTTAAACCCTTCTCAAAAAGAACCACTGGAAAGTTATACCAAAGAGTAATAAAATGGTTTTTTTTAAGAGGGAATTGATGGAACAGATTGTATGGAACACAAACTGATGCAAAATTTCTCTGAACACATTTTATGTTTTTAACTTTAAAATCATGAAAATGTTATAGTCTTTAAAAGTAAAATTGAATCAGAAATAAAAATGGCAGTCCTTGAACACTGAAAATAAATAGAAACGAATGAATCTAGCTGGAAATCAGGTTGGTTAGAACTAAGCATTTTCCCTCTACATTCGTAGTGAATGATATTTGAAGGACGGAGAGTGATGCCAAGAAATCTTCAACTTCATTCAGCATTCATGTTTGGTAGTAATGCTCGTATTCTGTTGTAAGTATTTTATACTGTTTATAGATCACAGCACATACATTAGTTCATTGTTAAAATCCAACAAGATGTTCAGGGGAAAAGCAAAAGACGCGAGAATAAAATTAAAGTTAAAAATAATGTGGTATTAAATTTGAATTGGAAGTATCAATATAAACTCAGTTTTTATTCTCCTAAGTTAAAAAAACTTTTAATTGAACTATAATAAACGTAAAGTATACAAATGTACAACTCAATGAATTTTCACAAACTGAATACATCAGAGTAATCAGCACGCAAATCAAGCAACAAAACATTACTAGCATCTACAGAAACCTCCCATTGCTCTTACCATCACTATCCCTCCTGCCATGTACCCCTACCCCCCTCACCCCCACCAGTATCTTTTTTTTTTTTTTAGAGACGGAGTCTCTCTCTGTTGCCCAGGTTGGAGTGCAGTGGCGCGATCTCGGCTCACTGCAAGCTCCGCCTCCTGGGTTCACGCCATTCTCCTGCCTCAGCCACCTGAGTAGCGGGGACTACAGGCGCCCGCCACCATGCCCCGCTAATTTTGTTTTTGTATTTTTAGTAGAGACAGGGTTTCACCGTGTTAGCCCGGATGGTCTCGATCTCCTGACATCATGATCCGCCCGCCTCAGCCTCCCAAAGTGCTGGGATTACAGGCGCCCGCCACCACGCCCGGCTAATTTTTTGTATTTTCAGTATTTTTTTTTTTTTTTTTGAGACGGAGTCTCGCTCTGTCGCCCAGGCTGGAGTGCAGTGGCGCAATCTCAGCTCACCGCAAGCTCCACCTCCCGGGTTCACGCCATTCTCCTGCCTCAGCCTCCCCAGCAGCTGGGCCTACAGGCGCCCGCCACCACGCCCAGCTAATTTTTTTGTATTTTTAGTAGAGACGGGTTTTCATCGATCTCCTAACCTCGTGATCCGCCCGCCTCGGCCTCCCAAAGTGCTGGGATTACAGGCGTGAGCCACGGTGCCTGGCCGTATCCTGACTTCTAACTACATTAAAAAGTTCTCAATTTTTGTATTCCATATAATCATATAGTATGTCCTCTTTTGAAGGGGTGGGTTGCCCCTCCACACCTGTGGGTGTTTCTCGTAAGGTGGAACGAGAGACTTAGGAAAGAAAAAGACACAAAGTATAGAGAAAGAAATAAGGGGACCCGGGGAACCAGCGTTCAGCATATGGAGGATCTCGCCAGCCTCTGAGTTCCCTTAGTATTTATTCATCATTCGTGGGTGTTTCTCCGAGAGGGGGATATGTCAGGGTCACAAGACAATTGTGGGGAGAGGGTCAGCAGACAAACACGTGAACAAAGGTCTTTGCATCATAGACAATGTAAAGGATTAAGTGCTGTGCTTTTAGATATGCATACACATAAACATCTCAATGCTTTACAAAGCAGTATTGCTGCCCGCAGGTCCTACCTCCAGCCCTAAGGCGGTTTTTCCCTATCTCAGTAGATGGAACGTACAATCGGGTTTTATACCAAGACATTCCATTGCCCAGGGACGGGCAGGAGACAGATGCCTTCCTCTTGTCTCAACTGCAAGAGGCATTCCTTCCTCTTTTACTAATCCTCCTCAGCACAGACCCTTTACGGGTGTCGGGCTGGGGGACGGTCAGGTCTTTCCCTTCCCACGAGGCCATATTTCAGACTATCACATGGGGAGAAACCTTGGACAATACCTGGCTTTCCTAGGCAGAGGTCCCTGCGGCCTTCCGCAGTGTTTGTGTCCCTGGGTACTTGAGATTAGGGAGTGGTGATGACTCTCAAGGAGCATGCTGCCTTCAAGCAGCTGTTTAACAAAGCACATCTTGCACCGCCCTTAATCCATTTAACTCTGAGTTGACACAGCACATGTTTCAGAGAGCACGGGGTTGGGGGTAAGGTTATAGATTAACAGAATCTCAAGGCAGAAGAATTTTTCTTAGTACAGAACAAAATGGAGTCTCCTATGTCTACTTCTTTCTACACAGACACAGTAACAATCTGATCTCTCTTGCTTTTCCCCACACTCTTTTATGTCTGGCTTCTTTTGCCCAGCATTATGCTTTTGAGATTTATCTGTATTGTACACAGTCATAGGTTGTTCATTTTCATTGCAGTATAGTGTTGATTCAGAAATTTTATTTCTGCAGAAAAGCAACAGTTCAATATTCAGAAAGAACAGGTGACTTTAGAACATGATGCCACATCCAGGGAAACATACCTCACATCCACCTTCCAACACAACTAACCACCTGACATGAGGTCCGAACTTTCCACCTTTGCTGTCACCTGTTTTGGTTACAGCACTTATCTGTTAAAATGGGTTCATATCCCATACTCACAAGCATTAAGAGTGAAAGTTACAGGGTAAAAGGTGCTTCAGATACATTAAGTTAAATAAAATCAATTAAACTCTCATTACTTCATTATTTGGAGAAGCTATAGTTTTATTTTCTTAATTATTAATTTTAATATGCTCATTTAACCACAGAATGCTTTCTAAAAATACCATCAAGCACTAGTGTTTCCTGGGAAATGGTTTCAAATGCTATCAAGTTTCATATTCCATTTGAGAAATGGAATATAATGATGTAATACACTGAACATCATGGCTTCCCAATTATAACAGCAAATACAGTTCATAATGGATGACCACGGTGAAATCACCGAAGTCCAACTGATGCAATCATTTATAAGAACTCTGTCTTTATTAATTTTGAGAAGGTAATTTTAAGGTGTTGGGTTACACTTTTACATACATAAAATTCATTCCATTCTTAATACATAGAAAGCTAAAAAAAAAAAAAAAAAAAAGACAATAAGCATGAATTGAGATGATACTGGGCCAGAATCGTATCTCTTTTACTATCATTATGATGTTCTGAAGGTAGAATGCCTAGAATCTAAATATATAATTAAAGCTGGATGGATCTGGTCCAAGTTATTCCACATAAATGATTTTCTATTCTAAACTGTTGGATATAATTTCCCATAGAAATTAGAATTACCAGATTTCTCTTCATACGGAAAATGTCTAGATTTTCGTTTTGCCAGCCCTCCTCACCTAGTTCTTATAATCAGTTTTAGGTTAGTCTTGTAGAATAGTATGTTGGAAAAATTTAGCAATTACCAATTCTTCAAAGATTTTACTTGTAAAAAATTAGGTTCTCGGAGTCTCTCTGAGACCACTCTGGCTCAGGAGAGTAGGATTTTTTTTTTTTAAAGTTAGATTCTAAATGTATTCTTTTAGAAAGCGTATCTTCTAACCGTCTTAATTTTTCATTTGTTTGTTGGTCTACTCAGGCTCTCTTCATTCAGCATGTGAAGTCAATTTTAGTAATTTTTACCATAAAATAATTCTGGATTTTCAATATTTTAAAATACATGTATAGTGTGTGTATAAATATAAATATATATACCTACACACTATACACACACACATTACATATATGTAGTATAGCAACTTATAACTTTAAAAATCCATAGCTGTCACTTTTATCATTCATATAGCTGTAGCTGTGTAATCTTTCATATTTCTGTGATCAAAACTGCAAAGGTCTTGACTATATTGGTATCTTTTAAAGAAACACACACAAAAAAACCAAGTCTACTTTTTATTGTTTATGCCAGCGCTGACAATAGAAATACGTGAGCTACATATATAAATTTTCCTATAACAATTTTAAAAACAAAAAAGTGTTATTCATTTTAATGTATTTTATTTGAACCAATATATCTAAAATATTATTTCAATATGTACTCAATATGAAAAATTGAGATACTTAACTTTTTTAAAATAACTAAGTCTTCAGAATCTTGTGTTTTACAAAAAAACACCATTTGAATTTGGACTAGCCACATTTCAGTGCTCAATAACTCAATTTCAAGTGCTCAACAGGTTGCTAGTGACTACCATATATTAGTACAGGTCTAGTCCATTATTTCCCACATTTAGCAGTAGTAATTGCTTTCTTTTACTCATTCTTTAAACATATGAAGTGAGAGTCGGGCATGGTGGCTCACGCCTGTAATCCCAGCACCTTGGGAGGCCAAGGCAGGTGGATCACCTGAGGTCAGGAGTTGAGACCAGCTTGGCCAACATGGTGAAACCCCATCTCTACTAAAAATACAAAAATCAACCTGGTGTGGTGGCGGGCGCCTGTAATCCCAGCCACTCGGAAGTCTGAGGGAGGAGAATGGCTTGAACCCGGGAGGCAGAGCTTGCAGTGAGCCGAGACTGTGCCACTGCACGCCAGCCTGGGCGAAAGAGCGAGACTCCGTCTCAAAAAAAAAAAAAAAAAAGGTGCATACCATGGGTACTATAATATAGAGATAGAGAGGTCAACTAAATAAAATGTGGACCTACATTTTAACTTCCTGAATACATTATCGTCATTATAGTGTAATTAATATTCCAATCCCAATGTGTAGAGCTTTGGCAACATCCACAAGTTTTAATATGTAGAAATTTTCTTTTTTTCTTTGAGATAGAGTTTTGCTCTTGTTGCCCAGGCTGGAGTGCAATGGCGTGATCTCGGCTCACTGCAACCTCTGCCTCCTGGGTTCAAGTGATTCTCCTGTCTCAGCTGCCCGAGTAGCTGGGATTACAGGCGCATGTGACCACGCCTGGCTAATTTTTGTATTTTTAGTGGAGATGAGGTTTCACCATGATGGTCAGGCTGGTCTCGAACTCCTGACCTCATGATCTGCCCACCGGCCTCCCAAAGTGCTGGGATTACAGGCATGAGCCACCGGGCCCAGCCAGAAATTTTTTTTAAAATAATTCATTTTAAACTGGCTATAATTTCATGGATAATTTGATCTTTAAAAGAACATCATGGAAAATTTTAAATACACAAAAGTAGAATAGCAAAAACAAAACAAATAAAAACCATGTATCCAAGACTTAGGTTACCATCATTTTGCCAAACTTGTTATTCATCCTCATTTTTCTTTTGTATGAACAAAAGGACATTCCAGATATATCATCTCCTGTGTATAGACTTCAGAAATTATCTCTAACAAATACACTTTTACATAACCACAATGCTATTATCACACATAACAAAGTTTCTTAATATTATCTAATATTGTCAATATTCCATTCTCCCAATTATTGTTAAGTATCTCTTCTTTTACATGTTTGTTCAACTCATGATCTAAGTAAAAACCACTGTTTCATTGCATTTGACTGATGTCTCAAGTCTGTCAATACCTAGGAGTTCCACCTTATTTCTTAAAATGCCATTTTATTGGTTGGGAAACCAGGTGATTCCTCTTGTAGAATTACCCTTATTTTAGATTTAATTGCTCCTTTTTGTGTCATGTAATTTACTCTTCCATTCCTTGAATTTTCTCTAAACTGGGAGTTGGCTCTTGAGGCTTAAATTCAGGTTCAATATTTTTGGCAAGATGTGTATATCTTACTGTAGCACATTAGGAGGCACGTAATTTTTACTCTCTTGCTTTTTGTGAAGTTGAGATGATGAGTGGGTTCAGACGTTGTCAGTCTCATCTATTCACTATAAAGTTCACAACCTTCACTGAATGGTGTCAACCTGTACAGAGAATCATGCCTAGATCCATTATTTCATTATGTGTTACACAATAGTTTTTCTAATATAATTTTCTATTATTCTTTCTGCATTCATTAGCCTGGAATTTTCTAATAAAGAAGAACTTTACCTCCTTAACTTCTGGTTGCCCTGAAATACAGTTCCTACAGGAAATGCAGACTAAATGACTTTCCTTTCATTTACACATTTTCAGAATGAAGTGGTTCCCTAGCAACCTTCGTGTGTATATACACAGATGGAAGAATATGGAGATAATAATAGGTAAGATCAAAAGCTTTTCCACATTCAGTCCTGTAATAAAGTTCTTTTCTAGGATGAATTTCCTAAAGTTTAACATGGTTTCAAAGGTGATGAAAGGCTTCTATATGTTCATTAACATATTCTTTCCTTTAAATAAAACTTCCTATGCTTAGTTGTGAGCATGAAGCAAAAGGGATTCCCACGTTCAAAAACCTTTCCTCTAGAATGTACTTCCTATGCTCAACATAAAATTCGCAAAGGAAGAGTTCTAATAATTATTAAGTTACATTATGAATTCGCTGATGGTAAGTAAGATGTGAATGTTGTCTAAATGCCTTTTTACATTCCTTACATTTGTATGGTTTCTCACCAGAATGAATTCTCTGATGTTGAATCAGTGATGAATGAAGTCTAAAGGCCTTTCCACATTCCTTACAGTCATAGGGCTTTTCACCAGTATGAATACTTTGATGTTGGGTAAGTTGTGAAAGCAGTCTAAAAGTCTTCTCACATTCCTTACACTTAAAGGGTTTCTCACCAAAATGAATACTCTGATGTTGAGTAAGCTGTGAGAACAGCCTAAATGCCTTCCCACATTCCTTACATTCATAAGGTTTCTCTCCAATGTGAATACCCTGATGTGAAATAAGTTCTGAGTAACGACGAAAGAACTTCTGACATTCCTTACATTCATAGGGCTTTTCACCAGTATGTATTCTCTGATGGAGAGTTAGATGATAGCCACGACTGAAAGTCTTCCCACATTCCTTACAATCATAAGGCTTCTCACCAGTGTGAATTCTCTGATGGAGAGTAAGTTGCTGCCGCACTCTAAAGGCCTTTCCACACTCCTTACATTCATAGGGTTTTTCTCCAGTATGAAGTTTGTGATGTAGTCGAAGGCCTGTACTACACAGAAAGGCCTGACCACATTCCTTACACTCATAGCACTTCTCAGCAATGTTCAGTCTCTGATGTCGAGTAAGGTGTGCATACTGCCTAAAGGCCTTCCCACATTCTTTACATTCATAGGGTTTCTCACCCGTGTGAATCCTTTGATGGAGATTAAGTTGTCCTCTAACTCTAAAGGCTTTCCCACATTCTTTACATTCATACGGCTTCTCACCAATATGAATTCTCTGATGTACTCGAAGGTCTGAGCCACATGTGAAGATCTTTCCACATTTTTTACATTCATAGAGTTTGTCAGAAGTATGAATTCTCTGATGTCGACTGAGGTGGGCACACTGTCTAAAGGCTTTTCCACATTCTTTACATTCATAGGGTTTCTCACCAGTATGAATTCTTTGATGGAAAGTAAGTTGTTGTCGTACTCTAAAAGCCTTCCCACATTCCCCACATTCGTAGGGTTTCTCTCTGTTATGACTTTTCTGATACAGAGGAAGAGATGTGAGTTTTCTGTAAGTAGGCATTTTTTCAGAGGTGGTTTTTGTCACTTGCCTGAAACACACCTCATGAGGACTTTCTTGTTCTTCAAGTCCACAGCTTTTAATTCTTTCCATTACCTTCCACTGAGATAAGTTCATTTCATAAATATCCTTTCCTTGAAATAACTTTTTAGTGTCATATCTGGATTCCAAATCTGAAAGAAAACAAGACCAAAACATATTTTCCTGTTCTACACAAAATAAACAAACGAAAACTTTATAATAGAAATCGGTGACCAAAAAAAAAAAAAAAGAAAAAGAAAGCCCAATTGAAGTAAATGGGCTCAAAATCTCTAAAATAGGTAATTTAAAAGAAGCTAAAAGGAAATAAGAAAATGATGAGTTAAGACCAGGTTATTTGGGTGCAGATCAAAGTTTGAGACTCCCCACTTAAATTTTTCAATTTCTCTTTTCAGTTAGAATACAGAGCAAATACTTTATCAGGAGTAACATGGACTCTGTCGAACACAAGGTATCAACTCAAGCCACTGTCCCCTTTGCTGTCCATGTCCCTATGACACTTGCCTGCCTCCTTTCTGCTCCTAGAATGTGTCACAATCTTTCTTTTCTTTTTTTTTTTTCGAGACGGAGTCTCTGTCGCCCAGGTTGTAGTGCAGTGGCTCGATCTCAGCTCACTGTAACCTCTGCCTCCCAGGTTCAAGCAATTCTCCTGCCTCAGCCTCCCTAGTAGCTGGAATTACAGGAGTGCGCCACCATACTTGGCTAACTTTTGTATTTTTAGTAGAGACAGGGTTTCACCATGTTGGCCAGGCTGGTCTCGAACTCCTGACCTCAAGTGATCCGCCTGCCTCGGCCTCCCAAAGTGCTGGGATTACAGGCGTGAGCCACCACATCCGACCCAATCTTTCCACTTTTTGGAGCTTTTCACTGGCTATTAAATCTCCCAGGAATCCTGACTTGGGTTTGCATGGTTGGGTTTCTTTCATCCATCAGGTTTCATTTTAAAAATCAGAAAAATGATCCCTGCTGACTTCATGTAATATATATCCTTTGTTTTCTATCCCAGTCACTTCTTTCTTTTTTCTTTTTTTCTTTTTTTTTTTTTTTTTAAAGACAGAGTTTCGCTCTTGTTGCCCAAGCTGGAGTGGAATGGCGCAATCTCGGCTTACTGCAACCTCTGCCTTCTGGGTTCAAGTGATTCTCCTGCCTGAGCCTCCCAAGTAGGTAGGATTACAGGCATGTGCCACCGCTGTATTTTTAGTAGAGATGGGGTTTCACCATCTTGGCCAAGCTGGTCTTGAACTCCTGACCTCGTGATCCACCTGCCTCGGCCTCCCAAAGTGTCAGAATTACAGGCGTCAGCCACCGCGCCCAGCCTACTTCTTTCCTTTTTTTTTGAGACAGAGTCTCACTGTGTTGCCCAAGCTGAAGTGCAGTGGCATGATCTCGGTTCACTGCAATCTCTACCCCAGGGTTCAAGCAATTCTCGTGTCTCAGCCTCCCAAGTAACTGGGATTACAAGTGCCCGCCACCACACCTGGCTAATTTTTGTATTTTTAGTAGAGACAGTTTCACAATGTTGGCCAGGCTGATCTCGAACTCCTGTCCTCAAGTGATCTGCCCGCCTCAGCCTCCCAAAGTGCTGGGATTACAGGTGTGAGCCACCATGCCTGGCTACTTATTTCTTGCTGAACACTTTTCTCAACTGGGTTGTTATTCATTAATTTCTCCACTTATTATTCTCTTTATTTTCTTACCTTAAACTTCCCCAAGGGCAGAAACAATTTTTCACTCACCAGTGAATAGCAAATCCACAGTACATATTAACTGTGAATTAAATTCTCATAATTAGTCAACAATTATGGCATATGGTATCCTGCCTCCAATCTTAAACCTTACTACACTGATTAAACATTCTTTTTATCACTTCCTACAGAGATGGGAAACAAGTACATCTAAGCTATCTCAGTAAAATATATAAATGGAAAATAGTGATTTCTTTACACTTCATCATCCTTCCAATTGCCTCTTCATGTACACTTGCAGATACCTCCACTGCAGTTCAATTCCTACTTTGCATAATCATAAGTGAACTTTGCCCCCTTTCACGACCAAGGTAATAAGAGTCTCTAAATATTTATCTTTACTTGAGTTTACGTAACTTGCACATCTATGTTACAGGTTCCCCGTATCTTCCTGAAAGTCCCCATAATGCCATTTGTGTACTTCCTAGAGAATATTTCAGTGATTTTCCAGGTGTAACAACAGGTTTATACTATGGTAAAAGGCTAGTAAAATTCTGAGCAAAGAGATGTTTTTTGCAAATGCACCTGTTCTCAAAATCTTTGCAATAGGAATTCAATACTCTTCAAAAAGGAAAAGGTATTTTAAATAATGTTGCTTTAGGGTTAGGGTTAGAGTTAGGGTTAAAGCAACGTTATTTGTAATATACCCAAACTGGAAAGAGTCCAAGTGTTCATCAATGGAAGAACAGCTAATAAATGATGGCATATTAATACATCGCAATACTATACAACAACAAGAATTAACAAACTACAACTACATGCAGCAAGGGCTAATCTCAAAAACATAATGGTGAATAAACAAAACTAGACATACAACAATCTATACTGTACAATTCCATTTTTATAAAGTTAAAAAATGATAATTAATAATCTATGGTGGTGTCAGGACAGTGGTTAGTCTTGGTGGGGAGGAATGACCGAAAGAAGTCAAGAGGGGCTTCTGGTATCCTAGTAAAGCTCTATTTCTGAATCTGTGTACTAATTAGATGGGTGTGGTCACTGTGACAATTCACTAATTATCTGTATATTTTTGTATATATTTATATTTCAATAAGTTTACTTTTAAAAAGTATACGCTAAAAAGATAGTAAAAGACAACAATAATTTAAATGCTGTGGATAAAATGTGACCAGGGACAGGTAAATGAATGGAACAGAAAATACTGCTATATAATCGTGTTTCTCTCTCTCTGTCTCTTTCTCTGTCTCCCCATCCAAAAAAAGCAATACAAAATATGGCAGTTGTCTAGAATTTTGGGGATAAAGTCCATTTATGGCCTCAATAAGACAAATAAGATATAAGTGATATTAATAAAAGCATCATAATTAGCTAAATAATGGTAGTAAATAAGTAAGTAGTTATGAAGGTAATACAAAGGTTAAGAAATAAGATGCTCATTTCAAAGGATTTACCTGCAAATTAAAAATAAAACCAGTAATCTAAAAGGAAAGCCAGTCAAAAATCGAATTAAAGGCTAAAACATTCATAAGAAAGTGAGAACGTGTTACTGTTTATAGCATTAAAGTCCACACAAACTGGGCACCATGGCTCGCACCTGTAATCCCCAACTACTTGGGGAGGCTGTGGTGGGAGGATCACTTGGGGTGGAAGGATTATTTGAGGCCAGGAAGTCAAGACCAGCCTGGCCAATGTAATGAGACCCCAATCTCGAAAAACTAAAATTAAAAGAAAGAAATTTAAGCCCATACAAATTGGCATAAGAAATAATAAACAATGGAAAAGGTAATGGAATAAAGGAAGTGAGAAGACAATGGAAAAGTAAATATAAGCATAAACAAATTAGGACAAAATGTCTGTATTCACTAATAATCAAATTAGAATAGGTTGTAAAATTTATCCTGTAAAATTTGAAGGTTTTCATAAAAAAAAAAAAATTGCCAGTGTTGATAAGGTGAACTTGAGATTGTCATATATGGCTCCCTACTTAAGTGACAAGCCAGATCAAGATCTTGGTATTTTGAACATTCTCAGTTAGAAGGCTGTTCTATAATATACACAGCTGAGCTGTACGCTACCAAATAGCCATGTTTGTTCCCAAGTTTGCCTATTACAGTTCTTACTGCTGCAAGCAACTAAAATTATTAATGTTTAAAGACAATTATTTCTATGAAAACTAAGTTGGATGTTTCGTAGTATTGGCTATACATAAACATTTCATTTTTGTCAACGTAGGCATGGGTGAGAAAATAGTAAAAGACAGAAAACATAAAAATTCAAGAATTCTGCCCTCAGATTGCTTCACAAGTATCTTTACATTCCTGTTCTACTTCAAAGAAGTTGAAATGGGAAAGAATAGCCTATGTTTCATAAGTACTTTAATCAAGACAGAATGGGCTAGACCTACACTGAAACAAAATGCTGGGCCAAACATCAAAAGATTGGACTATGATAGACAATTTTAATGTTCTACCTCCAAAAACATGTATGTAAAATATGTATATATTTTAATTTTAATATTAACATTATTTAATTATATAATACTATATAATTTAATATTAACTAATAAAATTAATAAGCCAAATACTAGTTTGGATTCTACTGAATCAAAGAGTTTAGTCTAGTAAGCACTGCTAATGTGAAAACAAAATATTAGTCCATCTTAGATCAAAATGAAAGAAGTGTTATTTCCATTTACAGGGCATCAGCTTTAATTAAAAATAAAATAGGGGCAGGGTGTGGTGGCTCACACCTGTAATACAAGCACTCTGGCAGGCCGAGGCAGACAGATTGCATGAACCCAGGAGTCTGAAACCAGTCTGGGCAACATGGAGAAACCTCGTCTCAAAATAAAATAAAATAAAATAAAATAAAGTAAAATAAAATAATAAAATAAAATAAAATAGGGAGCAAATTATCTTGTCATCCCCGGAGGTATGCTATTTCCTGAGGTATAATGTCTCCCCCACCCCTTTTTTTTCTGGCTGATACAAGATTATACAGGATACAGAATATTTATGACCAAGACAATTCTAATTATATTAACATCAGAGATCTGAAAATGTTAAAACCCTATGACCACAAAATTGTACTTCTGAAAATTAACACTGATCTAATACTGCATAATCCATACTGAATTCCAATGAAATACTGAATAATCCTCAGGTTCAGACGATAATCTTACTGCCATTTCACCAAGGAACCAGAAACAACTGAAAGAAAAATATGTATTCTCTTCACCACATTCTCCAATCAATCTATGTCTGAATTCTTACCATATATGTGGTTTTACTTCATCAATTGGTTCCACTCCTTCCCATCTACTGAAGGTCGCTGCCTACAAAACTACCCTCTCTCTCTACTTCATCAATGTTCCTCTCTTTGAAATCATTCTCGTAGCCTATAAACATGTTCTAATATTTCACATCGTAAAATATATTCCTTGTACTCTTATGTATCTGCTTCCCTTCTATGGCAAAATTCATCCAAAGAATAGTTTAACCTTATTTTCATCATTGCCTCACCACCATTTTCTTTTTATCTCTCAGTAACTCTAAAACAAACAAATGAAAAACCTTTATAACAGAGCATTTCTAACATATCAAAAAGTAGACAGAACGGCATAATAATATCTCCATGTATCCAGCATTAACCCCATGCCCAATCTTGGCCTACGCACCTCCCAATCTACTTCCTTCGTATTATTTGAAGCAAATCTTGGATATTACATCGTTTCATGTGTACAAAGTTTGCATCTCAAAAAGCACTTTTACACATAACCACAATACCATTATCCAAACCCAAAAAATGAATTATTAAATATCATCAAAAGTCAATGTCCACACTTCCATCTGATAAAATTTTAAACAACCTAAAAAGAATAACTCATCCAAACAGAGTTCACAGAATACAACTGTTGACGTGTCTTTTACATCTCTTTTAATCTATAGGTTTTCCTATCATTTATTTATTTCCCTTGTAATTTATTTGTTGAAGAACCTGTTTTTGGTCCTGTAGTTTCCCATATTCTGAATTTGGCTCACTACATTCCCAAGGTGTAGAACATAGTCCTCTGTCTTCTTCCCGTAAGTTGGCAATTGGCTTTAGATGCTTGATAAGACTTAGGACCTTTTGTTGGCAAAGTTACCTCATAGGTGATATCGTGCTCTTTCATTAGGAGAAACAACACCCGATTGCCTCTATTTCTTTGATGCTATCAGCACTGATATTCAATATCTAAATCCAATAGTTCTTATGGGTTCCACAATGGTAATATTCTATCATTTCTTCTTCATTTATTCACTGAACACTTTTATTAAGAGAAACATACCTCCATCTACTACCTATTCATATAATTCTTATAAGAAAGGCAGGATAAATGCTTCTTTTCCTTTTAATTTATGCTTTTTAAATGTTAGTTTTCTAGTAACTTTCAATGATGAATAATTTGCTGTTAGTATCAAGAATTTATAAAATTAAGTGTATTTTATGCATTGCAATACACTGCAGTCATTATATGTAATGACGTTCAAATAGTCCCATCTTTGGCCAACTGGAGCCTGACCAACCCATCTAAAATTACTCTATTCATTCATTATAATTCTCCATATCCTTACCTTACTCACTTTTCTTCATAATACCTAATTACTTCAGGATATTTTAGTAATCCATTTACTGATTTTATTTACTTGTTTACTGTGTGACTCCCCACTACAATTTAAACTCCATGAACATGGGCAATGAAAAAATGTATACATAAAAGTCAAAATATAAAAGATGAGCTAGAAAGGGATTAGATTCAAAATACAGGTAAAATGGAATCACTAGGGCAGAAAGCTTTCCTCTACTGAAATAGGGGAAAGAAAAGGGAGGGAAACAAGATAGAAAAGAAACGACTGAGGCCAGGCGCGGTGGCTCACGCCTGTAATCCCAGCACTTTGGGAGGCCGAGGCGGGTGGATCACGAGGTCAGATCAAGACCATCCTGGCTAACATGGTGAAACCCCGTCTCTACTAAAAATTCAAAAAAATTAGCCAGGCATGGTGGCAGGTGCCTGTGGTCCCAGCTACTGGGGAGGCTGAGGCAGGAGAATGGCGTGAACCCGGGAGGCGGAGCTTGCAGTGAGCAGAGATCGCGCCACTGCACTCTAGCCTGGGCGACAGAGCGAGACTCCGTCTCAAAAAAAAAAAAAAAAAAAGAAAAAAAAAGAAACGAGTGATAAGTGGAAGTATGGATGAAATGTCTTTGATGGCTCATGCTGAGAAGATCTAAATTTTCTTCCCAAGTTTCAGGTCTCTTCTTCACAATTGACATCTAAGGGGTGTGTCTCCTCCTCAACCAGCAGGTCTGGCCATGCCATAATGGCTGACCTCTGCCTGATCAGCACTTACCTAGAGTCCATCTTCTTTTCTCATCCCTCACAACCATCCAGGGCTCTTTCCCTTGTTCCAATAGGGTGATCACATCTGGCTTAGAAATAGAACATCCTGCTTAAAAATAAATAATAGAATATAATAAAGAATTTATTTAAGGCTTCAAAACAAAGAAGACTATCAGGATTGAAAAACATTCATAGCATAGAGTTACTTCAGGATCACAAGGAAAAACAAGAACACAGAAGTAGGGACCTGGTTTTATTTTAATTTAAACTTACACAGGCTCTGTCTCTTGAGAGAAAAGAATAGTTGAAAGCACTGGTTTCAAATCCTGCCTCTCTTTCCCATGTCAGTAGAGCAACTAATTCAATCTCTCTGCACCTCATTTTTCTCAGACGTGAAAAAGGGATAACAGTAATGCGTATATATAGCATTGTTGTGAGATTCGATTTAATGTAAGTGTTTAGATGAGTACCTGGTACATGTTAACCATCATATATGTTCATGAGGTACTACATTTGCTATTTTTTGATTTTTTTTTTAAAGAAAAATAAGTTTCTTGCCAGGATATGCATACAATATTAAATGCAAATTCATGTATTTTAAACTTAATCACAAAGCAGTTAAAATATGTCTGTTGTAGGAAACTGAATACTGTCCACTTGAGTTTTAACAAACTGTCAATTCAACCCAGCATCACATACACTGTAAAAGCTCTTTTAATAGCTATGTAGAGCCAGACACCTCTGTCTTCCTATTCTCACTGTAAATGAGTTACAAATAACATGGACCATCCATAGCAGTATGAAATCAGATTGTTTTGACAATGGTTTTGCCATGAGTGTCTAAGAATTTATATCCAGCTGTCATTAAAGACCGGTAATAACAGAAAAGTCGAAGAAAAATATAACGGTCACTGAATTATACAGAAAGATGAAGGTGCTTAATAGTGGTACTTACTGTCAAAGCACAAAGCAGACATTTAGCTAGTTTTTAGAAAGACAGCCCAGACGCGGTGGCTCACACCTGTAATCCCAGCACTTTGGGAGGCTGAGGTGGGCAGATCATGAGGTCAAGAGATCAAGACCATCCCGGCCAACCTGGTGAAACCCCGTCTCTACTTAAAATACAAAAATTAGCTGGGTGTGGTGGTGTGCGCCTGTAGTCCCAGCTACTCGGGAGGCTGAGGCAGTAGAATCGCTTGAACCCAGGAGGTAGAGGTTGCAGTAAGCCAAGATTGCGCCACTGCACTTCAGCCTGGTGACTCAGCGAGACTTCGTCTTTGGAAAAAAACAAAGACAGCCCAGAAATTCAGTCCTGTGAATGTCTAAATTATCTGACACAGATATGCTAGGCTTACCCAGTGACACCAAGTTGCTATAGTTCTCTAATATCACATCTCTGTACAAATTCCTCTGATATGAGTTCAGGCATTCCCATTCTTCCTGAGAAAAGTCTACAGCCACATCTCTGAACATCACCAAATCCTGAAATGATAAACGCATGTATTATTTGTAAGATAAATGAAAATATTTTGAAGATGGAAGAAGGTGGCTGGGTGTAGTGGCTCAATGCTTATAATTCTAGCTTTGGGAGCCTGAAGCAGGAGGACTGCTTGAGGCCAGGAGTTTGAGACCAGCCTAGACAACATACCAAGAACTTGTCTCAAAAAAAAAGGCCGGCGCGGTGGCTCACACCTGTAATCCAGCACTTTGGGAGGCCGAGGCAGGCAGATCACGAGGTCAGGAGATCAAGACCATCCTGGCCAACATAGTGAAACCCCGTCTCTACTAAAAATATAAAAAATTAGCCAGGCATGGTGGCGGGCGCCTGTAGTCCCAGCTACTCGGGAGGTTGAGGCAGGAGAATGGTGTGAACCTGGAAGACGGAGCTTGCAGTGAGCCGAGATCGCGCTACTGCACTCCAGCCTGGGTGACAGAGCGACAGAGCGAGACTCCGTCTCAAAAAAAAAAAAGAAAAAAAAAGTGGAAGAAGGGTTTTGATGATACATGTTCACTTCATACATCAAATGAATAGACTAGGGCTGGAAGCCTGTGATGTGGGAAGGTGGCAATAAAGATGTGAGTGTGACTGAAGCAGAATATGTGTTCTTGAAGATTTCTATAAACAAAAGACCAGGGTTTGGCAACATTTTCTGTAAAGGGCCAATATTTTAGGCTTTGTATACCACATATGGTCTCTGTTCCACATTCTTCTTTTTTTTTGTAACAATTATTTCAAAATGTAATTAGCTTGCAGGCTGTTCCAAACAAGCTACAGCTTGTGGGCCAGATTTATAGTGTATCTAGTTTGCCCACCACTGCTATGGCCAAAACTTCCTACGTACTATGGAATAGGAGATAATTTTATTTATTTCCAGACATATTCGGGTAATTATCAGAATTTTTCAATTAACTGAAATAGGTTCATAGGAACAGTACTTGCAAAGGACCTAAAAAATTCTCAATAAATGGGATTTACTCTATCTTCTTTTCCTTTAAAGATTTTTAAAAAATAATAATAATTGATGGTATTCTCCCCAAAAAATGAACTGTAAAATGCCTATTTTTAAAAAGTATAGTTTGCATAAAACTTAAAAATGTCTTCTAGATGTAACTTTATCATAATGTATCATTAGCATTTTTATTATAACAGATTCTTTATTTAATATTTACAGTTTACTGCATGATACAGTAGTTCTCCCTTACTCATGGTTTTGCTTTCCTCAATTTCAGTTACCCACAGTCAACCATGGTCCAAAAATATAAAATGGAAAAATTCCAGAAATAAACAATTCATAAGTTTTCAACTCCATGCCATTCTGAGTAGCATGACGAAATCTCACACTAACCACTCCGCCCCACCTGGGATGTGATATGCTTTGTCCAGCATATCAACATTGTATATACTACCTGATTATCAGATCAAAACAACATCATAAATATAGGGTTCCATACTATCTGAGGTTTTGAGGCATCCACTGGGGGTCTTGGAATGTATCCCCCTTGGGTAACGAGGGACTGCTGTACTCCATCTGATGGATATGTTACACTTAATAGTGATTATATTTAGATATAGCTATACTTTTAAATATATTATATTTAGAATTTACATTACAAAAAATATCTAAAGCTGCTTCAATGCCCAATATTCTAGTTTAGCAATATGTGGATACTGAGCACTTGAACTGGGACTAGTCCAAATTCACATGTGCTGTAAATGTAAAATATATACCAGATACCAGATAGTGAAGACTTTAGAAGCAAAAAAACAAGGTAAAACATATTGATGATTTATATATATATTCTTTATTTTATCTTGGTTTTGAGGCAGGGTCTCACTCTGTCACCTAGGTTGGAATGGCGTGGCACAATCACAGCCCATTTATTGATTACAGCTCACTGCAGCCTCGAACTCCTGGGTTCAAGCAATTCTCCCACCTCAGTTTCCCAAATTGCTGAGACCACAGGCATATGCCACCACATCTGGCCAGTTTTGTTTTGTTTTGTTTTGCTTTGTTTTGTTTTTTTAAGAGATGGGATCTCATTAAGTTGCTCAAGGTTGTCTCGAACTCCTCTGCTCAAGTAGTCCTCCTGCCTCAGCCTTCCAATTCCAAAGTACTGAGATTACAGGCATGAGCCACCACTGTCAGGGCCTGACCATGACTTTTATATTGATTACACTGTGAAATAATATTTTGGCCATATTGGGTTAAATAAAAGACATTAAAATAAACTACATGTGTTTCTTTTTACTTTTTTTAATGTGACTACTAAAGTATTTAAAATATTTGACCTTGCATACTAGTCTACACTTTTAAAATTTGACTACTAGAAAATTTTAAATTATATTTGTAGCTTGAATTACAATTATTTTGGACAGTGCTATTTTAATCCTGAGAATTTCAGATAAAATGCCCACTTCTAGGAACTTCATTTCTGCCCCATCTCTGCTCTAGACAGATAAGGAGCACACAAGAGATGCTGAATGATTTGGTCAATGCACACATGGATACTGGTACAATTTGGCTGTGTCCCCACCCAAATCTCATCTTGAATTGTAGCTCCCATAATTCCCATGTGTTGTGGGAGGGAGCCGGTGGGAGATAATTCAATCATGGGGGCAGTTGCCCCTATACTGTTTTCATGGCAGTGAGTAAGTCTCACGGGATCTAATGATTTTATAAGGGGTTTCCTCTTTCTCTTGGCATTCATTCACTCTTTGCCTGCCACCATGTAAGACATGCCTTTCACCTTCCACCATGATTGTAAGGTCTCCCCAGCTATGTGGAACTGTGAGTCCATTAAACCTCTTTTTCCTTATAAATTACCCAGTCTCAGGAATGTCTTTATCAGCAGCGTGAAAATGGACTAATACAGATACAGATGGAGAAGACAGGGGCACTTAGGAATCTGGCTGGCTCCATCCCGTGCTGGAATGGGGAAGACTGGGGAGAAGCTGTTGAATGGGGCTCTGTTAGAAAGTTGCAGAATAACAAATGAGAATGTTCACATAACCTGAAAAAAATGACAGAATTCCAAAGTAGAGAGAAATTCCAACTTACACGAGCCATGATTTTAGAACTGCTAGAACTGGTCAATTTTCCTCAAGGTTCATGTACTTCAGAAGCAGGGTCCACAGACACCAGAGCTGCAGAAAGAACATGTAAAATCATGAGAAGAGAACTGCCTCAGAGTTTCCAAATTTTAAAAACTGGTACTACTTCTCCATTCCTATATGCAACTCCCACCCCCAACACACAGACAAGTTTTGATAGGTAAGAGGTAGTTTAGACAAAGATGTCCTCCCCAAAACCACAGCGAAATCAGCTCAGCTGCACAAGGAATTGAAGAGCAGAGACTCTGCGGCATCAAAGCATATGTCTAGACACTTCAGCAGGAGGGCTGCCAGTTGGTCCCCAGCTCTGACCCCAAGGCGGGCTGGTTTGGACCAAAGAATGGGTTGTGCAGACCTGTCCTGAACAGATCCTCCTCCCTCCATCCCCACCTTCCCAGCTGAAAAGGGGCTACACCATCTAAACCAAAACTTCCTTCTTGGCCTTAGGAATCTGGCTGGCCTCCCCAAACATGAAGACAAAAAATAGCATAGACAAGAATTTCCCAAACTTTGCTCAAATTGGAATCACCTGGATATCTTTAAAATATACTGTTGCCTGGCTCCCACCCTTAAACACACTGATTTAATTAGTGTGACGTGGGATTTAGGATTTTTTTTTTAACTACCTCCTCCTCCCATGGGTGCTTATAATGGGCAGCAAAGTTTGGTAGTCAAACTTTAGTATGCATCAGAATCACCCAGAGGGCTTCTTAAAACACAACTTGCTAGGTCTCACTCCCAGAGTTTGGCATTCAGTACGTCTGGGATTGGACTTGAGACTTTGCATTTCTAAAAAGTTTCCAGGTGATGCTGATGCTGCTGGTCCAGATGCCACACTTTGAGAACCACAGGTATAAAACACCTGTAGAAAGGCTATATAGCAGCCTTTATTATGGCAAAACTGCAGGTGCACATTGGGATCCCTTCCCCAAGGCTTAACTCAGAGCTCTCTGCTCCTTATTTTCCTATTCAGGATCATCAATATTGCCTGCATGATCTCAATTACCAAGCAATCTTTCTTGGTACTCAGACTTAGAGAAGTAAATTTATGAAGCCTGAGTGTGGATAATGTTCTAGAAGCTAGAAATAGGCTGGGTGCAGTGGCTCATGCCTGTAGTCCCAGCACTTTGGGAGGCCCAGATGGGAGGATTGCTTGATGCCAGGAATTGAAAACCAGCCTCAACAACATAGTAAGATACTGTCTCTAACAACAAAAAAATTTTTTTAAATTAGCTGGGTGTGTTGGCACCTGCCTGTATCCCTAGTTACTTGGGAGGCTGAGGCAGGAGAATTGCTTGAGCCCAGGAGTTCAGGGCTGCAGTGAGCTATGATCTTTCCACTGCACTCCAGCCTGGGTGACAAAGTAAGACCCTGTCTCTTAAAAAAAAAAAAAAAAAAGAACAAAATAGGAAAAAGAAATAACCTATCAGCTTATCAGTCAAAATCTACTCGTAACTAGAGAGCATATTGAAGGAACTGGATTGGCAGATTTCAAAAAGCTATGACACCTCATAGTTACTAAGCTGTTGGGGAAATGGATACTCAATGATATGATGTACAAAGAATGAAATAATATGTGGATAGAGTGTTTAAAATGGGACCAAAAAAGCTGGAAAGAACCTAAATGTCCTTCAGCAATGTCAAATAAATTATCATGCATTCACACAATGGAAAATTAAACAGCCGAGTGCAGTGGCTCACACCTGTAATCCCAGCACTTTGGGAGGCCAAGGCAGGTGACCGCTTAATAAGTCCAGGAGTTCAAGACCAGCCTGGCCAACATGGCAAAACTCCATCTCTACAAAAAATTAACGGGGCATGGTGGTGCACACCTGTGGTCCCAGCTCCCTGGGAGGTCAAGGTGGGAGGATCGCCTGAGCCCAGGAGGTCAAGGCTGCAGTGAGCCCCGTTCATGCCACTGAACTCCAGCCTGGGCAATAGAGTGATACCCCGTCTTAAAAAAAAAAGAAAGAAAAGAAAAAAAAAAGAAAAATAAACACCCATTAAAAATGAAGATAAAATTCATATTTGATGTCATGGGAAGATGGCCACTACATATTGTTGGGGGAAGAAGACAGGTTAGAAAATATGATTGTAATGTAATTGTATTTCGGCAGGTAAACTACATACACATGCATACATGTATATGCATGTGTATAAAATGATCTGTGAATTGGAATAAAATTTTATTGTTACCTTTACTTGATGGTATCCCAGTCCTAGGTGATCTTTATTTGTTCTTCCCTGGAATCTTTACATTTTTTTTTTTTTTAGGCAGGCTTTTGCTCTGTCGCTCAGGCTAAAGTGCAATCTCGGATCTCAGCTCACTGCAACCTCCACTTCCAGGGCTCAAGCGACCCTCCTACCTCAGCCTCCTGAGTAGCTGGGACTAAAGGCACATGACACCACCCTGGCTATTTTTTACCGCGATGCAGTCTATGTTGCCTAGCCTGCTCTCAAACTCCTGGACTCAAGTGATCCACCTGCCTCCACCTCCCAAAGTTCTGGGATTACAGGCTTGAGCCACTGCACCTGGCCTGAATTTTTTAATTAAAAATTTTTATCACTTATACCTGAACAAAAATTCAAAACAGCTATGCAAGGAATATCACAAAAAGCTCCAACAGTTCCATCCCTGCTACTCTGCCCCATCTTCCAAATCTAGAGGCAGTAATTTTTACCTCTATTAGCCATTCCTTTTGGTATTTAAAAAACATGCTAATATTTCCACTTCTGAATTTTCAGTTGTAATCATTACATATTCACTTACTACTATAAGAGGCATAGTTTTAGCTGTCTTTTACCTACTCAACTCCCACCCACATATGCATAGTTGCAGTCCCTTTGTCCTTTCAATATGATTTTCTTTTCCTTTTTTTTTTTTTTGAGACAGAGTTTCACTCTGTCACCCAGGCTGGAGTGCAGTGGCACAATCTCAACTCACTGCAACCTCCGCCTCCTGGGTTCAACCGATTCTCTGCCTGTCCCAGCCTCCCGAGTAGCTGGGATTACAGGCACACACCACCACGCCCAGCTAATTTTTGTGTTTTTTGTAGAGATGGGGTTTTGTCATGTTGGCCAGGCTGGTCTTGAACTCCTGGGCTCATGTGATCGATCCACCAGCCTCGGCCTCCCAAAGTGTTGGGATTATAGGTGTGAGCCACTGCACCCAGCCTCAATATGGTTTTATTCTATTTCAGAGTAAATCAGTTTTTAAATTCAGTTTACATTACTGTGACTAAACATTGTTACCAACTGAACTATGCAGTATACTCAGGTTATTTTGCCTTTTTTGCATATGACTTTTTTTTCTGAGATTAAAATGATCTTGTTTTTTGTAAGTTTAGTTTTCTAAGAAATTATCATTAATTCATTTCCCCGAATCATGTAATTGAAGGATGAAGCTCCTGGTATAAAATAGCACAGCTGGCCGGGCACAGTGGCTCACACCTGTAATCCCAGCATTTTGGGAGGCCAAGGCGGGTAGATCACGAGGTCAGGAGATCAAGGCCATCCTGGCTAAAACGGTGAAACCCCATCTCTACTAAAAATACAAAAAATTACCTGAGCATGGTGGCATGTGCCTGTGGTCCCAGCTACTTGGGAGGCTGAGGCAGGAGAATTGCTTGAACCCGGGAGGCGGAGGTTGCAGTGAGCCGAGATCACGCCACTGCACTCTAGCCTGGGCGACAGAGCAAGACTCCATCTCAAAAAAAAAAAAAAAATAGCACAGCTGTCTATTTTATATTCTAAGAATGAAAAATCAATCCTTCAGAAATACAGTCAAATACTTCAAATACCTGTATCCCACCTGGCAAAAGTCAATTCCTAAATATGCCTAACTCTGAAATTCACATGACTCTGAGGTGAAAAGTTGATCAAGTCATAGGAGCCAGAAATCCTCCTGAAGGAATTGCTTGGGCAGTTTGGAATATTCCTGTCCAATAAGTCATTTCTTAAAAAATTTACAAAACATCCATAAAATGGAATACTAAGGTAATCACTAAATGCTAAATTTTAGAAAACAGTTAAGGAAAGGAAAATATTCAAGATACACTGAAAGAAAAAAAAAGTTTACAAAACAATATATGATTAGATTTTTTAGACCATTAAAGGGAAACAGACTTGAACAGATGAAAAAAACTCTTAAAATTTCAATTCTGAGATTTTAAAATTAATTTTAAAATCAGATTTAAATCTCAACTTAACTGAAATTTCCATAATTTGAAGAACTGTAAATATTTGGAAGGTCTGTCAAACCAGAAGTGGATCACTGGGATGTCACTTTTCTCCATACATCCATGGAGTCATATAATCCACAAGAGCACTGAATTCCTCTTTTAAACTAAGAACTAGAGGTCTTAGTTTCTTTTAAATTTGCAATTAGTATTAGCCTGTTCTTCAGAGAGAAAACCACCAGCCGGGTACGGTGGCTCACACCTGTAATCCCAGCACTTTGGGAGGCTGAGGCAGGTGGATTGTCTGAGGTCAGGAGTTCGAGACCAGCTTGGTCAACATAGTGAAACCCTGTCCCTACTAAAAATACAAAAAATTAGCTGGGCGTGATGGCAGGTGCCCGTAATCCCAGCTACTTGGGAGACTGAGGCAGGAGAATCACTTGAACCCGGGAGGCGGAGGTTGCAGTGGGCCAAGATCGCGCCACTGCACTCCAGCCTGGGAAACAAGAGCGAAACTCCACCTCAAAAAAATAAATAAATAAATAAAACCACACACAAAACCACACAGACTTGTAGAAATATTTTGGGAAAATATGCTCTAAAACATTAATAATTATTATTTCTGGACATTGGGACCATTGATCATTTTAATTTTCTTTATAGGTTCCGTAGTTACTAATATTTCACAAGCTTGTATTAATTCTGTCATCAGAAATATTTTAAAAAGCTATTCCAAAAAATTTTAAATGACTGGGAAGATAGGCTACCTTACAGTCATTAAGAAAATTGTGGGCCAGGTGCGGTGGCTCACGCCTGTAATCCCAACACTTTGGGAGGCCGAGGCAGGTGGATCACTTGAGGTTAGGAGTTCAAGACCAGCCTGACCAACATGGTGAAACCCCGTCTCTACTAAATACAAAAAATTAGCCTGGCATGGTGGCGGGCACCTGTAATCCCAGCTACTTGGGAGGCTGAGGCAGGAGAATCGCTTGAACCCGGGAGGCAGCGGTTGCAGTGAACTGAGATTTCGGCATTGCACTCCAACCCGGGCAACAAAATCGAAAACTCCGTCTCAAAAAAAAAAAAAAAAAGAAAGAAAAAAGAAAATTGTGATTAAACAGGCCCTGCATAAATGGTGACAACAGGGAAATCAGTGTGACTGAAAAAATAATTTCTACCAGTTCCTGAGTATTGTATCTCATCAAGACCCTGAAATAGTTCTGTGAAGGATTACAATCCTGGTTCATGTCATTTCCAAAGTGATTAAGAGCCAGTAAGAACTGCAGACAAAAACAAATGCTCATTTCACAGCAGCTACTTAATAACTTGCATTTACCCCTCCTCAGCTCCAATAAATAACTAATCATTAAATACCTAGCAATTTAATATTTAAATATTACATTGTTGCAAAATAACTTAAAAACCTTTATTGTAGTATACAAGATTCATATGTAACAATTTCTTGATGATTCTTATTTACAACAATACTTCTCAATATTACATTATACTTTTTTCTTATGACTAAATATAAACAAAATTCTTATTATTGCATAACATTCCATCACATGGAGTGTGATTTAACCATTTCCATACTGCTAGATATTAATTTTATAAAAGAACATCCCGAAAGTCATTACCAGTTATTTCATTTCTAGACAGTGAGAATCAATGTTGTTGGAGCTTATACAACTCTGATAATACCATGAAATGATAGACTTCCTCGCTCCACTGAAAAAATTAACCATTTACAAATACATACAACAATTCTGTATATAATCTTAAAATATCTTTGTTGCCCTGAAAGCTCATAAACAGAGTCCAAGGACTTATGTTACCAATCCCTGTTCTGGTCCACTGCAGGGTCTGGCTCATTTTCCTGCTTGCAAGCATCCATCATAATTACCTTCACATTTGCATTGGTCTTGGAAATACACAAAGCTGATAGGAAATGACTGAGCATCATCATTTTAATACCAGTAGCTAGTATGAATTAAGGACTCACTATGTGCCAGGCACTCTCCTAAGAGCTTCACAAATATTAATTCATGTAATCTTCAAAACAACACCGTAAAGTATACACTATTACAATTCTGAGGAAATTGAAGCACAGATTGCTTAAACTCGTTCAGATTTAAGTGGCAGTCAGGATTCAATTCCACTTAATCTAGGCTCGAAATTCTTAACCACTACACTACACCTCCCTCAGTCGATCCAAGATATACCCAAAATAAACTCATGCTGCCAGACCTCAAACCACATCTGGCTGGTACCAAAAACTTCCACTCATGAATTTCCTGGAAAAAAAGAAATCTCCACTCCTACCCCAGAACCATTAAACATATCTAAACCCTAAAAAACAAATAAAAACAAAGTATGAACATTAATCTCCAGCACGGGTATTTCCATATCATCAAGATCCTTAGAAAAACAGCGCTCACAGAGTAATTGAATTTGCAGCCTACAGTTAACTAACCATGTGTCTAACTATAGAACAGCATGAAGTGGGCACTAACAACGGGAAATCTATTAATTAGGTCCCCTGCCGTTAACTAGGTAGGGAAATCCTAAGGCCCAAATCAATGAATAAATAGATCATTCCTAAGCAGGATTTTAAACGGAAGGAACTCGAATGCATTTCACAGAAACAAAGCAGCAGCACGAACTCACAGGGAACCGGCTTTTAGAAGAGCAGCAGCGATTCGTTTCTCCTTCTCAAGCGCCTTCTCTGGAAACTGGCAGGGCTGGGGAAGCAGGCAGAGTTCAGGACACCCCAGGCTTTTCTTGACTCGATTGGAACCCACCCTCCACGCTTCCCTGGCCCCAACTAACCGCCACCTGCATGCACAAATGGAAACGACAGGGCAGAGGGTCAGCAGTCACCCGCGTCTGGGTTCGCAGCTCCGGGTACGCTGTAGTTCCGCACCCGGTTGCCCACGCCCGGGACCACCCACTGTGTCTTTTCGGAACTGTCCAGCGTGTCCTCCTAGACCCCAGACACCCACCCCAAATCTAGGTCCCAGCGTTTTGCAGGGGACCTTCATCCTGGGGCGTTCACCTCTGACTTCCCTCTTGGGCCTTTTCGCTACGGCCGAGCCTAAGTGGCTGAAGCGCGGACGAGGATGCGCGGGGCCTCGGTCTCCAACTGCACCACAGGCCGCACCCACGAACCTGGTCCGGCACAGTTACTACCGCCCGGGCCTCCAGGCCTCAGGGCTGCAGAAGCTCAGTCCCGGGAAAAAAAGCACACCGGCCTGAGGCTCCACAGGAACCTTTTCTCCACCTTGGCCCGGCCTGCAAAACCTGGCCCACTCCGCGCTCTTTTCCCTCAGAAAAGCAGCGGCCACAGTGGCGCCCGGCTCCCAGCCCCAGCCTCACCCGACTCAGAGGATAGCCCAGCCCTGGGAGTCAGCGGCGCCAGAATACGGGAGAGCGCCTGTCTCCGTCGCGAATGCGCTAGCGCGCGGGGGGGCGGAGGCAAGTCCCGCAGCTGCTCCGGGCCGGGAGGGGCGCGTGGGGCCGGGTCTCGGCGGGGATAGTCGGGCCGGGGAGACGGAGCCAGAGGGGCCGCAGTGTCCCTCGCCTCAGGCCTCTACCTGTAATGGCCGCCCCGTGACTGACCAGTGCCATTAAAGATAATCCAGGCCTGCTCCCCTGTGGACACTGCGGTCCAAAATTTAAAAAAACAATATTCCGCCTTTTTATTTTTCATTTGGTTCTCGGCTCGGAGACAGGCGGAGGCTGCGAGCCCCGCCCCGCCCCCAGCGACGCCTCACCGGAACCTTTGGAAATCGGCTTCTGCCTCGAGTGCGCAAGCGCGCGGGGGGCGAACGCTGGGGCCCTTCAGGGAGCAAGGGAGAAGTGTGGGGCCGCACCTGCCGAGGGGTCGGGAGGTTTGGAGGAGGGTGGAGGTTGGCTACAGGATCCCGATGGGGATGGAGTGTTCAAATCTAGGCCTGTAGCCGTGACCCTGGCGTGAGTTGGATGGAGGAAACCCCAGTATCGCGAGCCTGGACCAAGGCGCGGCGCGTGCTGCCTGTGGTGTTTGCTGAGTGACGGCCGCCGCGCCCCCGCGTACCTGGACCGAGTGCCTGGCCGCTGGCGGAGTAGTGTTTCCGTGCACGGGGCTGCTGCGTGCGCGTGTGCCGTTCTCTAGCGGGGGATTAGGATGGTGCCGCAGAGAAGGCTGCGCGGTGGTGCCTGACTCTGACGCTGGCTGTAGCGGGTCTCTGGGGTCTTTGCGGTTTGTGTCTGCGTTTGTGACGTACCTGACATCGGATCTGTGACTGTGGCTCTGCCTCATCCAGCGTTATTTCCAGAATCCTTCTGATAGGGCAGCGCTTCTGGTTCTGGTTTTCCATGGAGACGGTTTGTGGGTCCCTATGAAACTGAGTGTTGGGATTTTGATTATCTGCATCTGGCCCTTGTGTGCCCTCAGGACTGTGGTGTTAGGCAAGTAAAATAATTGCAGGAAAAAAAATTGGAAAGGAATAAGGTTGCTATTACTTCCAAATGATGGAATTGTAGGACTGTGTCAGAAAATTGAATAGGACACCATGAAACGGGAGGGAGAGGCATTTTATTTTCTTCCATACCTGGTCTTGGAATATTCTAACAAATGAGATTTGTTTTTTCCCCTTTGTTCCTGGATGAACTCTTGGATAAATTCAATGTCTCCAAGCATTCTTGGATAGTAAGTTTCTTTGATCTTTAGTTGAAAGATCAGCCTCATTTTCGTAGCTAAAAATACCTTTAGTAATAAAAATGTTCATTGTAATACTTCATTTAAAATATTTAAAACTTTCTTCTTTCTCCTTGATCTCTTCCAGATATCTCAAGTTTTGGTTAAGTGAATATGTGGAGTATATGTACTAATTACGTCAATTATTTTCTCTTTAAAACCAAGTACATTTCTTACATGAGTTTGTTTATCAAGGATTTATTGGTTTTCTTTGTACTTGTTGCTATTTTTTAGAAATGTTCCAACAGATATGTTAAATGTTCATCGATTATTTTTTCAGTGGTTCAAACATCGGAGTAGAATCTCTCTTCCATTCTGTGGCTGCAATTGGACTGTACAGTTGTCCTAAAATTTACCGTCATTGTTTTCCTAAGTTTGATTCTTGTTTCCTAGAATTCAGCTAATTTTTGCTAAAGTTCTTTTCCAATAAGTTCCTTAAGATGCATGTATTAAAGATGTTTTTTAGTTCTTTCATGTTTGAAATTTTTTTTTTTTTTGAGACGGAGTCTCACTCTGTTGTCCAGGCTGGAGTGCAGTGGTGCAATCTTAGCTCACTACAACCTCTGCCTCCCCAGTTCAAGCGATTCTTCTGCCTCAGCCTCCCGAGTAGCTGGGATTAAAGACGTGCACCACCACGCCTGGCCATTTTTTTTTTTTTTTTTTTTTTTTTATAGTTTAAGTAGAGATGGGGTTTCACCATGTTGGCCAGGCTGATTTCGAACTCCAGACCTCGGGTGATTCGCCCACTTAGGCCTCCCAAAGTGCTGGGATTACAGGCGTGAGCTACCGCGCTGGGCCTGAAAATGTCTTTATTCTGCCTTCACACTTTGCCTAGATTCAGAATTTGGAGGCGTCACTTCACAGTGTTCTAGTAGCTAATGTTGTCAAGTCTAATACCAATTGTTTTCTGTTCCTTTTTAATTTCATGTCCCACTCCCACCAACGCCCAGATACCTATTGCCACCTGTAATCCACAATGCACTTACATTTCATAATTTATGCACTTGGCATGTATGTTTAAACATTTTTTTCTGCTAGTTATAGGGCAGCACTTTATAGGTCTGAACATTTTTCTTCCTCTTTTTCTTTTTTGACAGTCCTCTATCCTTCTGAATTTTTGTTCTCTTGTCCTGGAATTTGTATTTCATGGAAGGACTTTTCATGAGCTGTATGTTTTGTCTCCTATTTTTTCTCTTTTTCTCTTACTTTGGGAAATTTTGTTGACTTTACAGTACAATTGTATTTATTTTTAATTTGATAATCATTTCTAATTTCCAAGAGCTCCTTTATATTCTGTAATTTTTATTTCTTCATAGCCTTTCGTTTTTATTATGGATGCAATAAAACCTCTAATCTCTCAGAGGGCAATTAGTTTAAAGTTTTCTGGTGCTTTTTTTTTTAATCTATTTTTGTCTTTTATATCCAAATCAAATTCCCCCTTTACAAAAAAGTTTGAATTGTTCTCTTTTTATACTGGATACTTCCCTGAAATGTGTGGTAATCCTTGCCTCTAGTCATGGAGTGAATCTTCTCAACCTGACTTCAGAGCCAGCCGTTTCATTGGGAGATGTGAGCTGTTCTTTAGTTCCTCCTTTGAGGACAGTGAGTTAGTGATGTCTGAGACCTCAAAGACCTCTCAGAGGCCCCCAGTTTTGAGTGTAGTTTTTCATTTAGTTTGCCTATGACTCAGTTCTGTCTTTCTTTATGCAGGTATACATCCTCTCTGGGTCATTTTATCCACAGATCACCCCCCTACCCCAATTTAGTGTATTTGATCACATAAGAGAGGAAAAGTAAAAAAGGTGAACAGCCAGTTTGTGTTCAAACTTTCAACCAATCTCCTGTTTCCAGATCCACATCTCTCCAGGGTCATGCTCTTTGGTGCCTGAGCTTCCAGGGGTTTATGCATTGAATTGCCTCATTAATAGAAATCTGACTCCTAAGCCCTTTCATACCAGAATTCTTGGACAGTTCTCCTGTTTTTGTGTGTGCGTTTTTTTTTGTTGTTGTTGTTGTTTTGTTTTTGCAGTCTCCCTCCTCATTTTCTTTGGTTCTTACATGTTAATACTTTTTATATTCCTTTACTTAATATATTCATTTTAATATTTTTTTTTTGCAGAGGAGAAATGGGAAATCAATGCATCTACTTACTCTGTTTATGGAGAAGCCTTTCATTACTCTTTTAAGTAAGATTTTGCTTGTACCGGACTTTTTTTTTTTACACCAGCTTATTTCTTTTAGTTACTGCTTTTGTTTTCTGTTTCATTAATTTCCACTTTTATCTTTATCAGTTTCTTCTGATGACTTCTCAGGGTGTATTTTCTACCTTTTTATTTACAGTTTTCTATTCCTTTCAAATTCATCAGGTTGTATTCTGAAAAAAACCCTTGGTCTTAACTTCCAACTTGCTGAGAGATGTTCTCTAGCTGTTTCAGTATTTTCACTCCTTTTTTAGCCCAATTATTATTTTTTAAAATTAATTCTGAAAAATTACAGATACACAAGAGAATGTATAAATGTGTTTACAGTTGAATGAATGAAAATAATGAAACTAATTCTTGTACCATAACTTCATAAAATATGAAGGTCTCTTAATATGTTTTTGGCTAATATTTACATAGGAAAAAATTTACACTCCTAAAACTCAATGTGACATATTTTTTATTTTGAAATAATTTTGAATTTTCATTCTCCTATAGCCTTCCCCCAGATTCACCAGTTGTTCATGGTTTTCCACATGTGCCTTATCATACTCTGTCCATATTTATATTTTTTAGTGGACCACATGAGAGTAAATTCCAATCATACCCTTTACATCTAATTACTGAAGTGAGTCTGTCCTAAGCTCAAAGACATTTAGTTACTTTACCATTAAGTATTAAAATCAGGAAATTTAATATTACAAAAATCTAATGAATGCCCTTTATTAATATATTTTGCCAGTTGTACCTGCAGTATTCTTGAATAGCACTTTTTTATTTGTCTAGAATTCATTGTATTATCACTGATTGAATTTGGCTGATAAGTATATTTAGTCTTTCATCTAGAGCAGTTCCTCAGTCTTTTTTGTCATTTATGACATTGATATTTTTGGAAAATACTGGCCATTTGTTTGTAAAATATCCTTCAATTTGAGTTTTTCTAATGTTTCCTAATTAGATTCAGACTATGTATGCTTTGGCACCCATATACTGTACTACACTATACCATACTGTACTATATACACAGTGCTTTTCCATTTTATTTTTGAGATGGAGTTTTGCTCTGTCACCCAGGCTGGAGTGCAGCAGTGCAATCTCGGCTAACTGCAACCTCCGCCTCCCGGGTTCAAGCGATTCTCCTGTCTCAGCTTCCCCAAGTAGCTGGGACTAAAGCCGCACGCTACCATGCCCAGCTAATTTTTGTATTTTTAGTAGACACGGGGTTTCACCATGTTGGCCAGGCTGGTCTCAAACTCTTGACCTCAGGTGATCCTGAGGCCATCCTGGCCAACATGGTGAAACCCCATCTCTACTAAAAATACAAAAATTAGCTGGGCTTGGTGGCACACGCCTATAATCCCAGCTGCTCGGGAAGCTGAGGCACAAGAATCACTTGAGCCCAGGAGGTGGAGGTTGCAGTGAGCCGAGATTGTGCCATTGCACTCCAGCCTGGGTGTCAGAGGGAAACTCTGTCTAAAAAAAAAAAAAAAGTCAAAGGAGATGCTGTCATTAACATGTGGACAGCAGGCATTGGCCAGACTGTCCCAGGCAAAGCAGGACATCAGGTCATCCTAGGCTTGCAGGACCATCACGTCTTCCCTCTTCCCCCTGACTCACCCTAAACACTATAACAACCAGAAACATTTCCACAAACAACCACTCTTCCTATTTGGAACTATTCAGAGGCCTTACCTGTCATGTGGAGATAATATTAGTGCCTATTGCTTGGGTAAATCATGGGGCTGTTGTGAGGTTAAGTTACTTAATATATGTCAGGCATTGGGAACAGTGTGCAAAGACACACACACTGTACATTCAAGGATACTCACTGCAATAGCAGAAGTCTGAAAGCATCCTACAATTATCAATGGGTCACTGGTTATAAAAATTGGATACCTTTGTGCATTGGATTATAATTATCTAGGATAACTGTATGTTTGTATTTGTTGAGGACAGTCCTGGTTTATGTCCTTGTCCTGGAGTAAATGATATCACCCACTTTCACTCTCAAAAGCATACTGCTTTGAATGTTACATAATCTGGTTACTCTTTAGGTCTATACATGTAGATATAAAATTGTCTCTAAGAGGCTGGGCGCCACACTTGTAATTCCAGCACTTTGGAAGGCTGAGACAGGCAGATGACTTGAGGTCAGGAGTTCGAGACCAGCCTGGCCAACATGGCGAAACCCCATCTCTACTGAAAACACAAAAATTAGCCAGATGTGGTGGTACACGCCTGTAATCCCAGCTACTCAGGAGGCCGAGGCAGGAGAATTGCTTGAACCTGGGAGGCGGAGGTTGCAGTGAGCTGAGATCATGCCACTGCACTCCAGCCTGGGTGATAGAGTGAGACCCTCTCTCTCTCTCTCAAAAAAAAAAAAAAAAGTCTCTAAGATGCTGGGAGTGGTGGCTCATGCCTGTAATCCTAGCACTTTGGGAGGCCTAGGCAGGGGGATTGCTTGAGCTCAGGAGTTGGAGACCAGCCTGGGTAACATAATGAGATCCCATCTCTACAAAAAATTTTAAAAATTAGCTAGGCATGGTGGCATGCACCTGTAGTCCCAGCTACTCAGGAGGCTGAAGTGGGAGAATGGCTTGAGCCTAGGAAATTGAGGCTGCAGTGAGCTGTGGTCATGCCACTGCACTCTAGCCTGGGTAATAGAGTGAGACCCTGTCTCAGAAATAGAAAAATAAAAATAAAATAGTCTCTAAGAAAGTTTAATATGGGAATTGAATAACAATTGTTTAAGTAAAAAAAAACTAGAAATGTGCAAAAAATAGGAAGTACACTTAGATGCATACATGTGCTTGTGTACGGATGGGATATCTGGAATGAGATGCAAGAAAATGATTAAGTGGATTTCTGGGACTGGGATAGAACTGAAGGACTGGTCAGAACAGGAGAGAAACTTACCTTTAATGGGACATGCTTTTTAACAGTTTGATTTGCTTTTGAAAAGAACTATGAACATGTGTTACCTTTTCACCAACTATAAAATTATTATTATTATTATTATTACTAAGTATATGGAGAGGGCTCTTGACAGGAATCTGATGTACTGTCCTGTTCCATGAATTTTCCATCCCAGAAGCCCCATGGTCAGCTGGGCATTGCCAATCAATGGGATGCCGCCTGGTCCAGGGTCACTCTGACGCATCAGACATCTGCTTTGCTTCAATTACTACAGGGTTGCCTTTGAAGACAGAATTTCCATGCAAGGTACAAGAAGCAGGACCAATGATAAGCCTTCTCTTGGAGTAGGAGAGTGGGGCAGGTAGATCTCAGAGTGAGCTCATAAACAGAGTCCTGGTGTGTGAGTGCTGGTTTCTTCTACAGTGATCCGTCCCAGGACTGCTGTGACCCCTGTGGGGAAGGAGCCCGCATAGCTGGTGTTGCTGTCTGGAGTAGAATCCTGTGCCCCACTCTTCTCATGTTTGGATATATCTACTAAACCTCTTGTTTTAATAGCAAGACATTGAGCTGCTGACAACCCATAAAAGGTACAGCCTTGGCTGGGCACAGTGGCTCACGGCTGTAATCCCAGCACTTTGGGAGGCCAAGGCAGGTGGGTCACCTGAGGTTAGGAGTTTGAGACCAGCCTGGCCATTATGGTGAAACCCCATCTCTACTAAAAATACACAAATTAGCCAGGCATAGTGGCAGGCGCCTGTAATTCCAGCTACTCAGGAGGCTGAGGCAGGAGAATCGTTTGAACCCGGGTGGCAGAGGTTGCAGTGAGCCAAGATCATGTCACTGCACTCCAGCCTGGGTGTCAGAGTAAGCCTCCATCTCAAAAAAAAAAAAAAAAAAAAGGGTACAGCTTTACCCTGCAGGATGTCAGTATGTGAGTAAATTCTTTGACTTGATTTCTCAAGTGGCTACACAGTAGGGCAGAAATTGCCCGGCCTGTTTCACGGAACTGAGGCCCAGACATTTTCAGGGCAGAATTGCAGGTAGAAGAATGGCAGAGCTTGTTGGCTGGGACTTCCCTAGGAGAGGTGTTGCCTGTGCTGGGGACTTGGTGGTGTGGAAGCAGTTGGGGATTTCACTATGAGATTGAAGTGAAGTCATTATTGAGTCATGAATGGAGTGTAAGTGTGGCTTGTACCTGTACATGCCAGCCCTGGCAAGAGTCTCCGGTCCAGTTGCAGGGGTGCCATAAGCAGCGAACAGCCTTTGGCCATGAGGTCCTGTTTTTTCCCCTTTCCCAGGTTGTTGGTGATGGGGTTAACTGGACCCAAGATGATGAGAGAGAAGGGAAGCAGGTCCGAGCCACACTCGGAGCTTTGACATCTGGAGCTCAAAAGATGTGGGACAGTGTGTGCCTCTGTGTAGGGAGGGCTCCCTGCAAGCCAAAGCTCTTGGTTTACAATTGGGCGTATCAATTAACTTGACCCAGTCAAGGTGAATCTCAGAGGATTATTTTGGAATGCCAGGCAAAGGTGCTCTCCCTCTTGTACTGGAGGGGATATGTCCAGATAGGAGGCCTGGAACTGATGCAGTCATGAGGAAATTAGCCTCAAGCCAAAGCCAAAACACTGGCAAAGGGAGAGCTGAGTGTTCAGTGTTGAAACCTGATGACATAGTGAACATCTTGATCATGCCATACCTGAAGCTCCATTTATCTTTGGACTTTTTGGTTACAAAAGCCAAAAAAAAAAAAAGTCATTAATTTTTTTGCTAAATGAACTATTTTTTACAATGGTTTTAGATTTATGTAAGACACAAAGATATGACAATTTCATACACTCACACCAGGTTTCCCCTAGTAGTAACACTTACCTTAATATGATACATTTGTTACAATTAACCAATACTGTCAGGGAACAGGGCCCATGCCTGTAATTCCAGTGCTTTGGGAAGCTGAAGCAGGACAATAACTTGAGGCCAGGAGTTTGAGACCAGCCTGGGCAACATAGCAAGACCCTTCACTACAAAAAAATATTTTTTAATTAGCCAGGCATGGCTGGTGCTGTGGCTCATGCCTGTAATCCCAGGACTTTGGGAGGCTGAGGTGGGTAGATCGCCTGAGGCCAGAAGTTGGAGATGAGCCTGGACAACATAGCAAGACCTTGTCTCTACTAAAAATAAAAAAACAACAGCTGGGCATGGTGACATGCACCTGTGGTCTCGGCTACTCGGAAGGCTGAGGCAGGAGGATTGCTTGAGCCCAGGAGGTGGAGGTTGCAGTGAGCTGAGATTGTGCTACTGCACTCCAGCCTGGGTGACACAGCAAGAGTCTGTCTCTTAAAAAAAAAAAAAAAAAGCCATGGTGGCATATACATGTACCTGTAATCCCAACACTTTGGGAGGCTGAGGTGGGCAGATCACAAAGTCAGGAGTTTGAGACCAGCCTGGCCAATATAGGGAAATCCGTCTCTACTAAAAATACAAAAATTAGCCAGGCATGGTGGTGGGTGCCTGTAGTCCCAGCTACTGGGGAGGCTGAGGCAGGAAAATTGCTTGAACCCCGGGGAAGGAGGTTGCAGTGAGCCAAGATCACGCCACTGCACTCCAGCGTGGGTGACAGAGCGAGAGTCCATCTCAAAAAAAAAATTTTTAAGTATGACATAGTGTTTACCAAGCAAATTTGGAAGGAACAGGTAATCACCATTAAATGTTTATCAATTATTTCTATAAGATTAAATTACTTTTCCAAAAATGGACAATGGTGGCATCCCAAAATTCTATGATACACTTTTATGTCTTTTGTGTCTTTTTATGAAGCTAGCTATAAAAATTACCAGTAATCAATGAAAATTAGGAGACAAGTAAGGAAAGAAAAATGAATATAGAATAGGCAACTTAAATGAAAATTACATAAAAGCATTGATAGACATAAACCTTGTCAGTAATTCCAAAAGTGAGTGGACTGTTATAGTTGAAACTTTTTTTTAATTAGAAAATACTAATCTGGGCCGGGTGCAGTGGCTCACACCTGTAATCCCAGCACTTTGGGAGGCCGAGGCAGGCGGATGATGAGATCAGGAGTTTGAGACCAGCCTGGCCAACATCATGAAACCCTATCTCTACTAAAAATACAAAAATTAGCGGTTTTGATCATTTACAGTTTCAAAGTATCTTCCCACAAAACACTTAGTAATTAAAAAGGGGAATATGATAATTTTAGAATGGACAAACCTGGTCAACAATACTTTAATCAAGAGATACAGGTTAGCATCACTAATGTGATGCACTGTTAATAAAAAAGGAAAGGCTGGGGCACGGTGGCTCATGCCTGTAATTCCAGCACTTTGGGAGGCCAAGGCAGGCAGATTACCTGAGGTTAGGAGTTTGAGACCAGCCTGGCCACTATGGCGAAACCCCATCTCTACTAAAAATACAAAAATTAGCCGGGCGTGGCGGCGTGCACCTGTAGTCCCAGCTACTCGGGAGGCTGAGTCAGGAGAATTGCTTGAACTGGGAGGCAGAGGTTGCAGTGAGCTGAGATCACACCACTGCACTCCAGCCTGGGTGACAGAGCAAAACTCCCTCTCAAAAATAAAATAAAATAAAATGGAAAAGCACTGTGTATATAGTACAGTATGGTATAGTGTAGTACAGTATATGGGTGCCAAAGCATACATAATCTGAATATAATAATTAGGAAACATTAGAAAAGCTCAAATTGAAGGATGTTTTATAAAACAAATGGCCAGTATTTTCCAAAAATGTCAATGTCGTAAATGACAAAAAGACTGAGGAACTGCTCCACTATGTCCTGCCAAAAAAAATTTTTTAATAGAGTTGAGGTCTCACTATCTTGCCCAGGCTGGTTATCAAGCTCCTGCCCTCAAACAATACACCAGCCATGGCTTCCCAAAGCACTGGAATTACAGGTGTGAGCTACCATGCCTGGCCTAAGTAATAGCTTTTAAAGGTAATTATCTTTGATTAATTTTTCAATGTTTTTGAAGGGATAATTTTTTTGAAAGACCTTTCTGAAGGTCTTTCCCCATATCTAACATTCATAGGGTTTCTGATTAGTATGACTTACTTGATACTGAGTTAACTGAAAGTTATGACCAAAGTCTCTGCCACATTCCTTATATTCTCTGCATTTCTTTCCAGTGAAATTTCTCTGATGTTCCATATGATTTGTGCAAAATATAAAGGTGCTCCCACACATTTCATTAAGCTTATCACTGGCATGGATTCTTCCTTGTGGAGTAAAGTTTTCACATTTTGGCTTCATTCAGACTTTCTATAGCTTCAAGTTTGGCTTCATTCAGATTTTCTATACCTCAGTGAACCAACTAGAAACATTTACATATTCCTGTAAAATGAAGTTTACCATAGATATTTTAAATTTAATTGAAATACTAAACAAAATAATTCATAATATTAAAAATGCCTGTAAAATTTCCATGTTCCCATTTGCACTGATGCATTTATGTTATTTCTCTTACTCATCTCAATCATAACTGGCAAATTTAGTCTATATTACTGGTTATTTCAAACCACTTTTAGATAAAGTCCACTTTCTGTTTAGCTCATTTTCTTTTTAAGTAATTCATTCAAATTCACTGAATAAACAGATTGATTTGTGAATACGTTTCCAGCGTCAATTTTGGGTTTGTTACTTTTCTGCTTGAATGTTTATTCAGATGAGCCATATACCTCAGGTTTTATTATGCAACACTCTCACTATCTTTCATATCTAAACAGCTTGTTATTTCAGATTACATTTTTCACTTAATCCAAGAACTATATATGGTGGTGTTTATAAACTGCAAATTTTTAAAATTTACCTTTTGTATCTACTTGTCTTGTTTTTTTTTTTGAGATAAAATCTCACTCTGTTGCCCAGGCTGGAGTGGAGTGGTGAGATCTCGGCTCACTGCTACCTCCATCTCCCAGGCTGAAGCAATTCTCCTGCCTCAGCCTCCCGAGTAGCTGGGACTACAAGTGCACACCACCATACCCACCTAATTTTTGTATTTTTAGTAGAGATGAGGTTTTGCCGTGTTGGCCAGGCTGGTCTCATTGTTTTTTTCTTTTTTTTTTTAGACAGAGTCTTGCTCTGTTACCCAGGCTGGAGTGCAGTGGCACAATCTCAGCTCACTGCAAACTCCGCCTCTCGGGTTCACACCATTCTCCTGCCTCAGCCTCCCGAGTAGCTGGGACTACAGGCACCCGCCACCACGCTTGGCTAATTTTTTGTATTTTTAGTAGAGATGGGGTTTCACTGTGTTAGCCAGGATGGTCTTGATCTCCTGACCTCGTGATCCGCCCACCTCAGCCTCCCAAAGTACTGAGATTACAGGCGTGAGCCACCAGGCCCAGCCTGGCCAGGCTGGTCTCGAACTCCTGACCTAAAGTGATCCACCTGCCTCGGCCTCCCAAAGTGCTAAGATGAGAGGCATGAGCTACCACACCCAGCCTGTCTTGAGTTACTGTCAGAAAACGTACACTGCTTTTTGAAACTTGCTTCAGATATATCACTTCTCATATCAACTTTACTCTAAAAAAATTTACTTACTATATCCATTCAGTGTTTCCAGAGTGAATTTTCTGATTCAACTAAAATAAATTTAAATGAATGTTTCCTCATACTCACTATATTCTAATAATTTTCATTCCAGAATAAATTATCATAGATTTGCAGTCAGAGAAATTGTGATGGTGGATTTCATTATATTAGTAAAATCTGCATAATTAAATGTTCTTATATAAATATTCCAAGAGTAGTAATGAAGGTGATAATCATGACAGCCAATATTTACTGAATAGTTTCTATTTGCCAATAACTATTCCCAAAGTCTTTGGATAAACTCATTTAATCTTCACAATAACCTTATCACAATGTAAGAAATTTGTAATCTGAAGTATACAGTTTAAATTACTTGGTAATAAAACAGACGTGGAAACTGGTGAAAGTATAATGATGCTGAAAAAGATTCGTGTAATAGATAAAAGCTTTTCTACATTCACAAAGTCAACATGATTATTCTCTATATGCTATTCTCTATAAGTCAAATAAAATTTTAGTGGTAATGTTTTTATTAATAATTGATATTCTATTTTTTCCATATAAATTCTGATGCTTAATAAATTGTGAATTATGAGGTAAAAAAATTTACAGTCACTGGATTTTCTTCACTTACAAATTGTTTGCTATTCCATAATTGATAATTTCAAAATCAAGGATTTCCTATATTAATCACACTATACATTATATAATGTTGAGTATATTGTGAGAGTAGATCTTTACACATATCGGGCTTTCATTAGGCTTCTCACCTGTACAAATTCTGTTATGAAAAAGTATAGCTGAGGGACAGGTAAAAGTGTTTCCCACATTTCTTATATTTCTGAAGTTTCTCTGCAATGTGAATTTGGTGATGTTAGATAAGGATTGTTAAATAAAAAGACGCTATTCAAATACATAAGATTTGTCCCTTCATGTATGTATTCTCTGGTGCTTTTTCACCTATGAAAGACAAGAAGAGGCCTTCTCACATTCATTACATTCATAGGGTTTCTCACCAGTAGGAATTCTTTGATGTTGAGTAAGATGCGCCCTCTGCCTAAAGGCCTTCCTACATTCCTGACATTCAAAGGGTTTCTCACCAGTGTGAATTCTCTGGTGTTAAGAGTTGAACAATCAATAAAGGATTTTCTACATTTTTTACACTGATACGGTTTCTCACTAGTGTGAATTCTCTGATTTCTATTAAGGTAGGAAACAAGCAAAGGCCTTCCCACATTCCTTAAACTCATAGGGTTTCTCACCAGTATGAATATTTTGATGTTGACTAAGATGGGCTCTCTGCTTAAAGGCCTTGCTGCATTCCTGACATTCATAGGTTTCTCATTAGTATGAGTTCTATAGTGTTGAATAAATGTTGAATAACAAAGAAAAGCTTTTTTACAATCTTTACATTCATAGGGTTTGTCACCAGTGTGAATTGTCTGATGTTTATTCAAGTTTGAAAGCCAAGTAAAGGTCTTTACACATTCCTTACATTCATAGGGTTTCACACTGGTATGAATTCTTTGATGTTGAGTAAGAGTTGGATAATTATTAAAAACCTTCCCACATTCTTTACACTGATAGGGTTTCTCTCCTTTGTGAATTCTCTGATGTCTATTAAAATCAAAAAAACAAATGAAGGCATTCCCACATTCATTACATTCATAGGGTTTCTCCCCACTGTGAATTCTCTGATGTCTCATTAGATGTGCATTATGCTTGAAGGCCTTCTTGCATTACTGACATTCATAAGGTTTTTCATTAGTATGTGTTCTCTGATGTTGAACAAGTGTTGGACAGGAGACAAAAACCTTCCCACACTGCTTATATTCATAAGCCTTCTCACCAGTGTGAATTCTCTGGTGTTGAATAAGAGCTGAACAATTGTTAAAAGCTCTACCACATTCTTTACATTCATAGGGTTTTTCACCAGTGTGAATTCTCTGATGTCTATTAAAATCAGAAACACAAGTGAAAGCCTTCCCACATTACTTACACTCATATGGTTTCTCACCAGTATGAATTCTTTGATGTTGAGTAAGATGTGCACTTTGCCTAAAAGCCTTTTTACATTCCTGACATTCATAAGATTTCTCATTAGTATGAGTTCTCTGGTGTTGAGTAAGTGTTGAGCAATTATTGAATGCTTTGCCACATTCCTTACATTCAAAGGACTTCTCACCAGTGTGAATTCTCTGATGCTGAATAAGAGTTGAGCGATTGTTAAATGCCTTCCCACATTCTGTACATTCGTAAAGTCTCTCATCAGTGTGAATTTTCCGATGTCTATTAAATCAGAAACAGAAGCAAAGGCCTTCCAACATTGCTTACATTTATAAGGTTTCTCACCAGTATGAATTCTTTGATGTCGAATAAGATGTGCACTCCGCCTAAACGTCTTTCTACATTCCAGACATTCATAGGGTTTCTCACTAGTGTGAGTTCTCTTATGTTGAATCAATGTTGAACAACAGATAAACACTTTCCCACATTCTTTGCATTCATATGGTTTCCCACCAGTGTGAATTCGATTATGTTGGGTAAGGTGGGCACGCTTTCTAAAGGGCTTTCCACATATCTGACATTCATAGGGTTTCTGATTAGCATGACTTATTTGATATTGAGTTAGTTGAAAGTTACAA
The DNA here is from genome assembly GCF_000001405.40 of Homo sapiens. NCBI lineage: Eukaryota > Metazoa > Chordata > Mammalia > Primates > Hominidae > Homo > Homo sapiens. The sequence goes on from NC_000019.10 coordinate 37,670,105, forward strand.
GCAGTCTCTGCCACATTCTTTAAATACATTGCATTTCTTTGCATTAAAATTTGTCTGATGTTTCATATGATTTGTGCAAAATACAGAGGTGTTCCCACACATTTCGTCAAGCTTGTCACTGATATGAATTCTTCCCTGTTGAGTAACATTTTCTCATTTTTTTTTTTGTTCATAGAGTTTCTTTCCAGTATGAATTATTTGATTTAGAAGAAAATATGTAGGCTGGATGAATTCGGATATTTTTTCAAATGGCACAGTTACATGCCTGAAATATTCCTCTGTAGTTTCCTGTTGTCTCTCAAAGAGTCCTTTGCATTTCCAATCATTTCCCAAAAAAGATTCCTCAAGGCAAGAACTTCTGACACTTTCTATTATTTTCCATTTTAATGATTCCTTTTCAAAAGTGCCATTCTTAAGAGTTAACTCCTTGGTCTCATATCTAGACAGCATATCTTAAAGAAAATAAACATCATGTTTTCCTCTTTTATGAGAAATAAAACTGCATAGAAGCAGTCAAACAGATAATATTGCCCTTAAGCAAGAAATGGCTTAGATAACTTTTAAATCTTGGCATTTAATTTGCAGAAAAAAATTGTTGGAATGGCTATATTAATATCAGATGAAACAGACTTCAAGTTACTCTATATTATCAAAGATAATTTTCTCATAATGATAAAAGAGTTATAATAACTCATCAGGAAGACTTGGCAATCAGAAATGTGTAGGTGCAGAATAACAGAGCCTGAAAATATATGAAGCAAAAATTGACAAAAGTAAAGCAGGAAATAGATAATTCTACAATCATAGTTGGAGATTTTGCAACCATCTCTCAATAACTGATAGAACGACTGGAACATCCCCCTCCCCCAGAAAATTAGTAAAGTAATAGAGCATATAAGTAACACTGTCCACCACCTTCAACTAGTTGATATACACAAAACACAATATCAAAAACTGCAGAATGTACATTCTCTTCAAATACCTATACATTCAAAATAGACCATATGCTGGGACATTAAACAAGTCTCAATACACTAAAAAGGATCAATGTCACACAGAATATTTTCTTTGATCACAATGGAACTCAGTTTGAAATTATTAAAATTTCTGGAACCTGTCCCCCAATACTTGAAAACTAAAGAATACACATGGAAATTAGAAAATACTTAGAAATGAACAATATAAAAGTATAGCACACCAAAATATGTTATATAGCTAAGGTAACATTTATAGTGAAACCTATAGCTTTAAATGCTTATATTAGAAAAGAAAAATGTATAAAATAAACAACCTAAGGTTTTACTGCAAGACAGTAGATAAAGAAGAGCAAAGCAGGCCAGGCAAGGTGGCTCATGTCTGTAATCCCAGCACTTTGGGAGGCCGAGGCAGGTGGATCACGAGGTCATGAATTTGAGACCAGCCTGACCAACATGGTAAAACCCCGTCTCTACTAAAAATACAAAAATTAGCCGGGCGTGGTGGTGGATGCCTGTAATCCCAGCTACTCAGGAGGCAGAGGCAGGAGAATCGCTTAAACCCAGGAGGTGGAGGTTGCAGTGAGCCAAGATCGTGCCATTGCACTCCAGCCTGGGCAACAAGAGCAAAAACTCCATCTCCAAAAAAAAAAAAAAAAAAAAGAGCAAAGTAAATCTACAATTAGTAGAAGTAAAGAAATAACAAGGATAAGAGCAGAAATCAATGAATGAGAAAAGTGACCATAACAGAGATAATTAATAGTCAAAAACTGGTTTATGGAATAGATTAGCAAACTTGATAAACCTTGGAGCCAAACTACCAATAAAAAACAAGAAGAAAAACACAAATACCAGGAACAAAAAGGGGTTTCTAATTATAAACCCTACATAAATAATAAAAGTAAAAATTAAACATAATTACATAAGAAAATATGAACCATTTAATATCCAGAAGTATAAGAAGTTAGAGAAAATGGACACATTCTTTGAAAGACACAAACTACCAAGGATCAGTCAAGAAGAAATAAGTAAAACAAGCCAGGTGCAGTGGCTCACATCTGTCATCCCAGCACTTTGGGAGGCCAAGACAGATGGATCGCTTGAGCCCAGGACTTTGACTTGACACCAGGCTAGCCAACATGGCAAAACCCCATCTCTACAAAAAATAGAAAAATTAGCCCGGCATGGTGGTGTATGCCTGTAGTCCCAGCTACATGGGAGGCTGAGCCCAGAAAGTTGAGGCTGCAGTGAGATGTAATCATGCCACTGCACTCCAGCCTGAGTGACAGAGCAAGACCCTGGGAGTGAGGGAGGGATGGATAGGGGGGAGGGATGGAGGGAGGGAGGAAGGGAGGGAAGGAGGGAAGGGAGGAAGGGAGGGAGGAAGGAAGGAAAGAAGGAAGGAAGGAAGGAAATAGCTGTCTATTTATCACTGAAGCTGAATTTATAGTAAAAACATTGCCCCAAGGACAAACATGGCCCAATGACTTTAATGGCAAATCCTATCAAATAGTCAAAGAAGAAATAACTCACAGCTAATTACAGAAGCCCACCACTACCCTGCAACTGAAACCAAAAAACCATTCAAAAACTACAAATTTTCCTCCTGAATGATCATGCAAAAATCCTTTTAAAATAATAGCAAATAGAATCCAATAATATATATATTAAATCCATAACACAACATTCAATGGCATTTACCTCATGAACAAGTCAGCTTAGCATTTGAATATCAATTAATGTAATTCAACATATTAACATATTTTAAAAGTCAAATGACATGATCACTTGAATAAAAACAAAATACTCTTAAAAAATTCAACACAGAATCATCATAAAAATTCTTGCCAAACTAAAAACAGAAGGAACTTACTTTCTCAAGTAAAGGACATCATTCAAAAATCTACAAGAAATATCGTAGTCAGTAAAAAAAATATTGACTGGGCGCGGTGGCTCATGTTTATAATCCCAGCACTTTAGGAGGCTGAGGTGGGCAGATCACTCGAGGTCAGGAATTCGAGACCAGCCTGACCAACATGGTGAAACCCCATCTCGACTAAAAATACAAAAATTAGCTGGGCATGGTGGCACACGCCTGTAGTCCCAGCTACTCGGGAGGCTGAGGCAGGAGAATCACTTAAACCCAGGAGGTGGAGGTTGCAGTGAGCCAAGATCATACCACTGCACTCCAGCCTGCACAAGAGGGTGAGACTCTGTCTCATCATCATAATAATAAAGAAGTCTTTTTTCCTTAGATCAGAAGCAATGGGAGTGATTAATAGGTTTTTTTATCTTAATTATGGTGATGGTTTCATGAGCAAACATGTACACATATAAAGTATACCATTTCACACATCAAAATTTGTCAAACCATGTACTTTATAACATAGCTGGTTCATTATATGTCAATTATGCCTCAATACATCTGCTATAAAAAAAAGTTCTTTGTAAATATTTGAAATACTTCCCATTTGTCAAACTTTTTCTCCCAAGACCTTGGGCCTCTGAGGGAAGGTTTCCACACAATATCTCAAACAAAAGACATCACCACTCTGACCAGTTTGGGCTTCCCTAAAATGCACTTCTGCTGGGAGTACCCCAACACCCTTACCCACCTGGATACCACCCTGTTTTCCCAGCCATCCAGGGTTCTTTCCCTTGTTCCAATAGGGAAATCACTGATGGCTTAGAAATGGCAAGTCCTGCTCAAAGAAATAGGATACTAAAAATAAATAAGCCAAAAAATGTTCTTATTTAGAATTGGTTTAACCTAAAGCTAATTCAGGTTCCTCTGAAGACTGATGGAAACAGAAAATCATAATTTGGCAAACACCAGAGGAAATAACTACTGTCAGAGCCAAGTGTAGTGGCACACGCCAGTGGTCCCAGCTACTTGGGAGTCTGAGGCGGGAAGACTGCTTGAATCCAGGAGGTCAAGGCTATAATGAGCCAAGATCATGCCACTGCACTCCAGCCTGAGTCACAGAGCAAGACCCTGTCTCAAAAACATAATAACCATAACTGTTCTCTGCAGGAATCACTGATGAAACTAAAGTGATAAAAATGTCATGAGCAAGAGGGTATTTGTAGAGCCTCAAATTTCTTTACAAGTTACTTACTGATTGCAAAGGTAAAAATAGTGGCTTTACTATGCGGAACCCTAGAGGATACCATTTCAAGCATCAAAACAAGATACTGTTTTTGATTGGCCATTATTTATGTCCTGATACAATGCACTGAAAAAGGCATCACTTCTGTAGTATTCTTCCCAAAAATACATAACTTTAAAGTAATCATAAAAATATGGGTCAAGGCCGGGCGCGGTGGCTCACGCCTGTAATCCCAGCACTTTGGGAGGCTGAGGCAGGTGGATCACGAGGTCAGGAGATCGAGACCATCCTGGCTAACACGGTGAAACCCCATCTCTACTAAAAATACAAAAAAATTAGCCGGGCATGGTGGCGGGCGCCTGTGGTCCCAGCTGCTTGGGAGGCTGAGGCTGGAGAATGGCATGAACCCGGGAGGCGGAGCTTGCAGTGAGCTGAGATCGCGCCACTGCACTCCAGCCTCGGCGACAGAGCAAGACTCCGTCTCAAAAAAAAAAAAAAAAAAAAAAGGACAAATCTAAATCCAGGAATAATCTATGTAATAACAGGCCAGCACAGTTTAAAAGTGTTAATTAGGGTCATAAAAGAGAAAAAACATTTCCAAGATTGAAGAGGGCTACAGATACAAGACAACTAAATGCAATGTGGGATCCTGGATCAGTACAAGTGGGATCCTGGATCAGTACCAGGATAATTAATGACATTTGAAAAAAGGAAATAGATAACTTAATATTATATCAATTTTACTTTTTGGTTTAGATATTTGTACTATGCTTATGTAAATTATTAGCATTAGGGAAAACTGACTGAAGAGTAGATGGACATTTGGCATACTGGTTAGTTCTAGCTCTCGAAATCATTTCAAAATAAAAAGTTTTGGCCAGGCATGGTGGCTCATGCCTGTAATCCCAACACTTTAGGAGGGCGAGGCAGGCTGATCATGAGGTCAGGAGATCGAGACCATCCTGGCTAATACAGTGAAACCTCGTCTCTACTAAAAATACAAAAAATTAGCTGGGCGTGGTGGCACATGCCTGTAGTCCCAGCTACCTGGGAGGCTGAGGCAGGAGAATCGCTTGAACTCGGGAGGCAGAGATTGCAGTGAGCCGAGATTGCACCACTGCACTCCAGCCTGGGCAACAGAGCGAGACTCCGTCTCAAAAAAAAAAAAAAAAGTTTGGCTGGGCATATTGGCTCTCGCCTGTAATCCCAGCACTTTAGGAGGCCAAGGCAGGAGGATCACTTGAGGCCAGGAGTTTAAGATAAGCCTAGGCAACATAGCAAGACCGTATCTCTACACAAATTTAAAAAATTAGCTGGGCACGGTGGCACACTTGTAGTCCCAGCTACTTGGGAGGCAGAGGTGAGGGAATCACTTGAGCCCAGGAGTTTGAGGCTGCAGTGAGCCACAATCATACCACTGTACTGTAGCCTGGGTAACAGAGTGAGACCTTGACTCAAAATAATAATAATAATAATAATAATAATAATAATAATAATAAATAAAATTTAAAAATGGGCCCCAGAGAAGCTTTTGGATAAAAGAATGATGAAGACGTCAGAATACATTCACATTAAGCTGACCTAAGGAACACAAGGAACAAAGAGACAAATGAGGCAGAAAGGTCTTAGTTAAATTTAAATCTACGTGGGCTCTATCTCTACTTATTTGGGTAAGAAAAAGCAAGAAGCCTCAAGACAGAATCAATGTGTCTTCCTGTGAAATGTCAAATTCCTAGAATGTAGCTCTCAAACATAAACATAACAGGGTATGTGTTTTCCTAAATTGTAGATGAACCATCACGTCTTAAATCCTACAGGTTATTATATAAATGTCCCTCGACCATCATCTAGCTCCTTAAAAATCAAGAAAAAACTCAGTTACATAAGGAGCCCAGGGAAAGAGTGAAGGTCAGTGAAGAACAAGAAATATGAAGGTGCTTGAGAGTAGCAATCTATTCCAAGAAAACAAAACTCAAACCAGTTTTTTGGAACATGGAACAGAAATTTAGATATTTAATGCAGCCCCAGAATTCCCAGTGGAGAGAATATTTTCTGAATTACAGGGAACAGGTGATCTTACCCGGTGACACAAAGTTGCTGTAGTTCTCCAACATGACATCTCTGTACAAGTCTCTCTGAGCAGGGCCCAGGCATTCCCACTCTCCCTTAGAGAAATCTATAGCCACATCCCTGAATGTCACCAATCCTTTAAAGGAAAAGTCCATTTAACATATGTAATAATAAAGAAAATATATTTTAGGTGAATGATAAGGACATAAAAAGGGATTTTCCTAGAAGGCATTCTATAGTAAGCAGTAGGTTGAAATTGGAAACTTATGGAGGCGGCAATAAGGAAATGAATACACACATATTGTTGAGCAGTCCTGTGCTGTGAGGTAGATACAACATCCTGCCACTGTGGGAAATTTCTATTAATCGGAACATGTTGAGAAGCCAACAGTGTAAAACAATGTAAATTGAAACTGGGCCAGGCGCAGTGGCTCTTGCCTGTAATCCCAGGACCATGTTTTATTTCTCCTAATTTGAAGGAACTTAAAAGGCTGAAATGCAAAGATGACACTGAGAAACCTGATCTTGAATCGCTAAGGCAACAGCCTGACAAATTAATCAGGATGACGAACCAAGCTAGGACCAAGGCTATATCCATGTGTGTGAGTTAAGACCAGGGATGGAAAAGAAACATTTCTAGGACTCCTTGACATGGAGCCCAGTGCAGTGTGATTCCAAAATCTGTTGGTGATACCCTAATAGGGACTACAGTTAGATTGGGAGGATATGGGGATGCAGTGGTTGATTGTTATTAAGGTGAAAGTTTAAATGAAAACTAGAAGGTCTGAATGGACCTTATGTGAAGTGGTTACATCTCCTTACCTGAATACATAATGGGGAAGGGTATTATGTCTGACTGAGGAACACTTCTCCTACCTAGTATTTTAAAACTAAAGGCATGTAAGTTTGTCCTTCAATCAATGTTATTAGACAGGCCAAACAGGAACCTATAGAATTGCTGAAGCCCACATAGGTTGTTAATTTTTTTTTTTTTTGAGACGGAGTCTTGCTTTGTCACCCAGGCTGGAGTGCAGTGGCGCAATCTCAGCTCACTGCAACCTCCATCTCCCGGGTTCAAGCAGTTCTTGTGCCTCAGCCTCCCAAGTAGCTGGGATTACAGACGTGTGCCACCACGCCTGGCTAATTTTTGTATTTTTAGTAGAGACAGGGTTTCACCATGTTGGCCAGGCTGGTCTTGAACTCCTGACCTCAGGTGATCCACCCGCCTTGGCCTCTCAAAGTGCTGGGATTACAGGCATGAGCCACCACACCCAGCCTATGTAGGTTGTTAATTTGAAGCTGTATAGAATACCTGGTAGATACAAGAGATTACCACTTCATTAATAACATGTTAGAAGCTAGAGTGCTGGTACCAACCAATTCTCTATACAATAACCCTGATAGGTCTGTGCCAAAGGGGGAGACTAACAGTAGATTGTCGAGGCTTGAATGAAGTAGTACCACCGAATTAAAGGACACCAGTACTCTGACTAATCTTGCAAATGCTTTTTTCATTATCCCAATCTTGGGAAAGAGACAACCATAGTTTGCCTTCATGAGGGGACAATCCCAATTTATATCTACTGTATTCTCACAGGTTATTTGAATTCACTAGCTTACTATTACAATTTGATTAGGAAAGCGTGGACTTGAGACCAGTCCTAAGTGTAACAATATACTACATTGATGATAATGATAACATCAGAACCTGAAGAACAAATTAGGTCTGATTTCCAGCAGGGAAGGCCCACGCGGAGAGGTAGCATAGCATGTAGACTCTATCCGATGGCCACTGGTAGCCCTGGGAGCCTACAAAAGGATCCTGGCAGTGGATAGACACACTTCCCCTGTGGTAGATGTAAAGGCTCAAAATACTATAAAACTCCTTGAATAGAAACGTGCCAATTGGCATTGCTGTGTTATATTTATTCAGACCAAAAGAAACACTTTACACCCCGCAGTGTCCAACAATGTCCAAAGAGTTCTCACATCAATTGGATATACCATGATGCATATCATCCTCAAAGTAGTGGTTTGGTAGACAATTAGAATAGGAGAGCTATAGAGTTGTTGGCTAAAGTAAGGGAAAGTAAAGTATGGGCTGGCTTGCATTCCTTCATGAGGATGTGCTTACTCTCAAGATGGGGAAAGCCAAAGACAGTCTCCACTAGAGAGATTCCTCTACTGTCGTGGGCAATTAGGAGGAGAGGGTGCATGGCAGAATGCTGGCACAGTTACACAAATCTTCCCCAAATAACCTCAACTTTCTTTTTTCCTACCTGATGCAGTGGCCCTGGGACTATGACTGTAACTCCAAGTGACAGAAGCAGGGGTGATCCCTAAACAAGAAACTGGAACTTTACCTTTCAATCTTTTTTAAAATGTTATTTATTTATTTTTAGAGATGGGGTCTTGATAGTTGTCCAGGCTGGACTTGACCTCCTGGGCTCAAGTGGATCCTCCCATCTCAGCCTCCCGAGTAGCTGGGACTGCAGGCACATACCACCATACCTGGCTAATGAAGTAACAGTGAAAAAGACTGGCTTCAGGGAGAATTTAACCAACCATCAGCTAATTTCTACGCTCAATAGTTCTGTACAAGTTTATCATGTGGCACATAACAGTAGATTCAAGGAGGGAAATGAGTAATCAAATTAATACAAAAATATGAGAATGCATGTAATGGCTTTATTGGATAGGTTAGTTGTTTCTTTAAATCCATTGCTACTCCATACTGGCTCCTTGAAATGATAGCCATCTACATCCTGATACTATTGCTGTTTCTGTGTAGCTGCTCAGGTAGTTTTGCTACAAGAGAGCCTAAGCCAAGGCCTGGGTGAGTGGACAGGTAACTCAGTACACCTGGAATGCTCAAATCCTGCACGTGCCAAAGAAAGAACTGGCCCTTGACTGGCTCTTGGGAGATAACCTCTGAGCCCTTAAAATATCCTACCTGATAAGATTGTTTTTGTATGCCACAGGCCTTGGAGCATGCTGTATCAGTTTGACATCTGGGGAACTGGAGACTGAGTAGCTAAAGTCAGGTATTGAGTGATAAATCCCTGCAAGACTGACTCCCCAATAAAAACTCTGGAAACCAAGGCTCAAGTGAGCTTCCCTGGCTGGCAATAGTTCACACAATGTTGTGACATGTCATTGTTAGGAGCATTAAGTGTGTCCCTGTATAGCTCCTCTGGAAGCAGCCACCTGAAAGCTTGTACCTGGTTTCTCCTAACCTTTGTCCATGTACCTTTTCTTTCTGGTGACTTTAGTATGTATCCTTTTACTAGAATAAACCATAACTGTAAGAATAACAGCTTTTCTGCATCTTAGCAAATCTTTGAGGCTGATAGTCTCTAAAGTTCTTAGTACAGTTTCTCTTTTCACAAAATAAAATGGAACATTTGAGGGAATCTTCCCAAAATATCTTATTAAAACCTCTATCGTGTAATGAATATGTTAATTAGCTTGATAGTGGCAATGACTTCACAATGTACATTTCTATCAAAAGATTAAATATATAAATATATATTTAAATATATAAAATTTTTATGTGTCAATTATACCTCAGTAAAGATGGGCAGGGAGTACCTCCATCTCAGCGGTCCCCAACATTTTTGGCATCAGGGACTGGTTTCATGAAGACAATTTTTCCACAGAGTAGGGACAGGGTGGTTTCAGGATGATTCAAGTGCATTACATTTATTGTACACTTTATTTGTATTATTATTACATTGTAATATATAATGGAATAATTATACAACTCAGCATAATGTAGAATCAGTGGGAGCCCTGAGCTTGTTTTCTGCAACTAGACAGTCCCATCTGGGGGTGATGAGAGACAGTGACAGATCATCAGGCATTAGATTCTCATAAGGAGCCCACAACCTAGATCCCTCACATGCACAGCTCACAATAGGGTTCACGCTCCTATGAGAATCAAATGCCGCCGCTGATCTGACAGGAGGTGGAGCTCAGGCAGTAATGTGAGTGATAAGGAGCGGTTGTAAATACAGAGAAAGCTTTGCTCACTTGCTTGCCACTCACCTCCTGCTGTGTGGCCTGGTTCCTCACAGGCCAAGGACCAGTACTGGTCTGTGGCCCAGGTTTTGGGGACCCCCGCTCTATCTTAATAAAGAGGATACAAATAAATTTGAAGACTTCCTTGCAGAAGATGCAAATAAATTTGAAGAATTCTAAAACAACAACTACTAAAGAAATTTCAATAGAGAGGTAAGATGCTACTTGAAATCAAGGATTTGAATGGTAGAGTGTAGGGACCAGCCCCACAGGGTCGGTGGGTCTCTCCCTGTGCACGGCGACGAGAGAGTGTAGAAATAAAGACACACGATAAAGAGATAAAAGAAAAGGCAGCTGGGCCCGGGGGACCACTACCACCAATGCGCGGAGACCGGTAGTGGCCCCGAATGTCTGGCTGTGCTGTTATTTATTGGATACAAGGCAGAAGGGGCAGGGTAAAGAATGTGAGTCGCCTCCAATGATAGGTAAGGTCACGTGGGTCACGTGTCCACTGGACAGGGGGCCCTTCCCTGCCTGGCAGCCGAGGCAGAGAGGGAGAGGAGACAGAGAGAAAGACAGCTTACGCCATTATTTCTGCATATCAGGGACTATTAGTATTTTCACTAATTGACTACTGCTATCTAGAAGGCAGAGCCAGGTGTACAGGATGGAACATGAAGGCGGACTAGGAGCGTGACCACTGAAGCACAGCATCACAGGGAGACGGTCAGGCCTCTGGATAACTGCGGGCAAGCCTGACTGATGTCAGGCCCTCCACAAGAGGTGGAGGAGCACAGTCTTCTCTAAACTCCCCCGGGGAAAGGGAGCCTCCCTTTCCCGGTCTGCTAAGTAGCAGGTATTGTTCCTTGACACTTTTCGCTACTGCTAGACCACCGTCCGCTCGGCAACGGGCGTCTTCCCAGACACTGGCGTTACCGCTAGACCAAGGAACCCTTCTGCTGGCCCTGTCCGGGCATAACAGAAGGCTCGCACTCTTCTCTTCTGGTCACACCTCACTATGTCCCCTCAGCTTCTATCTCTGTATGGCCTGGTTTTTCCTAGGTTATGATTGTAGAGCGAGGATTATTATAATATTGGGATAAAGAGTAATTACTAGAAACTAATGATTAATGATATTCATATATCTCTAAGATCTATATCTGGTATAACTATTCTTGTTTTATATTTTATTATACTGGAACAGCTCGTGTCCTCGATCTCTTGCCTCGGCGCCTGGGTGGCTTGCCGCCCACAGTAGAGCAACAAAGAAATATCATTTCCCAGTTATGAGATTAGCAAAATGAGACAACTGGTTACACCCCATATGATTACATGAGAAATAATCTCAGGGCATCCTGCACATAAGATTATATTTAGAAAAATGTATGAGCATGTACAGGCATGCCTTAAACTCAGCAATTATACATCTTAGATTCTATTCAAATGAAGATTTAAATGTGTACAAAGAGGAAACAGTTTAACAAACCATTATTGTATTAATATAATGAAAAACAAGATAATCATAAAACTGATAGCTTTGCCAGGCACGGTGGCTCATGCCTGCAATCTCAGCACTTTGGGAGGCCGAGGCAGGCGGATCACCAAGTCAGGAAATCGAGACCATCCTGGCCAACATGGTGAAACCCCGTCTCTACTAAAAATACAAAAAAAATTAGCTGGGTGTGGTGGCGTGCACCTGTAGTCCCAGCTACTCAGGAGGCTGAGGCAGAAGAATCACTTGAACCCAGGAGGCGGAGGTTGCAGTGAGCCAAGATCATGCCACTGCACTCCAGCCTGGGCAACAGAGTGAGGCCCCATCTCAAAAAAAAAAAAAAAAAAAAAAAGATAGCTTTGGGGTGGGGCGCAGTGACTCACACCTGTAATTCCAGCACTTTGGGAGGCCGAGGTGGGAGGATCACTCGAAACCAGGAATTCATGACCAGCCTGGGCAATGTAGAGAGACCCCCTGTCTCTAAAATATATATATATAAACTAGCCAGGTGTGGTAGCCCACACCTATAGTCCTAACTACTTGGGAGGCTGAAGCAGGAGAATCCTTGAGCCCAGGACATTGAGGCTGCAGTGAGTTATGATTGCACCATTGCACTCCAGCCTGGGAGACAAAGGGAGACCCCATCTCAAATCTCAAAAAAAAAAAAAAAAGTTTCTCCTTAATTTGTAACATGAAAAATCTTTTACCTCAATTTTCTAGTGAACAGAGAGCATTATTAAACGGAATAGTCATTGTCATCCTAGAGTTATCAAACAGAAGAGTGACTGTCAACCACTTTTGGCAGAAAACCCACACGTGTGTGGATATATATAAGATCTGGAAAGATTTTTCGTTGTTGTCGTACTATAGGTAATCTTTACTTTGTGATTTTCCACATTTTCTGAATTTTTGCATTGAGGATATACTATCTTTTACCATCATAAAAAACACCACTAAGCCCAGGCAACATGGTAAAACCCCATCTCTACAAACAATACAAAAATTAGCTGGGCATGATGGTGCGTGCCTATAGTCCCAGCTACACAGGAGGCTGTGGCGGGAGGATGGCTTAAGCCCAGCAGGTCAAGGCTGCAGTGAGCCATAATCGCACCACTGCATTCCAGCCTGGGAGACAGAGTGAGACCCCATTTCCAAAAAAGAAGAGTCAACAAGTTTTAAAAAATCAAGAAGTTCATAAAGTAAAAAAAGTTACAGTAAGCTAAAGTTAATTTATTATTGAAGAAAAAAATTTTCACATATTTAGTGTAGCCTAAGTATACAGTGTTTCTAGTCTATAGTGGGGTATGGTACTGTCCTAGCCTTCACATTCACTCACCATTCACTTACTGACTCACCTAGAGCAACTTTCAGTCCTGCAAGCTCCATTCATGGTAAATGCCCTGTACAGGTGTACCATTGTTTACTTTTTATACCTTTTTTTTTTTTTTTTTTTGAGATGGAGTCTTGCTCTTGTCACCCAGTCTGGAGTGCAATGGTACAATCTTGGCTCACTGCAACCTCCGCCACCCAGGTTCAAGCGATTCTCCTGCCTCAGCCTCCCGAGTAGCTGGGATTACAGGCACCTGCCACCACACCCAGCTAATTTTTGTATTTTTAGTAGAGACGGGGTTTCGCCACGTTGGCCAGGCTGGTCTCGAACTCCTGACCTCATGATCCACCTGCCTTGGCCTCCCAAAGTGTTGGGATTACAGGCGTGAGCCACTGCGCCTGGCCTATACCATATTTTTACTGTACCTTTTCTGTATTTAGATATATTTAGATACATAAAATCATTGTGTTGCAACTATCTACAGTATTCAGTACAGTAAAATTCTATACAGGCTGGTGGCCTAGGAGCTGCAGGCTATACTATATAGCCTGGGTGTGTAGTAGGCTATCCCATCTAGGTGTATGTAAGTCCACCCTCTGATGTTCACACAATGATGACATCACCTAACAACAACATTACCTAACAACAGAAGAATGTATCCCTGTTCTTAGGTGACGTCTGACTGTATATCTAACATTAAAAGTTTATTTACAAAAATAAACTTTATTTACAAAAAAACTTTATTTAAAAATTACATGGCATAAGGCCGGGTGGAGTGGCTCACGTCTGTAATCCCAGCACTTTGGGAGGCCAAGGTGGGCGGATCACCTGAGGTTAGGAGTTCAAGACCAGCCTGGCCAACATGGTGAAACCCTGTCTCTACTAAAAATAGAAAAAAAATTAGCCAGGCATGGTGATGGGTGCCTGTAATCCCAGCTATTCGGGCGGTTGAGGCTAGGGGAATTGCTTGAATCCAGCCAGTGGACGTTGCAGTGAGCCGAGATTGCACCACTGTACTCCAGCCTGGACGACAGAGAAAGACTTAGTCTCAAAAAAAAAAAAAATTACATGGCATAACGCTTACGACACAAAATCTCTTTATCTCCAGAGTTTCTATGTATTCAAGATGGTTTTCTCATAAAACAGCAGAGGTTACTGTGGTCAGAATGTCACCTTCCCATGAGCCCACAAGGAAAAGCATCTGTGTTTCGCTAGTTCCTGTCACACTTTAATCTATTTCTGTATAGATTATATGTCCCTTGCTAGATTGAGAGAAACTTAACTAGGGCTTTCTAATCACTTCATTTCTCCCAAGTATTAGCACAGAATCATTGATATTCCTGGCATTAATAAATGCTTAATATTTTACCTAAAAATTCTATACTTGGGAAGTTATCAATAAACGAAACCTAGAAAAGTGCAAAATTTAGTGAACACAAGAATATATCACAGAACAGTTACATGACAGATGACTGCACTACCATTAACAGCTATGACCAAACATTTTAAGTAAAAAGGAAAGATATACGTGACGAATTACTACGTAAGGGGGCAGGTCTTTAAAAGAACCTATAATTTGGCTGGGAGTGGTGGCTCATGCCTGTAATCCCAGCATTTTGGGAGGCTGAGGCGGGTGGATCACGAGATCAGGAGATCGAGACTATCCTGGCTAACACGGTGAAACCCCGTCTCTACTAAAAATAAAAAAAAATTAGCCGGGTGTGGTGGCGGGCACCTGTAGTCCCAGCCACTCCGGAGGCTGAGGCAGGAGAATGGCGTGAACCCAGGAGGCGGAGGTTGCAATGAGCTGAGATAGCACCACTGCACTCCAGCCTGGGCAACAGAGCGAGACTCCATCTCAAAAAAAAGAAAAAAAAAATAGAGATTGAGACCATCTTGGCCAACATGGTGAAACCCTGTCTCTACTACAAATACAAAAATTAGCTGGGTGTGGTGGCATGCGCCTGTAGCCCCAGCTACTCGGGAGGCTGAGGCAGGAGAATTGCTTCAGCCTGGGAGGTGGAGGTTGCAGTGAGATCGCGCCATTACACTCCAGCCTGGTGACAGAGTGAGACTCCGTCTCAAAAAAAAAAAAAACAACTATAATTTTAGAAGAGCATATAACACAATAATTTAAAATGCAGCTCAGAGGCCAGATGCGTTGGCTCATGCCTATAATCCCAGAACTTTGGGAGGCCAAGGGGGGCAGATCGTTTGAGCCCAAGAGTTCGAGACCAGCCTGGGCAACATAGTGAGGCCCTGTCTCTACAAAAAAAATACAAAAATTAGCCATGTGCAGTGGTGCACACCTGTAGTCTTAGCTACTCGGGAGGCTGAGGTAGAAGTATCACTTGAACACAGGAGGTCGAGGCTGCAGTGAGCTGTGATTGTACCACTGCATTCTAGCCTGGGTAACAGAGCAAGACCCTGTCTCAAAAAAATAAATAAAATAAAATAAAATGCAGCTATGCTTATAGATGCCTGTGATGTGACTCTTGATAAGTGGATTTTTAGAAAGTCACCAAATGAAGAAACAGAGAGCACACCGGAGAAGAGCTCAAGTGAAGCCAGACTGCCTGGTTTGCACTCCAGTTCTGCTGTGCACCAGCTTGGGCAAGTTACTTCACATCTTTGTGTTAAATATTCTAGCACATGAATGGAGAAGAATGTTTCTAGTTCTTTCCATTTGGGAGGCACAGATTGTTTGTAAGGTCATATCTATGGTTAAACCAGGCATCTTTTTAGGCCACAGATGTATACCTTTGAAGTCAGAATAAATTCTACACCTCTTTCAGGAAAAAAATTTTCAAGGGATTTGTGGCCAATATATGAAGTAAATGACCTGCAGATTAAAAACTCCTGTTCTATACTACTTGAGTGTCTAGCTCTTTTTCTTATTTGCAAATATCTATCACAATTAATTTTATATTTTTGTTTTCCCTGATCCATAGATAACTTAGTACAAAATATAATCGTAACAGTTCATGTATTAATAAATTGAATATACTTTATGTGCCAATATACCTAAGGGCTTTACATGTATCAATTTAGTCATTCTAACAAACCTACAGGTGAGTGCTATCATTCCCTCCATTTTACAGATGAGGAAACTGAGATGCAGAGAATTACATTTCTCTAGAACACAGATATTAAGGTCCCCACATGGCCTAGGAGGTGCTTGAGTAAAAAAAGAAAAGCATACCGCCTTTTATGGTCCAGGTAGATATATGGCCTAAAACAAATCATGCTGGCAAATCTCAAGCCAAACTTGATCATTATAACAAAGTGGAAAGTGCATTTCCGAGAAAAAACAAACAAGTAGTTAACAGAAGAAAGAAATCTCCCCTCACCTTGAACATGGCTTTTACATCCACAATAGCCATGCTTCCCTGCTCCTCAGGGCACCTCTGGAAAAACACAGACTGGAGAAGGAGAATGGAATTAGGAGAAACCAGTTTTGTGTCAATATAAACTGAGGCCTGTTCTCCAGGTCCTCTGCCTGTGTACACAGATAGAAGTCAGAGAGAGACCAGCATCTTTTACTTATCTTTGTGTCAAAAAGAAAAGTCAGGATGGAAGCTACCTGGAGCTGCCACTTCTCAGCGGTCTCAGATACCTAACTGAGATAGTCCAGGCATGGTAGGGCTTCTAGGAAGTGTAATTTTCTCCACAGAGCTTCCAGAAGGATTCATGACAAGGGAATTCCGATTTCTGGTGACTCTCAGGTGTCTCCCCTTCTTTTTTTTTTTTTTTTGAGATGGAGTCTTGCTCTGTCACCCAGGCTGGAGTGCAATGCACAATCTCGGCTCACTGCAACCTCTGCCTCCTGGGTTCAAGTGATTCTTCTGCCTCAGCCTCCCCAGTAGCTGGGATTACAGGCACCTGCCACCACACCCGGCTGTTTTTTGTATTTTGGTAGAGATAGGGTTTCACCATGTTGGCTAGCCTGGTCTTGAACTCCTGACCTCAGGTGATCCACCCGCCTCAGCCTCCCAAAGTGCTGGAATTACAGGCGTGAGCCACTGCTCCCAGCGTTCTCCCCGAATCTCCTCCAGCTCTAAAATTCTAGCCCAAGACCAGAGCTGTGGGTCAGGGTTAATCAATCACTATTAGCTGTTTACTTTCACCCTGTAGATCAATGATCTGGAGAGTCTCCCCTACCCCACAGCATCACCCTACCCAATATTAATCTATCCCCCAACCCTAACCACACCCCACACACCCATATCTCATCCCATGCCCCCCACCCCTACAGAGACAGTAATCTCAGGGTGCCACTGACCGTAGAGAGCTTCCGACATTACCCTAAGAGGTTTCTCTCTGGATTTGTCCACCTCATAGAAATAAAAAGGAGGACTGGATCTCCCTGCTGATTTCTTTTTTTTTTTTTTTTTTTTTTTTTTTGAGAGACGGAGTCTCGCTCTCGCCCAGGCTGGAGTGCAGTGGCGCGATCTTGGCTCACTGCAAGCCCCGCCTCCTGGGTTCACGCCATTCTCCCGCCTCAGCCTCCCGAGTAGCTGGGACTACAGGCACCCGCTACCATGCCCGGCTAATTTTTTTGTATTTTTAGTAGAGACGGGGTTTCACCATGTTAGCCAGGATGGTCTCGATCTCCTGACCTCGTGATCCACCCGCCTCGGCCTCCCAAAGTGCTGGGATTACAGGCGTGAACCACCGCGCCCGGCCTGATTTCAGGTCCTACGGCCTCTGTAAACTATAAACTCATGCACATAGCACATAACAACTCTATCCAAACTCCTATGGTAAGAGACTTGCCCAAATTCTAGAATAGCTTCCAGCATTTTAAGACCATGTTCCTAGGCTGACCCCAGTCCCCCTTAAAATGCCTGCCTGACAACAGACGCTTGAAGGCAGCATGCTCGTTAAGAGTCATCACCACTCCCTAATCTTA
Source organism: Homo sapiens (assembly GCF_000001405.40). NCBI lineage: Eukaryota > Metazoa > Chordata > Mammalia > Primates > Hominidae > Homo > Homo sapiens. The sequence continues at coordinate 37,688,013 of NC_000019.10, forward strand.
AGTACCCAGGGACACAAACACTGCGGAAGGCCGCAGGGTCCTCTGCCTAGGAAAACCAGAGACCTTTGTTCACTTGTTTATCTGCTGACCTTCCCTCCACTATTGTCCTATGACCCTGCCAAATCCCCCTCTGCGAGAAACACCCAAGAATGATCAATAAAAAAAAAAAAAAAAAAAATGCCTGCCTGACAAAGTTTAATGCTGCCTGGAGAATTTACTATTTGTTCCAGCTAAAAACCTAGTGGTAGGCAGACAGGCCCCTAAACTCCCTTTTAAAAGTAACTGTTTTTGGCCAGGCGCGGTGGCTCACACCTGTAATCCCAGCACTTTGGGAGGCTGAGGTGGGTGGATCACTTAAAGCCAGGAGTTAATGACCAGGCTGGCCAACATGGTGAAACACCATCTCTACTAAAAATACAAAAATTAGCCAGGGGTGGTGGCGTGCACCTGCAGTCCCAGCTACTCTGGAGGCTGAGGAAGGAGAATCGCTTGAATCCAGGAGGCCAAGGTTGCAGTGAGCCAAGATTGTGCCTCTGCACTCCAGTCTGGTTGACAGGGCGAGGCTCTGTCTAAAAAAAAAACTAACTGCTTAAAGAGGGAGTTCAGGGGCCTGTCTGGCTACCGCTAGGAAAGCTTATCATTATAAATGCTTTCTCTGCCCTTTGAGATGTATACCTACCATGTGCCACTCAGAACTATTTCCTCAAGGACCTGAGATGCAAACATTCAGGGACATAACTCCCAGCCCCTCTGGAAGAGTAAAGGCCTAACTTTGGTGGGTGCAGTGCTCCAAGCTGCACCACTTGGCCTTCTGTAATAAAAGATTTGAGAACTTTGCTTGATACTTAATTATGAAAAAATAAAATTAAAAATTAAAAAGATCTGAGAACTGGCTGGTGTGGTAGCTCATGCCTACAATCCCAACACTTTAGGGAAGCCGAGGTGGGAGAATCGTTTGAGCTCAGTAGTTTGAGACCAGCCTGGGCAATATAGTGAGATCGATCGCCTCTACAAAAATTTTTTTTTTAATTACCAGTTTAGTCACACTTACCTGTAGTCCTAGCTACTAGGGGGCTGACCTGGGAGTATCGCTTGAGCCCAGGGTGTCGAGGCTACAGGAAACCACAATCGCACCATGGCACTCCAGCCTAGACAACACAGTGAGACCCTGTCTTAAAAAAAGAAAAAAAAAAAGAGGCCGGGCGCGGTGGCTCACGCCTGTAATCCCAGCACTTTGGAAGGCCAAGGCAGGCGGATCACAAGGTCAGGAGATTGAGACCACAGCTAAACCCCGTCTCTACTAAAAATACAAAAAATTAGCTGGGCACGGTGGCGGGCACCTGTAGTCCCAGCTACTCAGGAGGCTGAGGCAGGAGAATGGCGTGAACCCGGGAGGCGGAGCTTGCAGTGAGCGGAGATTGTGCCACTGCACTCCAGCCTGGGTGACAGAGCAAGACTCTGTCTCAAAAAAAAAAAAAAAAGAAAAAAGAAAAGAAAAAACTCTGTTTCTTTGTTTCTTCTCCAGAAAAATGGCAATTAGCAAACTAGGTACATGGACCAAACTCCCCTTTGCACCCTTCAGTGGCTTTTCCCTAGCACACCCCCGCCTTTAAAAAGTCTCCCTTTGGCTGGGCACAGTGGCTCACGCCTGTAATCCCCGCACTTTGGGAGGCCAAGGCGGGCGAATTACCTGATGTCAGGAGTTTGAGATCAGCCCGGCCAACACGGTGAATCCCAGTCTCTACTAAAAATACAAAAATTAGCCAGGTGTAGTGTTGTACACCTGTAAGCCCACCTACTCGGGAGGCTGAGGCAGGAGAATCGCTTGGACCCAGGAGGCAGAGGTTGCAGTGAGCCGAGATCATGCCACTGCACTCCAGTCCAGTTCAGTTCACTTCCCCATTGCAGCAGCTATTACAGGTTGAGTTTCCCTTAACCAAAAGGCCTGGAATCAGAAGTGGAATCTGAAGATTTCAGACTTTTTCAGATTTTGAGATATTTGCATTATATAGCAGTTAATCCTCCCTAATCCAAAACTCCAAAATCTGAAATGCTCCAATAAACTTTCCTTTGAGCATCATGTCAGTGCACATCAAGTTCTGGATTTTAGAGCATTTTGGATTTCAGATTTTTTACATTAAGAATGCTTAATCTGTACTGAATAAAATCTCTTCTCAGCTGGGTGCGGTGGCTCACCCCTGTAATCCCAACACTGGGACGCTGAGGCGGGTGGATCACCTGAGGTCAGGAGTTCGAGACCAGCCTGGTCAATATGGCAAAACCCCATCTCTACTAAAAGTACAAAAATTACGTGGGCGTGGTGGCGAGCGCCTATAATCTCAGCTTCTCAGAAGACTGTGGCAGGAGAATCTATTAAACCTGGGAGGTGGAGGCTGTAGTGAGCTGAGATCGTGCCACTGTACTCCAGCTTGGGCAACAGAGCGAGACTCTGTCTCAAATAAAATAAAATAAAATAAAATAAAATTTCACTGCTTTAGTGTCTGTTTATCTTTGAATCATATAAACAGAATCATATACTATGTAGTATTTTGCATCTAGCTTCTTTCACTTAGAATTTTTAAGGTTCATCCATGTTGTAACATGCACAATTGCTAAGTAATATTCTTTATTAATATTTTTAATGTTTTTAGAGACAGGGTCTCACTCTGTCACCCAAGTTGGAGTGCAGTGAGCTGGGACTACATATGCATGCCACTGCACATGGCTAAAAATTTTTTTTTTTTAATTATTTTCTATAGAGACAGGCTCTCACCATGTTGCCCAGGCTGGTCTCAAACTCCTGGGCTCAAGCGATCCTCCCACCTCGGCCTCCCAAAGTGCTAGGATTACATGCGTGAGCCACCGCATCCGTCCAAATATTTTCTTTCATTACATCTTTTAGTTGGCTTTAAAAAATATATAAATAAAGACTACAAATTTCCAGATCCTAATTTTGTACTCAATTTCTTTATAATTTTATCATTGGGCCAGGTGAGATGGCTCATGCCTGTAATCCCAGCACTTTGGGAAGCTGAGGCAGACGGATCACGAGGTCAGGAGTTCGAGACCAGCCTGGCCAGTATGGTGAAACCCCGTCTCTACTAAAAATACAAAAAATTAGCCGGGTGTGGTGGCACGCACCTGTAGTCCCAGCTATTCAGGAGGCTGAGGCAGAAGAATCGCTTGAACCCACGAGGCTGCAGTGAACCGACCTCATGCCACTGCACTCCAGCCTGGGCAACAGAGGGAGACTCCGCCTCAAAAAAAATTAATAATAAATTTATCATTTAAATTTACGTGCAGTCAATGTTTTGAAATACTTGGAGGATCTTTGAGAGAAGCATAGGCTTCTTTACATCCCAAAGACATTGTGGCCTGGGGAAACTGGAACAAATTAGCCGAATGAATCTGGTACTAGGCTCACTGAGGAATGGTGAAGCCTTAAAAGGCTCCAGGACTTCTCTGAACGAAGGTTTGCTTTTCAGAAAGTGGAGTTATAGCGCCTTACCTGGAATCTTGAACCCCAAATTATGATCTCTCCACGGTAGTCAACGGAGCTTCATAAATTATTCCTTAATCCGAGGCTTCTCAAATCTGTTGTGTTCCCTAAACAACAGAATAAATGCCTACTCTGAGGGTCTGACACAAAAGCAGGAGTCCCACAAAATAAGTTCCTTTAAAATATTTCTTCTTGTATTTAAAAGTCACACTGATTTGGTATTCTATACAATAATAAATTTATCTTTTACACAGAAATCCTGTTTTATAGTATTTATCAGATCAATTATTTAGCCTTTTCCAAATTTTCGAGTAAACTGACGTCCTGGAAGAAGCACCCTTATTTTCACCATTTTACAGTCGAAGAAGGGAAGATAAGAGGCGGTGAATCCGAGACTTTCATTCAGGTGACGATCCCTCGCGGGCACTCACTCTCGCTCACACTACAATCAGATCCTCCATGCGGCTTTCATATACTCTGTCACACTCGCAGCCAGAATCCCCTCGGATGGACTCTTGCAAACCTCCAGCCCCATCCCGGGATCCGTGCGTCTTCTACAGCCACCACTTGGGCCAGCGTCCAGGACGCCCAAGCGTAACCTCCCCACTCTAAACCGTTAGGAATCAGTGGCTGGACTCACCGCGTCATAAAAGCATAAACTGTGACCCGATGAGTCCGCGCACTCGGAAAACAAGAGAACGCTCCCACGTCTCCGGGCGCAGCTTGTGCCAGCGACTACTAGGTCAGGGGGCGCAGCTGAGAGAATTCAAGCAACCTCCCCGCAACCGGTTCCGCCGCGTTTGTGGGCTGGTAGCCCGGAATACATTTCCCAGAGGCCTTCGCGGCCGACGTGCTTCGCGCAGGAACGCAGCCGCCTCCCGACTGGAGGACGCGGTAGCGGAGCTGCTCAAAGCGAGGTGCTCAGCCCTGGGAGGCTCAGGGCTGCCCGAGGGGCTTAGTCCCAGAGCCAGTGCTGTCAGGGGCTGAGCATGTGAATAGGGCAGTCGGAAGACCATGTGTGTCTGTGGCTTTTAAATACACCCCGAACGTCTATCTCTTTTAACTGGAGTATTTAATTTATTTACATTTAATATAGCCACTGATAGATTTAAAGCTGCCATTTTATTATATTTTCTTTTTTTTTTTTAGTGCTAAATACACAGGCTTTTATTTTCTTCATATTCAATCTTTTTGTGAATTTAAAGATGAGGAGGCCGGGGGCAATGGCTCACGCCTGTAATCCTAGCACTTTGGGAGGCCGAGGCAGGCGGATTGCCCGAGCTCAGGAGTTCGAGACCAGCCTGGGCAACATGGTGAAACCCCGTCTTTACTAAAATACAAAAAATTAGCTGGGCATGGCGGCGTGCGCCTGTAGTCCCAGCTACTCGGGAGGCTGAGGCAGGAGAATCGCTTGAACCCGGGAGGCGGAGGTTGTGGTGAGCCGAGATCGCACCACTGCACTCGCCGGGGCGACAGAGTGAGACTCTGTCTCAAAACCACAACAACAACAACAACAACAAAAACTATATTAATACTTTAATACCCTAAAGATAATGAGACAAACGTGCATTTGTGGAACTGCATGTCAATCAGGCCAGTTCCCTGCAGAGGGAACTCCCAGCATGACCTCAGTCATCTGTGAGGACACAGAGCAGTCCTTGTTTAGACACACACTTTCATCTACTGCTGCAGCATGGTCAGCACTCCACTTCTTGATGGTTTCCTTCTGCTATGAATATGCATGTCCAGTTGCTTCTTAGAGCAGACACCTTCCTCATCCACCAGCCATTGGAGGAGGACTGGGGCCACCCAGATGATTGATTGGACCCATTCTTCCAGGAGGGTTTCCCGGTGGCCCTCTTCCATCGTCATCGTATCTGAAATCAGATGAGTTTCCATAGCTTCTTCTTTTTTTCAAATCTTGCCGAAGCAGAGTTTTGAAAAACAAAACCACAAACTCAGCTATTCCCCAGAAGAAATCTGTTATCAAAGATAATCTCCATGGAGACTGACTCCAGTTGTCCAACACTTGTGCGTTTGAGATGTAAACCATCTTGCCCCCATTCCCTGCTTCGGAGCCTTATTTATTACTTTTTAAAAACAGGGTCTCCCTATGTTGCCCAGGCTGGCCTTGAACTCCTGGGTTCAAACGATCCTCCCGCCTCTGCCTCCCAAAGTGCTGGGATTACAGGCATTAGCTCCTGGCATTTTAATTTGTTTTCTTTTTGTTGCATGTTTCCTTTTTCTCTCCTTTCTTTATGTTGGATTGATGTATTACTATTCCAATTTTCTCTTTAATAGTTTGTAGGTTCTTTAAGTCATTACTCCAGGAATTTTAATAAGTCCAAATTTATCAATACTCTGACTCTCCTCTCACAGAATGCATTCAATTTCATATGCCCTCTTAAATTTAAAATACAAGATATCAGTTACATATTCGTTTTGTTTAAAAAAACCTCTCTAGGCTGGGCGTGGTGGCTCACGTCTGTAATCTCAGTACTTTGGGAGGCCGAGGTGGGCCGATCACAAGGTCAGGAGATCAAGACAATCCTGGCCAACATGGTGAAACTAAAATACAAAAATTAGCTGGGTGTGGTGGCGCGTGCCTCCACACCCAGCTAATACCAGTAGAATACCAGCTACACAGGAGGCTGAGGCAGGAGAATTGCTTGAACCAGGGAGTCAGAGGTTGTGGTGAGCTGAGATTGTGCCACTGCGTTCCAGCCTGGTGACAGAGCGAGACTCCGTCTCAACAAACAAACAAAAATCTCTCTGATGTTATACTATTATTTTGTCAGTATTCATTTACATTTACTCAGAACATTAACATAAATATAAGTGGTGTTCAAATAAACAGAATGTTTAGGTTTTGTCAAAGAGAAATACAGTGGGGCTGGGCGCAGTGGCTCATGCCTGTAATCCAGTGCTTTGGGAGGTTAAGGCAGCTGGATTGCTTGAGGCCAAAAGTTTAAGAGCAGCCTGGGCAAAATAGTGAGACCCCATGCCTACAAATTTTTTTTTTTTTAATTAGCTGGGCCTGGTGGTCTACACCCATAATCCCAGCTACTCTGGAGGCTGAGGCCAGAGGATCACTTGAGCCCAAGAGCTATGGATGGCATGACTACACTGCAGCCTAGGCCACAGACCTAGACCCTGTCTTAAGAAACAAAAAGGCCAGATGCAGTGGCTAACACCTGTAATCCCAGCACTTTGGGAGGCCAAGGTGGGCAGATCGCCTGAGGTCAGCAGTTCAAGACCAGACTAGCCAACATGGTGAAACCCCGTGTCTACTAAAAATACAAAAATTAGCCAGGCGTGGTGGTGTGCACCTGTAATCCCAGCTACTCAGGAGGCTAAGGCAGGAGAATGGCTTGAACCTGGGAGGCGGAGGTTGCAATGAGCCGAGATTGCACCATTGCACTCCACCCTGGGTGACAAGAGCGAGACTCCGTCTCAAAGAAAAGAAAAGAGTCCAAGCGTGGTGGCGTACGCCTGTAATCACAGCACTTTGGGAGGCCGAGGTGGGTGGATTGCCTGAGGTTATGAGTTCAAGCCTGGCCAACATAGTGAAAGCCCATCTCTACTAAAAATATAAAAATTAGCGGGGTGTGGTGGCACATGCCTGTAATCCCAGCTACTTGGGAGGCTGAGGCAGGAGCATCACTTGAACCCAGGAGGCAGAGGTTGCAGTGAGCCGAGATCATGGCCACTGTACTCCAGCCTGGGCCACAGAGCCAGACTGCATCTCAAAAAAACAAAAACAAAAAAAAAAAAAGAAAAGAAAAAGAAACAAAGTGAGACAATAGTAAAAGGCAGTAAAGACAGATTTTATTCAGTAATAACTACTGCATTAGGGAACAGAATCCAGTGTGAACTGAGCTCCACTTTGGGAAACAAAAATCAGGAGTTGTTGAAAATGTTGGGGTGTACTAAAGAAGACACTGAAAGGTGTTACGGGGGAGTTTGGTCCATATGACTAAGGCATCAGGTTTTTTTTTTTTTTTTTTTTTAACTAATTGGTATTTATCCAGAGTAGAAACAAACTTCTTGTATCTTTACGACTGAGGTAGTTGTGAAAGTTGGAGCAAGACAGCCACCAAAGTTAGGCCCTTACACTCCCACAGCAACTGAGAGGCTGGAGCAAGAGCTGGCTCTCTGAATGTTTGCATTTCAAACTCAGCTGAGGAGACAGCTCTTGGTGGTAGATTTGCATCTCAAAGGGGCAGAGAAATGGTTTATAATTGCAAGCTTTCTAAAGTAACTGCTTTAAGAGGGGGCTTAAGGACCTATCACTATTTACAGGTTTTGGCTGGAACAGTATGTTTTCAGAACAGCATTGAGCTTTCTCAGGCAGGTTTTTTTTTTTTTGAGATGGAGTCTTGCTCTGTCACCCAGGCTGGAGTGCAGTGGTGTGATCTCCGCGCACCGCAATTGCCACCTCCCGGGTTCAAACAATTCTCCTGCCTCAGCCTCCCGAGTAGCTGGGATTACAGGCGCCTGCCACCACGCCCAGTTAATTTTTGCATTTTTAGTAGAGACGGGGTTTCACCATGTTGGCCAGTCTGGTCTTGAACTCCTGACCTCCAGTGATCCACCCACTTTGGCCTCCCAAAGTGTTGGGATTACAGGCGTGAGCCACACTGCCCAGCTTACATCTGAATTTCATTCCAGGATTAAGTGTCTGATTCACCTAAACAGATCGGAATGAAAGCCCTCTTATGGTTTTTACTTATTATCTGTTTACCCAGAATGAATTCAAATTTAAAAAGCATAAAACTTTTTTGAATTCATTAAACTTGAATGGTTAATGGTTTTCATTTCGTCAAAATGCACTAAAAATAACACAAGTAATGATATTATTATATACAGAAGCTAATGTTTATTGAACGTAACAGTATATTTCATGTAGTTTCCCATAATTTTTTCATGTACTAACTCATGTAATTCTTTGTTTTTTAGAGATCTGAAGTGATTTTACCTTTACTTCCTTCACTTTAAGCCAATCATGAAATTTCAGTGATTTCTGGGGTGAGGGCGAAAGGTGGTGTTACGAATCATCGGGGCTGTGGCCCAGTTGCCTCACGGAGGTGCAGGTAGGCTGGGGCCTCACTAGGGCAGCTGGAGGAGCACGGACTGCCCTGCCGGCAGGCAGGTGATGTTCCGAGAGCATGAGAGCTGGTATGCAATGTCTTCTGCAGCTTCCAGCTTGCACAGCTCGCTCTGGCCGTCCCCTGCAGTGGCCAGTGAGTTGGCGATCAGCTCAGCTGCCTTGGAGTCACCCTCAGCAGAGATGATGGCCGCCTTTTCCACCACAAATCTGGCGCTCTCTGCTTCCTGGGGGGCCACCTGTCTGTTAACTCCTTCAAGAAGGTCAGATGTGTCAAAGACACGTCGTCCAGAATGAGCCCAAAGGTGGCTGCTCACTCCATAAGGTTGTTGCTCACCTGGCTGGAGACCAGCTCCCTCTGGGTGATTAGTTCTCCAGCATCAAAGCGAGCCACCAGTGACTTGAGGATCTCCGTGGTAATGAACGGCAGCACACACTCATCGTAGTCCTCTCCAATGCTGGTGAAGATGCGAGGAAGCTGGCTAGTGATGGGCCGGAAGAGGATGCACAGTGTGATGTTGACATTCTGTAAATCTTTGCTACCAGTGATGACTGGCGCACTACGTGGTTGAGAACAGCAGTCAAAGATAATTGGTTTTTGTACACATGGGATGAGAAAGTGAGTCCCTTCCCCTACCACAATGTTCTGTACTCCACGGAATTGGTCAAAGATGGCAGCTCTGTGCCCAGCATCCACATTACATAAGGCAGAGTTCACCATGCCTCCTGCAACAGCTAAGGCCAGGCCAAACTTGCCGATGGACTCAAACACTTTGGCAGCCATGTTTTCTTCTGCGGGACCCTCTCACACCTGCTTCCACTCTGACCTCCACATCTAACTCATGTAATTCTAACAGCACTATACTGTAGGTACTACTATCATCATTTATATATGATCCCCAGAAGGGATAAATATCTTCCCCCATATCATCCCAGCTATAGGAAGCAGATGTTGATCATGAGCATTAAATATGCAGAGTGGCTAAATAGCCTTTCCCATCATCGCTTATATCAACAGAGGTTTCCTGTGTAATGGCTTTTTCCAGGTTTAACAATAAATGATTGTTGCTGGAAGATGTTTACATGCAAGTATAAAGAATGGTTTCCTACGTTTTCTCAGTTTTCCTCTACTGTGAATATTTTGGCAATCCAAAACTAGAGGAATATCAGAAAAGTTTTCTTATGTTATTAAAAAAATACATTATAAATTCTCTGAATCTGAGTTAACACAGGTCATACCAAAGAAACTGCATATATGATTTACATTTTGAAAAGTTCACACCAATACAAATTGATGCCTAATAAAAACTGAACTGTATCTCAAAGCCATTCCACATTGTCTTCATTCAAATTGTTCAGTGGGATAAATCCATTGACACAATGTGCTTTCTTTACTACCTGTATATGCCACAATTTCTCTATCAAATATGAATTCTCTGATGTACTTCAAGGATGGATCTAAGCCTAAAGGACCTTCTGCATTTGTTACATTTAAAGGGTTTCTCACCAGTATGAACTCTATGATGTATACTAAGTTCATGGCTACTATTAAAAGCTTTCCCACACTCTTCACACATATAGGGATTTCCATCAGCATGAACGCTTTCATGTCTAACAAGATATGAGGCACAGTGAAATGCCTTCCCACATCTTTTACATTCATAGGGTTTATCACTGGTATGAATTCTCTCATGAATAATAAGATGTGAAGCATGACTAAAAGTTTCCCCACATTCTTTACATTCATAGGACTTTTCACCAGCATGAGTTCGGTCATGATATATGAGGCTTGTGGCATGACGAAAGGCCTTGCCACATTCCTTACATTCGTAGGGTTTCTCAGCGCTATGAATATTCTGATGGGCTTTAAGTACAGAAATGAACCTAAAAGACTTCCCGCATTTGTTGCATTCAAAGGGTTTCTTACCACTGTGAATACTCAGATGCTGAGTAAGTTGTCCAGATACACTAAAGGCCTTCCCACATTCCTTACATTCATAAGGTTTCTCACCAGTATGAACTCTGCGATGTATAGTGAGTTTATGGCTATAACTAAAACCCTTCCCACACTCTTGACATACATAGGGTTTCTCTCCTGTATGAATTCTCTCATGTATAACAAGATATGAGGCACAACGAAAGGACTTCCCACATTCTTTACATTCAAAGGGTTTGTAACCAGTATGAATTCTGTTATGATGGGCAAGGTGTGCACGCTGACTGAAGGCCTTCCCACATTCCTTACATTTGTAGGGTTTCTCACCGGTATGAATATTTTGATGTATTTTAAGGGATGAATTGAGCCTAAAGGACTTCCCACATTTGTTACATTCATAGGGTTTCTTACCACTATGAATACCCTGATGTCGAGTAAGTCGTCCATGCACACTAAAGGCTTTCCCACATTCCTCACACTTATAAGGTTTCTCAACACTTTCAAATGTATGAGGTGCAGTAAGTTGATGGCCACTACTAAAAGCCTCCCCATTTTCTTTACATTCATAGTGTTTCTCCCCTGAATAAATTCTCTGATGCATGGTAAGTTGATACCTACATGTAAAGCCCTTCCCGCATTCCTTGCATTCATAGGGTTTTTCTCCAGTATGAATTCTTTTATGACCCACAAGGTGGGAAAACTGACGAAAGGCCTTTCCACATTCCTTACATTCATGTGGCTTCTCTCCAGTATGAATACTCTGATGTACTTTAAGGCCTGCTTTGAGCCTAAAGGACTTCCCACATTTGTTACATTCAAAGGGCTTCTCACCAGTGTGAATACTCTGATGTCGACTAAGTCGTCCATACACACTAAAGGCCTTGCCACATTCCTTACATTCGTAGGGTTTCTCACCATAATGAAATCTATGATGTACAGTAAGTTGACGGCTAGTCCTAAAAGCTTCCCCACACTCTTTACATTCATAGGGTTTCTCAACATGAACTTTCCCATGTTGAGCAAGGTTTGCAGGATAACTGAAGACCTTCCCACATTCTTCACATTCATAAGGTTTCTCACGAGCATTAATTTTCTGATGCTTTCTAAGGTCTGTAAGATGGCTAAATGCCTTCCTAAACTTTTCACATTGATCAGGTTCCTCACTAGTATGAATTGTTTGATGTACCATGAGTTCTGTAAGATGACTAAAGGACTTCTGACATTGCTTACACTCATATGGTTTCTGTCCATTATGAATTCTCTGATGGAGAGTAACACATGAGTGTTTCCTATAAAGCTGCATTTTCCCATCGCTGATTATTTCACATCTTGAATCCAAATCTAGAAGACATAAAATAAAAACATTTTATTGGATGAGAAAATGTCAATGTTATTGTAGAATTAAGAGAAATTCTCACCTATTACAGATGCTAACTCGAAAATACAGTTATAAAATATAAAAAATGAAAGGAGAGCTAAAAAAATGAGTTTGTGCAGTGGAATGCAGCCTTACACACACAGGCACACATACACAAAGAGACACACACACACACAGAGCCCTGTTTTGTAGTGTTTGCCAAGATCTCTGGTGTAAATACTCCCACTGAGGGCAATTTCTAGCTGTCAATTTAATGCAGATTTATTAATATATGTGCATAACTGGCTCTAGAATGACAGAACTGACCAGCTGTACCACACCCCCTGTATATAAATTTATATCATATGCTAAGAATACAGGCAAGTATCGATATGGAAATAGAAGAGTAAAATGGAAGAATTCCAGCAGATTGAACATCTGTAGGACCAGAAGTAATAAGAAAATGTCAGGGTAAGATAACTAAATAGAAACTCAGTATCTTATTTAATATATAGAGAAAAGTAGGATACACGGTCATGCATAGAAAGGAATAAACTACAGTTTCGGGAACACCCATATTTCAGGGAAGATTTTCATTGAAGAATGATCAGGTTTACAGCATATGTCGATGTGATATACATGGAAATTATAACATAAAGGGTAAGGAAATCATGACGGAGAAAATGGGTACACATCATAATCATGGGCATTCAGTATCGGCAGGCAGGGAGTTCAGAGTGAATATTTATCTCAATAAAAAGGAAAGAAAATAAGTAAAAGATCACTACCCAACATTTAGGAATTTAAGAGCAAGGTACAGGAAAGCAGGAAAATAAAGATAAAAGCAGAATGTGATGGGTTAGGAAACGGAATAGTGTCAACACCTAAATCAAAGACATGGTGTTTACAAAAATCATCGGGTGAAATATGAGCTAAAGCAACCAAAAAAGAATAAAAAATAAAAATAAGAAACAAGGGAAAATAAGAAAGAGATTTTATTTAAATTATGAGAGTATATATACATATTTTGAAAGTATTAAAAACAGTGAATGATTTTGTAGGAATATTCTTCAAAGATGACCCTAAAAGTGAAAAGTCTAAATAGTCAATTGTCATAGATGAAATACAAAAAGCTGCTAAAAAGACAGTTAATATGAGCACATTTTACCCCCTATCTTGTAATTTCTCAATATCTGAATTTTTAAAATGTGCACATAAGATATTCCAGAGAAACAATTCAGGAAGGGAACAGGTAACATGAACCTGAAAATATAATTAAAAAAAGAAAGGAAGTCTTCAAAGACTTAGAGTTGTGAGTAAACAAAACAATAAAAATAGTAGTGTTGAATATGAATTCTAAATTTCTCTTCAAAGAATTAATCTATCAGTATGTTCAATCTTTGCCTTCTACATTTAAACTTAACTTCCTCTAAAGCAACCTTTTTCGATTACCTACTCCACCCTAAATCATTCTGATCACCTGCTCCACCCTAACTCATTCCAGTTACCTACTACCTGCTCTGCCCTGACTCCCGCCAAAGCGCTCACCCTGTCATTCTCTTTAAATTAGCCAATCAGAATTAGTTTAGCCTGTGCGGTCTAACCCTAGCCAATAGGGGAACGACACAGCAGCAGGGGACACGTGCGTCAGGGATAAGAACCCCTTCCCCTCCCTTGTCCAAATGTGTGCCCACCATTGCTCCATCGGTGAAAGCGCACACTTCTATACAAGTACCTTACCTTGCTGAAAATTTAAAAAAAAGAAAATTTTATATTCGAGTGCTATTTCTTTTGCAGCATCGAAACTTTATTTATAACAGTAGCATACCCAGGTTTGGAGCCAGGCTCAATGGCTAATGCCTGTCATGCTAGCTAATATGATTGCAACATCAGAACATTAAGACAAAGCTTAGAAAAACACACTGGAAATGATGGACAACATAGGAGATATAACCATGGGGGGGAGACAGAAAAGGATGAAAATGCAAATTATACAACTGAAACATATAATCACTAAGAGTCAGTAAACTTGATTGATCAATAGAAATTATTCAACTTGAAATGGAGAGAGAAAAATGGTTTAAAAAATTTTAGCTGGGTGTGATGGCTCATGCCTGTAATCCCAGCACTTTGGGAGGCTGAGGCGGGTGGATCACCTGATGTCAGGAGTTCGAGACCAGCCTGGCCAACATAGTGAAATCCTGTCTCTATTAAAAATACAAAAAATTAGCTGGGCATGGTGGCGGGCACCTGTAATCCCAGCTACTCGGGAGGCTGAGGCAAGGAAATCACTTGAACCTGGGAGGCAGAGGTTGCAGTGAGCAGAGATTGCGCCATTGCACTCCAGCCTGGGCAACAACAGCGAAACTCCATCTCAAAAAAAAAAAAAAAAAAAAAAGAAAGAAGAAAAAATGTGTAAACAGCTGTGGGAATAAATCAAAAGATATGATTGAAATTATAAACTAAAAAACAAAGATTTTGGCAGGAAAAATATCTCAGGAAATAGCAATTGAAAACATCTCAAATTTAGTGAAAGAAATAAATTTGTAGAATTAAGATGCTCATTTAATGCCAAGTAAGATATGTTACATTTACTGATAAAAGCAAATTAGTTTGTTGCCATCAGACTTACTATACAAAAAATGCTAACAAGTTATTTAGGCCCAAAGAAAATACTATCAGAGAAATCTGAATCTTCAGAATATAAGAAAAGCATCACAAAAGATGATGTAAATAAAATAATTTTTTGCTCCTTAAGTTCTTTAATATGACTGTTAAAAGCAAAACTAATAACACTGCCTAGTGAGGTTTACAACATATGAAGATGTGATATACATGGAAATTATAACATGAAGGGTAAAGGTGGATATAAACCTATAAAAATACAAGGTTTATACATTTGTTGAGAAAGAACAATTCTATCTAGCTGGCGAAACGTCATGTATATTGTATACTATAATACCTATAACACTACCTAAAATAAATTACTCAAGGAGATACAACCCAAAAGTCAACAGGTAAATTTATTTATTTATTTTTATTTTTACTTTTTTTTTTTGAGATGGAGTTTCGCTCTTGTTGCCCAGGTTGGAGTGCAATGGTGTGATCTCGGCTCACTGCAACCTCCGCCTCCCAGGTTCAAGCAATTCTCCTGCCTCAGCCTCCCGAGTAGCTGGAATTACAGGAATGCATCACCATGCCTGGCTAATTTTGTATTTTTAGTAGAGACGGGGTTTCTCCATGTTGAGGCTGGTCTCGAACTCCTGACCTCAGGTGATCCGCCCGCCTTGGCCTCCCAGAGTGATGAGATTACAGGCGTGAGCTACCACACCCCACCAACAGGTAAATTTAAATAAATAGCAAAAAAAAAAAAAATTGAAATAATCAAAATTACAAAAGGAATGGACAGAGAAACTAAATAGAGAAAAAAAGTAAAGTAGTAGACCTAAATGTAATCATGTTAATAATTACATAAAATGTTTAGGGTCAAAACACTTTAATTAAAAGGCAAAGATTAACATAGTGAATGACCCATCACCTCACACCCATCAGGATGGCTACTGGTAAAAACAAAAACAAAAACAAAACAGAAAATAACTAATGTTGAAGAGGATGCAGAGAAATTGGAACCCTTATGCACTATGTAATGGCTACAAGGAACATACTTTAAAGACACAAAATATTAAAAGTAAAAAGATGGAATCAATATAACAAACCAAAAAAATGGTGGGCTATATTAATATCAGACAACATAGATTTCAGGACAAAGAAAAACAGGAGGACTCAAGAAGGTGCATGTCGTAACATAAAAGGGATCAGTCTATCAAGAAAACATAAAAATCCCAAACACTTATGCACCTGATAACAGACTCTCAAAGTACATAAAACAACAACTGATTGAAATGCAATGAAAAATACGTAAGTTAAAACATAACTGGAAATTGGCCAGGCGTGGTGGCTCACACCTGTAATCCCAACACTTTGGGAGGCCGAGGTGGGCAGATCATGAGGTCAGGAGATCGAGACTAGCCTGGCCAACATAGTGAAACCCTGTCTCTAATAAAAATACAAAAATTAGCTGGGTGTGGTGGTATGCATCTGTAGTCCCAGCTACTCAGAGGCTGAAGCAGGAGAATCACTTGAACCCCGGAGGCGGAGGTTGCAGTGGGCCAAGACCACGCCATTGCACTCCAGCCTGGGTGACAGAGTAAGACTCCGTCTGAAAAAAAAAACAAAAATAAAGAAAAAAAATATATAACTGGAAATGGAAATATTTTTCTAGAAACAATTCCCAGAACAAGTACACAAAAACACGGTAAAAATATACAAGATTTGCACAGTATTAACCAAGAAACTACATGAGATATTCACAGAACATTCCACCCAACACCAACATATACAATATTCTCAAGCCCATGTGGAATATTTGCCAAGAGGGCCCACACAGTACATAAAACAAATCTCAATTATTATTTAAAACAATTCAAGTCATAAAAAGCATGTTCTCTGATCATAATGGCACTAATTATAAATCACTAACCAACACTGAAACATCCTTAACTGTTTAGAAAACAAACCAACATACTTCTAAATAAACCATAGGTCAAAGAAGAAATCAAGAAGGAAATTAGAAAGCAATCTGAACTGAATCAAAATGGACACACAATGTATCAACTTTTATGGAATACTAACTAATAAAGAATTACCTAGGGGAAATTTACAACACTAACATCTATGTTAGCATAAATAACAACAAAAAAAGACCTCAGTTGGCTGGGTGCAGTGGCTCACGCCTATAATCCCAGCACCGGGCGAGCGGGCGGATCACAAGGTCAGGAGATAGAGACCATCCTGGCTAACACGGTGAAACCTCGTCTCTACTAAAAATACAAAAAATTAGTCGGGCATGGTGGCGGGCGCCTGTAGCTATTCAAGAGGCTGAGGCAGGAGAATGGCGTGAACCCAGGAGGTGGAGCTTGCAGTGAGCCGAGATTGCGCCACTGCACTCCAGCCTGGGCAACAGAGCGAGACTCTGTCTAAAAAACAAACAAACAAACAAACAAAACAAAACAAAACTCAGTCTTCGCCTTAACAGAAAAAGAGGAGCAAATCAAACCCAAAGCAAGAAGAATAAAAATAATAATCATCAGAAAAAATAATAAAATAGAAAACTGAAAATCAATAGAGAAAAAAATCAATGAAACCAAAAGCCGATTATTTGAAAGATCAATGAAATTGATAAACCTCCACCCAAAGGGGAGAAAAGGGAAAGAAGGCATAAATGACCCATTTCAGGAATAAAAAAGGGATTATCACTATAAATCATAAAGTATTATGAACAACCCCATGCCAATCAATTTGACAACTTAGATGAAATGAACAAATTCCTTGAAAGAAGCAGACCACCAAAGCTTGACCAAGAAGTAGATAAAGCAATGAACACTACCATCCAGTAAATAATTTAAGCTGGTCGGGCCCTTCAGAAAACAGTTTGCCAGGGCCGGGCATGGTGGCTCACGCCCCAGCACTTTGGGAGGCTAAGGCAGGCAGATCATCTGAGGTCAGGCGTTTGAAACCAGCCTGGTCAACATGGTGAGACCCTGTCTCTACTAAAAATACAAAAGTTAGCCAGGCATCATGGTGGGCGCTTATAGTCTCAGCCGCTTAGGAGGCTGAGGCAGGAGAATCACTTGAACTTGGGAGGTGGAGGTTGCAGTGAGCTGAAATCGCACCACTGCACTCCAGCCTGGGCAAGAAAGCAAGACTCTCTCTCCAAAAAAAAAAAAAAAAAAAAACTTAGATGCATGTTCAACTTCCAAGAAAAATACAAAGCACCAATTTTTACTTAAGAAGAAATTGAAAATCTGAAAAAGAAAAAAAACTATATTTCTTTCTCTTCCTTTCTCTCTCTCCCCCACCCCTGCTCCCTTCTCTCTCTTTCTCTCTCTTTTGTTCTCATAAAGTGATTAAATCAATAACCCAAACACTTCCTATAAAAACAGGTTGATGCCAGGCATGGTGGCTTACATCTGTAATCCCAGCACTTTGGGGGGCCGAGGTGGGCGGATCACCCGAGGTCAGGAATTTGACACCAGCCTGGCCAACATGGTGAAACCCTGTCTCTACTAAAAATACAAAAATTAGCTGGGCAGCACACCCATAGTTCCAGCTGCTCGAGAGGCGGAGGCAGGAGAATTGCTTGAACCCAGGAGGTGGAGGTTGCAGTGAGCCAAAATGCCGCCACTTTTCTCCAGCCTGGGCAACAGAGCAAGACTCTATCTCGAAAGATGGAAAAGAGAGGAGAAGAGAGGAGAAAGGAGAGGAGAAAGGAGAAGAAAAAGGAGAGGAAAAAGGAAAGGAAAGGAAAGGAGGGGGAAGGGGGAAGGGGGAAGGGAAAAACAAAAGAAAAGAAAGAAGAAAGAAATAGCTGGACATGATGTGTCCTGTAATAGGAACTGAGGTGAATACACCTTCAGTGCAAAGTTTGAGGTTCGTCTGCGTAGGAGTTAGGCCGTGTTCATTGTGTGCTGTAGCTGTGTTTGTGTTGCAGCTTCAATTCTTCCAGTCTTTATTTATGTCTTCTCTTTGGGTTTCCCTAGCAATTCTTTCTTAAATGGAGACTGTCTTGCAGGTCTCTCAGTTGGAATCCACAATTTTTACTCTGTAGCTCTGCTGAGGAGGAGGTAAGGTATTTCAGAGGGGACGCTTTCTGTAATCTTACGATTAGCACTCTCTTCCCCACCGTGGCCAGACGGCTCGCGTTGTAACTTGACAAGAATTTCTTAATTTTTTTTTTTGAGACAGGGTCCCACTCTGTCACCCAGGTTGGAGTGCGGTATTGTGATCTCAGCTCACTGCAACCTCTACTTCCAAGGCTCAAGTGATCCTCCCACCTTAGCCTCCCAAGTAACTGGGATTATAGGCAGTGCCACCACACCTAGCTAATTTTTCATATTTAGGTTGGAGTGTGGTGTTGTGATCTCAGCTCACTGCAACCTCTGCCTCCAAGGCTCAAGTGATCCTCCCACCTTAGCCTCCCAAGTAACTGGGATTATAGGCAGTGCCACCACACCTAGCTAATTTTTCATATTTTTTGTAGAGATGGGGTTTCGCCATGTTGGCCAGGGTGGTCTTGACCTCCTGTCTTCAAGTGATCTGCCCGCCTCGGCCTACCAAAGTGCTGGGATTACAGGTGTGAGCCACTGAGCCCGGCCAAAATTCACTTTTCTTGATATACAGTTCTATGAGATTTGGAAAATGCATATGGTTGTTCATAACCACAATGTGGATATAGAACAGGCCGGGTGAGATGGCTCACACTTGTAATCTTGGCACGTTGGGAGGCTGAGACGGGTGGATCGCTTGAGCCCAGAAGTTCAAGACCAGCCTGGGCAACATAGTGAGACCCTGTCTCTACAAAAATACAAAAATTAGCTGGGTGTGGTGGTGCACACCTGTGGTCCCAGATACTTCAGAGGATAAGACTGTGCCACTGCACTCCTGCTCTGGGTGACAGAGTGAGACCTTATCTCAAAAACAAAAAAAAGGTTGGGCAGGGGGATATAGAACAATTCTGGGCCAGGCACGGTGGTTTACACCTATAATCCCAGCACTTTGGGAGTCTGAGGCAGGAGGAACACTTGAGCCCAGGAGTTTGACAACAGCCCGGGCAATGTAGGGAGACCTCATCTCTAAAGAAAAAAAAATTAGCCAGGTGTGGTGGTATGCACTTGTGGTCCCAGCTACTGTGGTGGATCACCTCAGGTGATCTGCCCGCCTCGGCCTCCCAAAGCGCTGGGATTACAAGCGTGAGCCACAGCGCTGGGCCTTCATTGGCTATTTCATGCTGAGATATCCATTTCTTCTCCACATCAGAAGCCTCCTCGCTGAGAAGGGAAATTTATGACCAATGTTTCAAGGATGCGTTTACCAAATGAGATGACCACTTCCACGAGGGCTATTTGCATACAAAAATGGCTGCCCCTGCCTGACTTGCTCTTACCTGTACACTCTCCTCTTGTTTCTTCCCTCACAATCATCCATGGCTCTTTTCCTTGCTCCAATAAGGTGATTAAATCTGGCTTAGATACGGAATGTCCTGCTTACAAAGAAAAGAAGTGCCACAAAATACGGAAATCAACTTTGAAGGTAAAATTTAAAATTACAATTGCAATAAATGAAAGGTCAAAGTGATACTGAGTAAGATTTTAGAGAAGAGTGAGGGAAATAAAGAAAAAGATCACCCAGGGAGAGTCAATGTTTTTGTTTGCTGGTTTTCAAAAAAAATTTTTTTTTTTTTTTTGCGACGGAGTCTCGCTCTGTCACCCAGGCTGGAGTGCAACGGCGCCATCTCGGCACACCACAACCTCCGCCTCCCAGGTTAAAGTGATTCTCCTGCCTCAGTCTCCTGAGTAGCTGGGATTATAGGCGTGCACCACCATGCCTGGCTAATTTTTGTATTTTTAGTAGAAATGGGGTTTCGCCATGTTGGCCAGGCTGGTCTCGAACTCCTGACCTTGTGATCCGCTCATCTGGGCCTCCCAAAGCACTGGGATTACAGGCATGAGCCACCGTGCCCAGTCTCAAAAGAAATTTAAACTTATATGTCCTCTAACTGTAGAAAGCAAGCATAAAGTGGTTGAAAACACATACTCTAAAGCCTGGGATTGGCTGGGTGCGGTGGCTCATGCCTTGTAACCCCAGCACTTTGGGAGGCCCTGAGGTCAGGAGTTGGAGACCAGCCTGGCCAATATGGTGAAACCCTGTCTCTACTAAAAATATAAAAATTATCTGTAGGTGTGGTGGTAGTGCCTCTAATCCCAGCTACTAAGGAGGGTGAGGCAGGAGAATCACTTTAACCCGGGAGGCGGAGGTTGCAGTGAGCTAAGATCGCACCACAGCACTCCAGCCTGGGTGACAGAAGACTCTGTCTCAAAAAAAAAAAAAAAAAAGCCTGGGATCAATTCCTGACTCTGTCACCTTCCAGCTGTGTGTGACCTTGGGCAAGTTACTTACACTGCTGGTCAGTATTCTCACTTATAAAATTGGGAAAACAATAAAGCTGTTGGGAGTATTAAATTACTTGATATATGAGTAAAGTAATTAGAAAAATGTTGGTGTGGAAATCACAATGCTAGCTGTTCACATTACACTGCTGCAATTATTTTACTAAGACTATACAAGAAGAGATATCTATAGTATATTCATCCCATTTTACATGTGATTTTCATGGATTATAAGCTTCAACCATAAATCAAATGAATTCTGTCTCAGGAAATGGACTACTTTCTTCTCAATTTTAAGTAAGTTTCATTTATCCAGTCCACCACTCTATGCCTATATGAACAGTCTCTTTCAATAATAACGGCAATTCAGCACCCTCTTTCAAAGTAATATCACTGCAAATGGATCAGATAATAAAATGGAGCACTATAGCAATTCTGTGCACAAAATAAATAAGAAACCTGAACGCCCTGACAATGGTTCTACAATGAACACCAGAAAATTCCAAGCTAAACCACTGGTTCAACCCACTTACTGGGTTAAAGAGACAAATAAAAGAGGTATCAGAGGGAGGTGTGAATGTCACTGAAAGATAGAGAAGATGAAAGTGTTGAAAGGACCTGCCATTACTGACTCAAAGCTGAAACCACCTCAATAGAAATAGAGAAAATAAATTTAGTTTCTTAAAAGGCAGCCCTGAAAACCACAACAGAAAAAGAATGTATCCTACGAAACAGATGATTCTAAATTATTCTAAATCATTCCAGGTTGATAAACATACCCAATGAGACTAAGTTGTCATAGTTCTCCATCATCACCTCCTGGTACAAGGTCTTCTGAACCAGGCTGAGATATTCCCACTCCTGATGAGAGAAGTCTATGGCCACATCCCCGAATGTTATTGATCCCTGAAACAGCAAACCCATGTATTACTGGGGAAATTCCAAAATGGAGTGGAGGGGCCGGGCACTGTGGCTCACGCCTGTAATCCCAGCACTTTGGGAGGCCGAGGCGGGCAGATCATGAGGTCAAGAGATGAAGACCATCATGGTCAACATGGTGAAACCCCGTCTCTACTAAAATACAAAAAATTAGCTGGGTGTGGTGGCGCATGCCTGCACTCCCAGCTACTCGGGAGGCTGAGATAGGGGAATCACTTAAACTTGGGAGGCGCAGGTTGCAGTGAGCCGAGATTGCGCCACTGCACTCCAGCCTGGGCAATAGAGCGAGACTCCGTCTCAAAAAAATTAAAAGAAAATGGAGTGGATGGCCGGGCGCGGTGGCTCACGCCTGTAATTCCAGAACTTTGGGAGGCCAAGGCGGGCAGATTACCTGAGGTCGGGAGTTCAAGACCAGCCTGACCAAGATGGAGAAACCCTGTCTCTACTAAAAAAACCACAAAATTAGCTGGCGTGGTGGCACATGCCTGTAATCCCAGCTACTCAGGAGGCTGAGGCAGGAGAATCCCTTGAGCCTAGAAGGCAGAGGTTGCAGTGACCTGAGAATGCTCCATTGCACTCCAGCCTGGGCAACAAGAGCGAAACTCCATCTCAAAAAAAAAAAAAAAGAAAAGAAAAACGAAAATGGAGTGGAGGAGATGAAGGAGTGCATTGCAGCAGAAGAGCAATATAACCAGCATACAGACCAGAAATCTATGCTATCAGGGAGGGGAATGAAGCAGAATTTATACATATTTTTGAAGAAGCTTGAAACACAAATAAAACTTTCTGCCTGTTCTGGGACACTTCTTAGGTATCTGACCTTTTTGAAAATGACAAAATAATAATGTTTTTCTATTAAACTAAATCATTATTATGCACATAATGCCCTGGTGGTATCTGCCTCATAACTTCTCAATCAATGTGTGTTAACTGAGGAATATTTTGACTTGGAAGAGAATTTAAACTTTTAATCAAGAGATGTTTTATGCAAAATATGGTACAGATTCTCAATTTTAGAAAACTAGGTTTCCTGTGACCTCGTGGTGCAACAATAGCGCATCTGACTCACGCATCTGACTCCAGAAAACTAGGTTTCCTTAAAATTAATAATTTCTTCAAGCATCAAGTACTTCATTACATTAAATCTTACCATGAGCATTTTTGTTTGTTTTGACAAAGGATTTTATCATGACATTATTATTTTATGGTATTTGTTTTTCAGGACTTTCTATCCAAATCCACGATTTCTGTGTTTACAAGTTCCAATCCAATAGACTAATTCACACAAAACATGAGATTTTACCCTACCTGAAGATTTAGATCCTTCAATGCCAATTTCCACCTTATCTAGCTGAAAAATTCAGATGTCTGGAAAATTTCAAAGACTTCCCATGGATGGTCAAATGGAACTGTTGTCTCAATCGCAACAAATGACAAAACCAACCTGAAATGCGTATTATCTGTACTCAAAGAACTTGACTCCTTTCCTCTGTATCACTGCCCAAAATAGAAGAATGGGCACCTAGAGGACATTAATTTGGTCAATAACAACATGAATGCTAGTGAATTTGCAGTGGCCCACCTAGCGAGGATGCTGGGTGATGTGGTACATATTTTACTGGAAGAATGAGAACTGGAGATTAGGTTAACTGAGCACCGTCTCACGAAGGTAACTTCAGGAAAAATGATGAGAAGACATACATGACCTAAAAAATCACACACAAACCTCCACATGGCGAGAAATATCAACTTACATAGGACATGGTTTGAGACTGGCAAGAGTTGATCAGTCCTTGGCGTTTCTCTACCAGAAGAGCAAAGTCAAAAGAACCAAGACCTGAAAGAAGAGAAGACCTTGAGACCAGCTGTGCTTTAGTGGTCCCCATAGGACTCAAGGTAATAGTACTGTTTTCCTCTTCCATTCCAAGTTACAAACTACCTCCTCTCACATACAATTTGGGAAGATTAAGATTCTGGATAAACCCATTTCCTCCCCCACTACCCAAGGGCCTCACCTACACAGAGTCATACATTAGAAACATACTGTCATGGAAACCAGACCCAGATAATTCAGTAGGAAATTTTCTGGCCAATGTACGATGTTGGTGAGGCAGATGGGGACCTCAGATTAGGCAGCCCTGTCCTGCTTTGAGCAGAACTACCTCTTTCCATTCCCTCCTTTAAGGGTAAAAACAGGGAACATCATCCATACCAGAACCTCTTTTTAGTCTTGAAACTGGGGAAATTGGTCAAGATATTGGAGACAGATGGCGAGTGTTCAGCATTCTAAGTCTAGCAAAGCTTCCTAGTTAAATATATAACAGACTATCACTGTCCTAGAATACAAACTAGTCATTAAATGTGAAATTGAGAAAAATTCAAGGACATGAAAAATATCAGAAACAATGTCAACATAAAGATCAGACTGACCAATACATTTATTTTTGTAAAATATATAAATACATATCCATCAATACAGAGAGAAAGGCTGGCAGACAGATAATCATAAAATAGGCAAGGTGGCATGCACCTGTAGTCCCAGCTACCCAGGAGGCTGAGGCGAGAGGATCACTTGAGCCCAGGAGTTCAAGGTTGCAGTGAGCCATGATTGTGCTACTGAACTCCAGCCTGGGTGACAGAGCAAGACTCTGTCTCCAAGAAACAAAAAAGTGCTTATAGTCATAGTGCTTATATCTCACTATGTATTCCATTTTGGCTGAATACATGAAACAACTAAATAAAACTAAAGGAAAAGTAAATAAACCTTTGCTTAGCAACTTCCCATAATCAGAGTTTGATAAATAGCATTCCCTATACTTTTGTG
The DNA here is from genome assembly GCF_000001405.40 of Homo sapiens. Lineage (NCBI taxonomy): Eukaryota > Metazoa > Chordata > Mammalia > Primates > Hominidae > Homo > Homo sapiens. The sequence continues at coordinate 37,712,680 of NC_000019.10, forward strand.
TGGCTCTTGATTTTTTCATTATTAATACTTCCTTCACGATTATTGTAAGCACGGACATATTAACTTGAAACATGTATGTGTTTCCAATTTGTTAAGGTGGGAATTTCAACAAAATTATTTTTTCTCTAAATTTAAAATCATCTTACTGAATGGCTTATCTTCTGTGGGTTCCTTTGGGTCCCCAAACCTAAACTCACTTCATCACCGGTTCTCAGATATGTTAGAATTGTGTCTCCAACAACATGGGGAACTGTCCCTGAGAAATCTCCTCTGTGAATGGATGATGGTCTCAATACAGCTTTATTTCAGGTCTTCTTAACAGAAGGGTTTATTTCGTTCCTAAATCTGGCAGGTAGGTCAGGATATCCTCTAGATAGCTGCTGAATTTCCTCATGCAATTAATTTTGCTTTCTATCTAGTATCATTACAGTGAAAACTACAAGGTTTAAAAGATGTAGTATAAAACCTGTTTATCACCATACATAGCCCATAGACTCAGTGTAATTTGTTCATAGCCTGACTATTGCTATACTCAGACTGATGTCTCTGTTACGTGACATCACCAAGTAGTTCACCTAAATCTCTCCAAACAGACTCTATCACACACTGCCTTAAACTTCCTCCTATTCAGATTTGACTTTCCTTCATAGACTGTAAAAGTATTTCAGAGGAAGCAACTCATCTTTTCAGTGATTGTCCCATTTCAAATACTGCAATTTTCAGGTGTGGCGTAGTAGAAGCACTTAATAAAAGTCTGATTTTTTTTTTTTTTTTGAGGCAAAGTTTTACTCTTTTGCCCAGGCTGGAGTGCAGTGGCATGATCTTGGCTCACTGCAAACTCCGCCTTCTGGTTTCAAGTGGTTCTCCTGCCTCAGCCTCCCAAGTAGCTAGCTGGGATTACAGGCACCTGCCACCATACCCACCTAATTTTTGTATTTTTAGTAGAGATGGGGTTATCACCATGTTGGCCAGGCTGGTCTCAAACTCTTGACCTCGTGATCTGCCAGCCTCAGCCTCCCACAGTGCTGGGATTACAGGTGTGAGCCACCACGCCCGGCCCAAAAGTCTTTTTTACCACAAAATTCACAGGTACACTTGTAAGAATTTTTAAAAAGGAAATAACGATAGAAGTACACAACCAATACGTACAATACATTCATCAAAGATAATTTTTGATTATCGAAATTAAAAACACAAATATTAAAAGCACAATAGGGAGTAGGTTAAACATATTATTCTCCGGACTATGGTAACATCCTATGCCATGATTACTAAGATTGATCTTAAATCATATAATCAAAGGAAAATAGTACCAAGGATGAGTTAGTAAATAAGACAGGTTTAAAAACGTATGCACCCAGTCGGGCGCAGTGGCTCATGCCTGTAATCCCAGCACTTTGGGAGGCCGAGGTGGGCGGATCACGAGGTCAGGAGATCCAGACCATCCTGGCTAACACAGTGAAACCCCGTCTCTACTAAAAATACAAAAAAAATTAGCCAGGCGTGGTGGCGGGCGCCTGTAGTCCCAGCCACTTGGGAGGCTGAGGCAGGAGAATGGCGTGAACCCAGGAGGCGGAGCTTGCAGTGAGCCAAGATCGCGCCACTGCACTCCAGAGCAAGACTCCGTCTCAAAACAACAACAACAACAACAACAACAACAACAGCAGCAGCAGCAGCAGCAGCAGCAACAACAAACATACTCACCCTGTCTCCAGTAAAAATAATTTTAAAAAAAATTAGCTGGGCATGGTGGCGGGTGCCTGTAATCCCAGCTACTTGGGAGGCTGAGGCACCAGATTCGCTTGAACCAGGAGACCGAGGTTGCAGTGAGCCAAGATCATGCCACTGCACTCCAGCCTGGATGGCAGAGTGAGACCCCATCTCAAAAAAAAAAAAAAAAAAAAAGTATGCAAAAATTAGTTACGTGGTATCCTGCTGAAATTAAGAAGACAGGCTGTCTTCTCACTCTCAAAAGTGATACTGAGTTTTGCCTTATGAGAGATGCTAACATATGAATGCCTGTTTCCCCATCAGCAAATAAGGGATAGGAATATATCCTACTTAACGAGACAGTTCTGAAGATTAATCAAGATGATCTATAGAAACACGAAAAAAGTAAAATATGATAGCTACTGTAATAACATTATCATCAAATGTTAAAAAATACCACATGCTCATTAATCCGTTATTATAAAAGGAACTTAATTCTGTTGCTTCCTGTTTTTCTTTCTTTCTTTCTTTTTTTGAAATGGAGTCGCGTTCTGTCGCCCAGGCTGGAGTGCAGTGGCACAATCTTGGCTCACTGCAACCTCCACCTCCCAGGTTCAAGCTATTCTCCTGCCTCAGCTCTCCGAGTAGCTGGAACTACAGGCGTGTGCCACCATGCCCGGCTAATTTTTTGTACTTTTAGAAGAGATGGGCTTTCACTATGTTGACCAGGCTGGTCTAGAACTCCTGACTTAGTGATCTGCCCACCTCAGCCTCCCAAAGTGCTGGGATTACAGGCATGAGCCACTGCACCCAGCCACTTTCTGTTTCTTAAAGTTTGTGCTTCATGGGCTTTCTCCTACTCATAATTCCGAATTTACAAATTTCATGGCCCACCTTTAAGAAAATACAAGTCTTCTTTAAAAAAAAAAATTAGGTTTTTTTTGGCTGGGTGTGGTGGCTCACGCCTGTAATCCCAGCACTACAGGAGGCTGAGGCGGGCGGATCATCTGAGTTCAAGACCAGCCTGACCAACATGGTAAAACCCCATCTCTACTAAAAATACAAAATTAGCTGGGCATGGTGATGCATGCCTGTAATCCCAGCTACTCAGGAGGCTGAGGCATGAGAATTGCTGAACCCAGGAGGTGGAGGTTGCAGTGAGCTGAGATCATGCCATTGCACTCCAGCCTGGGCCACAGAATGAAACTCCATCTAAAAAAAAAAAAAAAGATGATCAGATAAGTAAGGAGAAAATGCCCCTTTCCTTACTCCCCAGCAGGTACAGAAAACAAGGAAGATACCACTCAGCCTCACATACATTCAAAGAACTGGATCTAATAAAGTGCTAGGTCAAGAATATTAAGGAGAGTGAATCTTATTTTCCTGCCAAATACAAACATTTATGTGAGTATTTGTAAATATCACAATACCTATTTGTTATTATTACTGAACTATCTTTGGAAATATTACCATACTTGCAAGACATCTGGAAATCATAGATTACCATGCTTTTCTCTGCAGTAACTTTGCATTTCTAAACTACTAATTCTGAGAGGATGTCTTCATCATTTGTGCCCTGTTAAGTTTTAAATCGCATTTTTAATACCTAAAAGGTATAAAAACTTGGATTGTTTTTCACCTCTGAAGGAGGTCCCTGGTAGCTCCCTCTCCTCTTAAAATGCAGAGATATATGAAAGCCCATGTCAAAAGACCTAGTTGCAACACATTGACTTACAGATCTAATGGGCTTTGTGATTCATGAAAGGGGTAGCCTCCATTGTACAAAATAGCGTAAGAGCTCCTACTGAGCAATGGAGAAACAGTGGATTTTGTAAGGTGGAAACAAATAAGAGAACTATAGAAAAAAAAATTGATTGGTGACTATCAGGCTACTTCAGTTTACTTTTTTCTGGAAGGTTAAGCGGAGGTCATTTCCTTATTATGCTGACTCAGGTAGACTGGAGTCTCCTGTTTTCAGGAAAAACTGATCTGTTTGGAACTCTACCTGCTCCCTTAAAGTTTCAGTTTTGTAATGTGGCTTTTAGCATGAGTGACTTCATTTTGGTTTAGTCTGGTCTGTTGGAGCCTAGTGCAGAAGCTCAGTCCAAAGTAATGGTGTCTCATCATACTGGTTTTATATCCATGGTTGGGTTAGATTCCTTTTTCTAACTAAAAGTAGGAGTCTGTCTATTTCATTAATTCTCTTCTGTAAAGACAAAACCACACACAAGTGCTCACACATGAAAACTGAAAACATATACACCCAAATTTGTAAAGTGATTCTCTCTGGGCAGGGAGGTTTGGGTTATTCTAAATTTCTTCTTTGAAACTATCTTAGGGAGTGAAATTTTTGTGACGAAACTGCCTTAATTCCATCATCATAAATATAACTTCAAGATATTTCAAAGTAGTAATAAACTATTTCTAAAAGTATCCTTATGGGGAGAGGGTACATGTGTCATTAAAAGAAATCTAAATATTAGGCCTAGAATGAAAAATCAGCGTGACTAAAACATGTAACTCTTTGTCTTCTTGAACAGCCTTTAGCTGTGTTTCTTCTACATAACTAGAAACAATTCACTATAAAGATTCTTTCCTTAGTGGACAGGGAAATGGCTTCTGCACATCTAATGGGAACAGGTACACAAAATAGGTCCAATAATTTGGGGCACACATTATATGCTCAGTAAATGTAGCCACAACCCTTTCATTCCTCTCTGAAAAACCAATTAAATAATCATTTTGGATACAATCCTTGCAAAAGTTTTTGCAAAATTCCCTTTGTTTAATTTTAATTTTAAATTTTATTTTTTTGAGACGGAGTCTCGCGCTGTCGCCCAGGCTGGCGTGCAGTGGCTCGATCTCGGCTCACTGCAAGGTCCGCCTCCCAGGTTCACACCATTCTCCTGCCTCAGTCTCCCGACTAGCTGGGACTACAGGCGCCCACCACCACGCCCGGCTAATTTTTTGTATTTTTAGTAGAGACGGGGTTTCACCATGTTAGCCAGGATGGTCTCAATCTCCTGACCTCATGATCTGCCCGCCTCGGCCTCCCAAAGTGCTGGGATTACAGGCGGAAGCCACTGTGCCAGGCCCAAAATTCCATTTTTAAAAAATGAGCTGCGGCTGGGCGTGGTGGCTCACGCCTGTAATCCCAACACTTTGGGAGGCCAAGGTGGGTGGATCACCTGAGGTTGGGAGTTCAAGACCAGCCTGACCCACATGGAGAAACCCCGTCTCTACTAAAAATACAAAAAAAAAAAAAAAATAGCCAGGCATGGTGGCCCATGCTTGTAATCTCAGCTACTCAGGTGGCTGAGGCAGGAGAATCGCTTGAACCCGGGAGGCGGAGGTTGCAGTGAGCAGAGATCGCACCATTGCACTCCAGCCTGGGCAACAAGAGCGGAACTCAGTCTCAAAAAAAAAAAAAAAAAAAAAAAAGAAAGAAAAAGAGTTGCATATATAGTTTGAGAACTGTGATCCACCACTGTAACTCTAAATAGTGTTAAACATTAGATCACAGCTATTTATCCTGTGACAGATTCTTTACAAACATAAATCTTATTATTTGTATAATATCCAATCCCTTGGACGCTGTATAATTTTCTTAACCATTCCCATAATCTCGTTCATTAGTTTTCTGCAAAACCATTCAAAGGTATAAAACTCTTTGATTCCAGATCTAAAACCTGAGTCTAAATAATTTGGATTATGGACATCCTAGAAAAATGCAAATTAACAAACATGTACAGGAATTCTTTATAGAATTTCAGGGGGTTTGTGATGTCCCTTATGCCCATAAGGGCATTGGTCTACAGACAGTACACCAATGACCGAGAATTCCTATTTTGGAAAACTTAAATTCTGGCTCACTTCCTTCACATCACGGCTAAGTTCATATTCTTGTTGCTTTTGATCTACAGAAATCCAAAACGGAATATCCAAAATTGCCTCATAATACTTAGCGCTTATGTTTCCCCCCTCCAAGGCTGCAGGCGCGTAATTTCATACACACGACCAGAAGGAAGTATGTTGGATGGAACCTGCAATCATCCTTCACTGCAGGTTCTTGGGGTCAGAATTCAAGGCCGTGTTTGTTAAACATGTAAATGAAACTCCAAGAACCGGGAGGTGGGGGCGGAGTAACAACCCTTTTCAGGAGGGAATCCTACACTCGAAACTGACAAACCCTGCCAGACCAAATTTTAGTCAGGCTACTACACCTTCAGCTAGGCCCATCTGTACACTTCACTGTAAAATCTGGCTATAGCAAAGAACTATTCTAAGTCAGTTTAGCAAGACCCTTTCGCCTCCGTATCTTCATCCTCCACCGTCCCCCAGGTCTCTCTCTCCAGAAATAATCCTGTTAGGTGCGTTTAGTCAGAATCTTCCTTAACCCAGACATTTCCTCTTAGTAATTTCTCATCCAGTGATCCCTAACCTTCTTGGCTATAAATTCCCACTTGTTCATGCTGAATTCGGAGTTGAGCCCAATGTCTGTTACCCACTGCAAAATCTCACAGCCGGGATCCCAATACCTACCACCATGGTCCTGAATAAAGGGTTCTTTGCATGCTTTAACAAGTGTCACTGAATACTTTTTTATTTAACAGAATCTATCATACCTTTCTTAAGGGCAATTACTCTTCTAAGCTTCTCATCCTATCTGTTTCTTCTCACTGGAAATCTTCATCTAAGACTCAGTATCTGATTTCCCATTGGGACCATTTCTCTGTTGTAGTCGTACTAGGCTGAGGAAGGCACAGGAAGCAGCAGGGAACCTGGAGCCAAGGGTCAATAGACCCCACAGAGCCCAGCGAAGCACGCTTTACAAAGGACACACACGGCATGTACAGGTCACACAAGGTCGACTACGCACCCCTCACAGTCCCGCAACTGCACCCACGTCACACAGGCAAGCCGGTCCTGTCGCCGCTGCGCGGTCTCTCACGCTCCCCGCCTGTCTCCTAGAGACGGGCCCCTCCTCCGCAGCTCCAGCACCCTAGGGCCTGAGGAGGCGGGAGACTCGCCCGGCCCGCCTGGGGGCCTCCGCGCTCTGAGCGCCTCCTGCAGCCCCACTCTCACCGCCACGCAGGGTACCACGCGGGCGGCGGGCTGGGGCTGCAGAGGCTCCCGCAGTGACCTGCGCCGCCTTCTTCAGGTGGAACCAAAAGGTCCCGGAACCGGAGCCAGGGGTCCAAGTTTTCTCCGTTGCCTTTGTAATATGTAGTCCAAGCCAGAACAGTCAGGACCGCAGGTACCGGTGAGAAATGGAGTCCAGAATCCTAAAAACCTACGAGAAATACGGCAGCGACCACTTGGACCGCGCCTCCCACCCACCGCTCGAGCCCCGGAGACTTCTGGGAGTGGCCGCCTTGCCTCGAGTGCGCATGCGCAGATCGGCCACTACTGGGCCCCTGGCCTGAGGCTTAGGGTGGAGTTAGTGCGTTCTTAGGGCCAGTAGGAGGCGAGTCTGAGTAGAAACTGATCCAGGTAGCCTCGGAAGGGATCACCTGCTGGATGGGTGTGAGCTCCTCAGGGTGGGGCGCCGAAACCCTCATGGCTCCTGAGGTAGAGCCGGCCTCCTTGGTAACACATGGGACTGGGACTTTTAATACCACCCGACAGGCCCAGCTTGTCTCGTCAAGCGCTAAGTAAATGGACTCACGTCCTATATGAGGGTTTGAAGTTCCATCACATTCTTCAATACATGACATTATGTTCTTCATCTTTGGACACGAATATATTTGACTAAAAATTTGACTAAAAAATCATCTGAAGAAATAACTGCTAAATAGTTTTATTATTTTTGTTCTGGAATAGGCTTCTTGAAGATAAAATAAGAAATTTAAAAAATTTTTTTGATCCTTCATGTAATACTTTGTAAATCTTCATAGTTATTTAGAAGCATCCAAAATTTCCAAATGGTAAAAAACGAATAAGAAAAATTTTTAGGTAAGTAAATTTGGGGGAAATATTTACAACAGCTAAAACGGACAAATATTTAATAGTCCGAATTTCCTGTTTCTTTGGCTTAATAAAATATTGATGAATACAGGCTGGGCACGGTGGCTCACGCCTTTAATCCCAGCATTTTCGGAGGCCAAGGCAGGAGGATCAGTTGAGGCCAGAAGTTCAAAACCAGCCTAAGAAACATAGTGAGACACCCCTCTCCTCCTCCCAAACTCTACCAAAAATGAAAGTTAGCCTGGTGTGGTGGCACACGCCTGTGGGCCCAGCTATTCCAAAGACAAAGGTAGGAGGATCAGTTGAGCCCGGAAGTTCAGGCTTCAGTGAGGTATGATGGTGTCACCGCACTCTGGCCTGAGCAACAGAGCAAGACCTTGTCTCAAAAAATAAATAAGTAAAATTAATTTAAAAATAAAAAATATTTGTCTATACCCTAAGAGGAAAAGGAACAAAACTAAAAAATCACCATTCAAAAATACAAATAGTCAAGGAAAAAAAACTATTAAAGTTACAATTTAAGAACTTATTGATCACTTTTTCTTCTCTTAATTAGTTCTTGGATTTGTTGCTCCTGAATCTCCTGAATAATCTCTCAGAAATACCACACATAGATCAATGGATTAAATTGACTCCACATATTATTTTCTTTTTCTTTTTTCTCTTTTTGAGACGGAGTTTTGCTCTAGTTGCCCAGGCTGGAGTGCAATGGCACGATCTTGGCTCACTGCAACCTCCACCTCCCAGGTTCAAGCGATTTTCCTGCCTCAGCCTCCTGAGTAGCTGGAATTACAGGCATGCATCACCATGCCCAGCTAATTTTGTATTTTTAGTAGAGACAGGGTTTTACCATGTTGGTCAGGCTGGTCTCGAACTCCCAACCTCAGATGATCTGCCCGCCTTGGCCTCCCAAAGTGCTGGGATTATAGGCATGAGCTACTGCGCCCGGCTCCACATACTATTTTCAACAAGGATACCAAGGCATTTTAAGGAAGGGAAGAGTAGTCTTTGTTGAAAAGACTGGAATTAGAGATGCACATAGAAAGGAATGAATTGAGTTCCCTGCCTCTCACCATATACAAAATCAACTCAAAATGGATCAAACACCTAGGTGTAAGACTTAAAACAGTAGAACATTTAGAAGGAAATGTAGGCATAAATCTTCTGGACTTTATAGTCAGCAATTGTTTCTTAACCGTGACATCAGAATCACAAGCAACAACATCAAAAAAGGAAATTGGACATAAATTGTAAAACATTGTGCTTCAAAACCCACCAAGAATGTGAGAAGCTACCCAAAGAGTGAGAAAAATTGTTTGTAAATTATGTATCCAATAAGGGATTTGTATCTAGAATATATAAAGAAGTCTTGCAACTCAATAATAAAAAGCCCAACAAAAATGGGCAAAGTAACTGAATAAGCATTTCTCAAAAAAAAAAAAAAAGTATACACATGGCTACTAAATACTTGAAAACATGTTCTATATTAATCATTAAGAATATGCAAATCAGCCAGGAGCAGTGGCTCATGCCTGTAATCTCAGCACTTTGGGAGGTCGAGGCAGGAGGATTGCTTGAGCCTAGGAGTTCGAAACCAGCCTGGGAAACAAAGAAAAAGACTATGTAAATCAAAACCCCAAAACCCCAATGAGATATACTACTTAGGATGACTAAAATCAAATAAATATACAATAACAAATTTTGGATAGGATTTGGATAAATAGAACCCTATATACATTGATGGTGTCACTGGAAAATGGTAGAACTACTGTATAAACAGTCTGGCAGTTCCTCAGAAGAATGTAGAGTTACCATACGATGTAGCAATTTTAGTCCTAGGTATATTCTCAAGACAAAACCATATGTTCTCACAAAGCTTGTACACAGATATTTATAGCAGCATGATTCATGATAGCCAAAACTGGAAAGAAAACCCAATTGTTCTTCATTTTATAAGTAGATAAGTAAAATGTGGCATATCTACACAATGGACTATTATTTGGTAATATAAGGAAATGAAGATCTGATACAAGCTACAACATAGATCAACCTTGAACACTATGCTAAGTGAATGAAGCTGGTACAAAAGACCACATATTTATGATTCCTTCTATGTGAAATTTCTTCTCATATAAAATTTCCAATGTGGGCTAATTTATAGAGACTGAAAGTAAATTGTTTCCTAAATTGAACGGTGGCAGAAGGAATTGGGATGGTGGCTAAAGGCTTTCATGCTGGCGTGATGAAAATGTTATAAAACTGTGTTGAAGGTTTCACAACTTTGTGACTACATTAAAAACTACTGGATTTTACACTTTAAATGAGTGAATTGGATGGAATGTGAATTATATACAAAGTTGTTACCAAAAGAAATAAAAAAGAAATACAGAGTTTTCAACAAGTAAAAACTGAGAGCATTTGTTGTTAGCAGATCTTCTTTATAAGAAATGTTAAAGAAAATTCTTGAGAAAGAATAGGACAGAATCAGAAATTTGTATCTAAACAAGAAATGAAGAGTCAGAATTAAAGTTAATGGAAGTAAAACCATTTTTTTCCTCATATTTAGTTTCTCTGAAAGATAGTAATAATGTTATTATTATTATTCTTAAAATTTTTTGAGATACAGTCTTGCTTTGTCACCCAGGCTGGAGTGCAGTGGCACGATCTCAGCTTACTGCAACCTCCGCCTCCCAGATTCAAGCAATTCTCCTGCCTCAGTCTCCCAAGTAGCTGGGATTACAGGCACGCGCCACCAGGCCCGGCTAATTTTGTATTTTTAGTAGAGACAGGGTTTCACCATGTTGATCAGGCTGGTCTTGAACTCCTGACTTCAAGTGATCCACCAACCTTGGCTTCCCAAAGTGTTGAGATTACAGGTGTGGGCCACTGCGCCCAGACTATCTTATTGTTTTTTAAAGACAGGATCTTGCTCCGTTGCCCAGGCAGGAGTGCAGTGGTGCAATCACAGCTCACAGCAGCCTCAACTGGTGCAATCACAGCTTATAGCAGCCTCGACCTCCCAGGCTAAAGAAATCCTCCTACCTCAGCCTTCTGAGTAGCTGGGATTATAGGTGTGCACCACCACACCTGGCTAATTTTTAAATTTTTTTGCAGAGACAGGGCCTCACTATGTTGTCCAGGTTGGTCTCAAACTCTGGGGCTCAAGTGATCCTCCCACCTGAGCCTCTCAAAGTGTTGAGATTACAGGTGTGAGCCACTACGCCCAGCTCAATCATCTTTTAAGCAATTTAAATAATAAGATATATTTACCCACATATTAGTCATTTCCTATGTAGGTCCAAATTTCCATCTGATATCACTTTCCATTTGTCTGAAGAACCTTAACATTTCTTAGAGTGTAGGAAAGCATCAATCCTCTCATCTTTTAGATGTCTAAAAAAATCAGACATCCACAAATTTTCACCTTCGTACAAAAGTATTTTCACATTGTATAGAATTCAAGGTAACATTTTTCATTTCTGCGCTATACAAGAATTTTGCTCAACTGTCTTCTAGGTTATGTTGGTTTCAACAAGAAATACTTTTATTCTTGCATTTGTTCCTCTCTATGTAGTCTCCTTTCTCTGCTGACTTACTCTTTATCACTATTTTAAAGCAATTAGATTATGATCAGTCTTTGTTTAGATTTCTACATTTCTTGTGATTAGAATTCACTGAGTTGCTTCAATTTGTAAGTCTACAGTTTTCACCAATTGGGAAAATTTTTAAGCTTACTAATCCTTTTCCTGCAATATCTAATCATTTCTCCAGAGTATTTTACATCTCAGACATTGTAGTTTTCATTTGTGGATGTTTAATGTGGTTTAAAAAAACATCTCCCATGATTCTCCTAAAAGTGCTTATATTTCAGCCAGGTGCAGTGGCTTACACATGTAATCCCAGCAGTTTGAGAGGCTAAAGCAAGACCCTGTCTCTACTAGAAAATACAAAAAATTAGCTGGGCATGGTGGTGCATGCCTGCAGTCCCAGCTACCAGGGAGGCTGAGGTGGGAAGATCAACTGAGCTCAAGAGGTCGAGGCTGCAGTGAGCCATGACTGGGCCACTGCACTCCAGTCTGGGCCAAAGAGTGATACCCTGTCTTTAAAAAAAAAAAGAAAAAAAAAGTGCTTATATTTTGGTCTACCTTTGTCAACATATGAAATATCATTATAATTATTCTGATAACCTGTCAATTCTAATACGTGAGACAATTTTGATTAATCAATTTTGCTCCTCGTTATGTGTCATGTTTTCCTGGTCCTTTGCATGTCTTGTAACCTTTTTTTTTTTCTTTTTTTGAGACAGAGTCTCGATCTTGTTGCCCAGGCTGGATTGTAATGGTGTGATCTCTGCTCACTGCAACTTCCACCTCCCCGGGTTCAAGTGATTCTCCTGCCTCAGCCTCCCGAGTAGCTGGGATTACAGGCATGCACCACCAGGCCCGACTAATTTTTTGTATTTTTAGTAGAAACGGGTTTTCTTCGTTTTGGTCAGGCTGGTCTGGAACTCCCAACCTCAGATGATCTGCCCACCTCAGCCTCCCAAAGTGCTGGGATTACAGGCGTGAGCCACTGCACCCACCCGTCTTGTAACTTTTGATTGGATGCTAAACATTGAAATGTTACCTTGCCAGGTATTCTGGTATATTTTTCAATATTTTTGAGCTTTGTTTTGAAATATAGTTCACGTAACTTGAAAACAGTTTGATCTTTTTCATGGGTTCTTTTTCAGCTTTGATAAGGCAGGACCAGAGCAAGACTAATTAGTCCAAAGCTGATTTTTCCTCTCTCTTAAGACAGTATACTTCTGAGTATCCGAGGTCTTGTGAATTATGAGGGTTTTTCCACTTTGGCTATTGGTAACACCTGCTATTCCTGGACTTGTTTGAGCTATGAGGATTATTCCCTCTATTCATTTCAAGTGGGTTTTTCCACAGCTTCAGGTGTTTTCACATATAGCTAACTGGTCAGTACTTTCAGCTGAAGATTCAAAGGGAACTCCCTGGCAGCGCTCCAGAGATCTCTTCATGGAGGTTGTTCCTGTCTAGTACTTTGTTCCACATACCCTGGCTTCTGCAAATCCTCAAGTTTGTGTCTCAATTCGGGAAGAACACTGGGCTCTGCTTCTGTTAACTCTCCCTGAGCAATGGACTGAAAATACTCCAGATGTTAAGTTGGGAGAAATAATAGAGCTCACCTTGGTGGTTTCTGCAAATGGGGATTGTGGTCTGCTTGTTGTTCAGTGTCTGAAAACTGTCATTCTATATATTTTTAAAAATTATTGAGATGGGAGGGTACATCCTACCCTGTTATTATATCTTAAAAGTAAGCAAAATTTTAATTTTTTTTTTTTTGAGATAGGGTCTTGCTTTGTAGTCCAGGCTAACGTGCAGTGGTGCCCTCATGGCAGCCTCAAACTCCTGGCTCAAGCGATCCTCTTGCCTCAGCTTCCCGAGTAACTGGGACTACAGGTGCATGCCACCATGCCTGGCAATTTTTTTTTTTACTTTTTGTAGAGATGAGTCTTGTTGTTTTGTTCTCCAGCCTTGTCTCAAACTCCTGGGCTCAAAGGATCCTCCCACCTTGGCTTCCCAAAATGTGGGGATTACAGGAGTGAGCCACTGTGTTCAGCCTAAAATTATATCTTGCTTTATCTCAATAATGCTTATTTAAGAAGAAAAAGCTAAAAGAAAAACACTTAATGATCTCTTCCATAAGATCACCAAGACCAAGGCCCTGATCAAGAAACATGTGGTTGATAATCCACATGGTAAAGCTTTCTTTTTTTGTGATTACGTCTTTGCATGCGTGTGTCTCAGTGAAGACCATGGAAACTAGAGGAGTATCTAAAAATTGCTCAATTACCATTAACTGTAGAGAGAAAAATAGGAAGGAATAGAACATAAGTGCATAAAAATAGTAAGAATAGCCAGGCACAGTGGCTCACGCCTGTAACCCCAGCACTTTGGGAGGCCAAGGCGGGTGGATCACAAGGCCAGGAGTTCAAGACCAGCCTGGCCAAGATGGTGAAACCCTGTCTCTACTAAAAATACAAAAAATTAGCCAGGTGTGGTGGCGGACACCTGTAATCCAGCTATTTGGGAGGCTGAGGCAGAGAATTGCTTGAACCCGGGAGGCGGAGGTTGCAGTGAGCCAAGATCGCACCACTGCACTCCAGCCTGGGCAACAGAGTGAGACTCCGTCTCAAAAAAATAAAATATAAATCAATATTACAACTTTTTTGCATATTGTTTCCACTTTAAAATATTTAAGATGCTTTCAGACCGGGCGTGGTGGCTCAAGCCTGTAATCCCAGCACTTTGGGAGGCCAAGGCGGGCGGATCACGAGGTCAGGAGATTGAGACCATCCTGGCTAACATGGTGAAACCCCGTCTCTACTAAAAATAAAAAAATTAGCCGGGCAAGGTGATGGGCACCTGTAATCCCAGCTACTCGGGAGGCTGAGGCAGGAGAATGGTGTGAACCTGGGAGATGGAGCTTGCAGTGAGCCGAGATCATGCCACTGCATTCCAGCCTGGGCCACAGAGCGAGACTCCGTCTCAAAGAAAAAAAAAAGATGCTTTCAAGTATCTGCTAAAAATTAACGACTTTTCTTTGCTTTTTTAGAGACAGGTTCTCACTCTATTGCCCAGGATAGAGTGCAGTAGTGCCATCATAGCTCACTGCAATCTCAAACTCCTAGGATCAAGCAATCCTCCTGCCTTGGCCTCCAGAGTAGCTGGTACTACAGGCATGCACCAGTATGCCTAATTAAAAAAAATTTTTTTTTGTAGACACAGGGTCTCACTATGTTGCCAGGGCTGTTCTTGAACTCCTGACTTCAAGTAATCCTCCCTCTTCGGCCTCCCAAAGTGCTGGAATTAAAGGCGTGAGCCACCACACCCAGCCTATGATTTTTAATATATACCTAACATTGCTCAATTAATTTTGCAAATGATAATTAAGTGCTTGGCAATATTTCATTGGTTAAATCCATAAGATTATTTTTTATCTGAATAGAATATAAGTATTCAGAATATTCCTAATAGAAAGTTTTCTAATAATGGAAACATTGTATACAGTAGTCTCCCTCTTATCTGCAGGGGTTATGTTCCAAGACCCCCAGGGGAAGCCTGAAACCAAGGATGGCACCAAACCATCCTATTTTTTTACTAAACATATGTACTTATGATAAAGTTTAATTTATAAATTAGGCACAGCAAGAGATTAACAACAAGGAAACATTAGATAAAGAGGGGACTACTGTATCTGTAAAGTCCAATACACATGGCTATTGAACACTTAACTGTGACTAGTCCTACTGGTGAACTCAATTTTATGCCTTATTAAATTTAAATTAATTTAAAATGGCCACGTGTAGCTGGTGGCTACTGTATCTACCTGACAGTGCAGATCTAGAGGAATGTCAATTGCTTAATATTTAATGCAATCAATGCTAATTATGTGACAAATTATAATTTTAACATGAGGCAATAAAATAAAACTATTAGTGGATATTTACTCACCCTGCATTAAAATTTTTCACACATTAAAGAATCTGTCATTCTCATGAGGGCTGCTGGTAAGTATCCAAACACGTCTAAGCAGCAATGCATTTTATATATATATTTTTTTGAGATGAAGTTTCGTTCTTGTTGCCCAGGCTGGAGTGCAATGGCCCCATCTTGGCTCACTGCAACCTCTGTCTCCTGGATTCAAGCAATTCTCCTGCCTCAGCCTCCCGAGTAGCTGGGATTACAGGCATGCGTCACCCCACCTCACTAATTTTGTATTTTTTTTTTTTTAGTAGAGATGGGGTTTCTCCATGTTGGTCAGGCTGGTCTCAAACTCCTGACCTCAGGTGATCCACCTGCCTTGGCCTCCCAAAGTGCTGGGATTACAGGCGTGAGCCACCATGCGGGGCCCGCATCTTATATTCTTGCTAAAGAGTTCTGAACTCCTAGCATTGTATTGCCAAGAACACATAATGCTTGATTTTCATTGAGGGGTTCATGTGGGGATGCGTCTTTTATGTGGAACCCAGTGGTAATACCACAATGTGCAGTGCTCACAGGCGTTGTGCCTCGGGCAGGTACGCAGCTCAGTTAATCTGTTGCTTTCATAGAAAGTAGAAATTCAAATAGAGTATCAGGTGATTTTGGAAGTGTTTAACAATCCAGTATTAAAACTGTAAGAAGGAAAACAAAATAAAGAAAAAACAGGACCATATGGGTTTAAAGCCAAATTTTATCTAACCTTTAATAAACAAATAATGGCAATAACAAAAATTTAAAAAATTCTTAATTTTGAATGTTAATATATGAATGCTAATAATATTAATATCAATTTTGAATATTTGGACAAAAATCCCAAACAAAATATTCATAAGATAAATTAAGCAGCTTATCAAAACAATAATATACCACAGCTAAGCATATTATATTTCAGAAATGGTTTAAAACAAGAAATCAGAATGAATTATAACATTAAAATAGCAGAGGAGAATGATATATGAACAAAGCAAAAGAAGTGATAGGATTTGAAAAAATATAAGAAGTTAGCCCTAATTATAGAGCATACTTGCATACAACAAAGTAAATATTAGTTGAATGGTAAAATATTGTACTGATTTCCATTAAACTGTTTAAACAACTAAGACACTGGCTATTACCCCAATACTTGACATAATCGTATTTATTTTAATAAAAGTAAAGAAATAATAATGATTTTAAAAGAAAATTCATTTCCATTCATAGATAATCTGACTGAATACACAGAAATCTCACATACTATTAAAAATATAAATAGATTACCAGTTTATGGTTAGAGTGATAATGGCAACATCCAAATATAATATGATAGTATGTGGGAAAACTATCAGTATCAGAAAAATCATGAATGCACTTTAAACAGCTACTCTCCAGGAAAAGGATATTATATATAAAATAACAGAAGAATCAAGATCTAGAGTATGTGTGTGTATTCATAAATCAGCAGGTTGAGAAAATGAGCAAAAGAAACAAACAGGAAAGTCACAGTAAATAACATGATTGGCTAATAAATACATATAAAAAATACTTAATGGGTTAGTTAAAAAAATAATTATATTTTTAGATGGACAAGTGGAGTTACTGGATACTTTTATTTCCAGCTGACCAGACTAGAAATTACAAGAGTAGAAGAGCATTTGGAAAAGATCCAAGTATAGATACATCAGCTATGACTGCAATTATAGAGTTTTGTTATTTACAGACTCCTCTGAAACAATATTCTAAGTAGAGTTTTAAAAAATTATCTATAACCTAAATACTGATCAGGATGAGAGTTTAAAAACATTTAGGCCAGGCGTGGGGGCGCACACCTGTAATCCCAACACTTTGGGAGGCCGAGGCAGGTGGATCACCTGAGGTCGAGAGTTCGAGACCAGCCTGACCAACATGGAGAAACCCTGTCTCTACTAAAAGTATAAAAAAAATTAGGCAGGCGTGGTGATGCGTGCCTGTAATCCCAGCTACTCAGGAGGCTGAGGCAGGAGAATCGCTTGAACCTGGGAGGCAGAGGTTGCAGTGAGTCAAGATCGGACCATTGCACTCCAGCCTGGGCAACAAGAGCAAAACTCCGTCTCAAAAACAACAACAACAACAAAAAAAACCCAAAAAACAAAACAAAACAAAAAAACATTTAGGTTTTTCATTTTGTAGAAAAGTAACAGTAGTACGAGTACAGAAAAAGGTGGTTACTTGCCTATCATCATGTGAGCTGACTGCATTCTCCCGGGGATTAATCACATGACAAAATGCTGAAATTCCAGTTTGAGGGTCATTCCTTTAGGTCTTGGCAGCATTTCAGCTTATGGTTTCATGTCCCGATTTTTTTTTTTTTTTTTTTTTTGAGACAGAGTCTCACTCTGTCACCCAGGCTGGAATGCAGTGGCACAATCTCGGCTCACTGCAGCCTATGCTCCGGGTTCAAGTGATTCTCCTGCCTCAGGCTCCAGAGCAGCTGGGATTACAGGCATGCGCCACCACACCTGGCTCATTTTTGTATTTTTAGTAGAGATGGGGTTTCACCATGTTGGCCAGGCTGGTCTTCAACTCCTGACCTCAAGTGATCCGACCACCTCGGCCTTACCCAAAGTGCTGGGATTACAGGCATGAGCCACCACACTCAGACTTAAGTGTTAGTAGGTAATATTAATAGAAATGGAAGTTCCGAGGTAATTCTTAGATACACTGGGTTATGGAAAGGCAAACAAACTTTCTACACCACAGTGCACGTCAATCTTGTGAGAGGTTAATCATGTGGTTTTTGTTTGTTCCAAGAGCAGGAGATTGCTTCATTGGCTTGTCTAAGAACATAAACCATTTTTCAATTATCAAGTACAGTGGTCATCTAACCTATAGCAAAATCATTCTGCATTGTGTTTTATTTCATTATCAAAACTTAAAATTGCATAGGGGAAATGATGTTAATATTTAAAGGCGAATTATTTCCTTTGTGGACAAAAGGGATATGAGCATGTAGATCACAACGAATGATCACACTGACACTACAGACACAATGAATGATCACGCTGACACTAAAGACACAACAAATGATCACGCTGACACTACAGACACAATGATGACGCTGACACTACAGACACAATGAATGATCACGCTGACACTACAGACACAACGAATGATCACGCTGACACTACAGACACAACGAATGATCACGCTGACACTAAAGACACAACAAATGATCACGCTGACACTACAGACACAATGTTCACGCTGACACTACAGACACAACGAATGATCACGCTGACACTACAGACACAACGAATGATCACGCTGACACTACAGAACTTTGGCTGACAATGCATAATGCGTGATGCTCCTTAGTTTGGAAAAGTAATTTTTATAGGGCTGGAAGTGAGTTTAGGTAGTTATCAACTGCAATCCTGATTTCCAAAAGGTTTTTAAAAAGGTAGTTTTTAGAATTGATGGTATCGTGCACATAATTCATCCCATTTATAAAACTGTATATAAAGCTTAGAAAAATTACAAGGATAAACACAGATCAACATTCCTTTTCTTTCATTTGTCTAGAATATATTGAACCAGAAGAATGAATTGACTCTGCCAGAAAAATGACTATTGCACAATTATTTTAAAAGAATCTTAGAGTTTGCTGATATCATACTCAGAAATTTTCCATTTACCCTAATGAGTGAAACTCATCTTGTTTTCAATCATGTTTTAAAAATTCCGATTTCCTACAATATCTATGTCATTTTGAAAAACTATATTCTTTCACAAATATAATTCCTTCTCAAAATACATTAGAGATTGCTAAATATTTTGGTATAAACATCAAAAATTAACTCTTTCTTTTGAGACTGGTTCTCGCTCTATTGCCCAGGCTGGAGTGCAATGGCATGATCTCGGCTCACTGCAATCTCTGCCTCCCAGGTTCATGCGATTCTCCTGTCTCAGCCTCCCAAGTAGCTAGGATTACAGGCGCATGCCACCATGCCCAGCTAATTTTTGTATTTGTAGTAGAGATGAGGTTTCATCATGCTGGCCAGGCTGGTCTCGAACTCCTGACCTCAAATGATCCACCTGCCTCGGCGTCCCAAAGTGCTGGGATTACAGGCGTGAGCCACTGTGCCCGGCAAAAATTAACTTTTAATTTAAAACATTTTCTTCATATCTCTTTTAAAATTTTTCTTGATTATATCTAGAGATTTAGCTCATGTTCCACAAAATGGGAGGGGGTAAGATTTGAATAAAAACTAGTTTTATTTCCTAATCATTAATCTCTTTATCTAGTTTTATTAATTTTTTCTTAATATTGGTATATTTGTTTTCCTTTCTTCTAGCCTCATATATTAACATTGTTTCTATCCACAGATTTATAGTCTAACCTTTAACAGGCAGTTCATATGTGCTACACAGAGAGATGAATACAATGACATCTTTTTGTTTCAATCCTTGTTTCCTGAATTAAAGGGATTATGTTTTCAAATTAACGGATCAATGTAGCACCCATCAAATTACTAATGCAAAATGGAATTGTTCAATGGAGAGCTGACAGTTGCCTCTTTAAGCAAGCTTTACAGTGTAGCATAAATAATCATGTAAAAACCTGATATGCTTTCAGAAGTCTGCAGCATCATTCATGAGATGTTCTTGACAAAAATCTCAACCTAATGAATTTTCTAGACATAACTGCCAATTTATGGGAAAACAAGGGACAGAGCAACAAGTTAAATCATACTGTGAAGCAGAAATCAAGAATGTGGGACATTCTTTGGGTACTTAAAAAAGAAAAATTCAGGCTGGGTGTGGTGGCTCACGCCTGTAATCCCAGCACTTTGGTAGGCCAAGGCGGGTGGATCACAAGGTCAAGAGATCCAGACCATCCTGGCCAACATGATGAAATCCCGTCTCTACTAAAAATGCAAAAATTAGCTGGGTGTGGTGGCATGCGCCTGTAGTCCCAGCTACTTGGGAGGCTGAGGCAGAATTGCTTGAACCCGGGAGGCAGAGGTTGCAGTAAGCCAAGATCGCACCACTGCACTCCAGCCTGGTGACAGAGTGAGACTCTGTCTCAAAAAAAAAGAAAAAAAAAAGGAAAAATTCAAAAGCATGAAAAAGTGGGGATATTATCCTAGAGAAAAGGAATAAATTAAAAAAAAATCCCAAATGCAATGAATTAACCAAGAGTGGATACTGATTAGAAAATAAGTCGTTATAAAAAATCTTTGGGCACATATTTGAAGACACTATATAAATTATTACATTTTTCCAGTATGATTATAGTATCACAGTTATCCAGGAAATTTGCATATATTTAAAGGCAAAGGGCCATGGTATCTACAACTTACTCTCAAATGATACAGAAATAACCCATACATAAGCGGATAAAAAGAGCTGAAATAAGATAAAGCAAATAACATGAATGTAAACATATATGGTGGGTTACTAAACAATTCTTTCATTTTTTCTGTATGTTAAATTAAAATGTACATTTCAAATTTAGGGAAAACCTCCAAGACAACAATTTACTTCTTGATAGCCCATTATTAATTCCTACTTAATCTTAAATTGTGAACAGAAAATATGAACTGTTGGCTATTATCAAAATCTTGGCCAGGCACAGTGGCTCACACCTATAATCCCAGCAATTTGGGAAGCCAAGGCAGGAGGATTGCTTGAGGCCAGGGGTTTGAGACCAGCCTAGGCAACATAGTGAGACCCCATCTCCACAAAAAATGAAAAAAGCAAAAGCAAAACAAAACAAGATATGCAAAATCTTTTTTTTTTTTTTTTTTGAGATGGAGTCTTGCTCTGTCACTCAAACTGGAGTGTAGCGGTGTGATCTCGGCCCACTGCAACCTCCGCCTCCTGGGTTCAAGTGATTCTCGTGTCTCAGCCCTCCGAGTAGCTGGGATTACAGGTGTGTGCCACCATGCCCAGCTAATTTTTGTACTTTTAGTAGAGATGGGGTTTTGCCATGTGCCCAGGATGTTCTTGAACTCCTGATCTCAGGCGATCTGCCAGCCTTGGCTTCCTAAACTGCTGGGATTAGAGGTGTGAGCCACTGCACCTGGTCAAAATCTTTAGACATGCTAAAATCATATTCTTAATTTCCAAAATTATATAAAATTTAATAATAGATGAGTGGCTTTCAGAAGCTGTTCTAAATTAATTATGCTATTAGAATCTTTCATAAAAATTAATTATCAGCAACACAAATAATGACGATATCTATAATAGGTCATATTTATTTATTTATTTATTTTAAGATGGAGTCTCGCTCTGTCACCCAGGCTGGAGTGCAGTGGCATGATCCCGCCTCCCAGGTTCAAGTGATTCTCCTGCCTCGGCCTTTCTGAGTAGCTGGGACTACAGGTGCGTGTCACCACGCCCGGCTAATTTTTTGTATTTTTTGTAGAGATGGGGTTTCACCATGTTAGCCAGGATGGTCTCGATCTCCTGACATGTGATCCACCCTCCTCAGCCTCCCAAACTGCTGAGATTACAGGCGTAAGCCACTGCGCCCGGCCAATAGCTCATATTTATTGAGCATAACGCTATATGCCAAACAGTCTTCCCAGGTTTTGACAAGTATAATTTCGGCCACATCCGCATAATAGGACTCTTATGTACCTTTTTTCTTTTTAGATGGGGCCTAAAAAAGCCAGGCTGGTGTGCAGTGGCTATTCACAGGCACCATCATAGAGCACTGCAGGCTTACACTCTTGCCTCAAGCGATCCTCCCGCCTCAGTCTCCCGAGTAGCTGGGACTACAGGTGTGCGCCACCATGCCTGGGTTTCATGTAGGCTCTTGATTATACTTTGCAAATAATTCCCATAGATGATAAATATCTTGGCCAATGACACACAGGGAGTTATGTGGCAGTGATGACAGGTAAGGCATGTGCCATGGCTAAAAGCACTATTGCATATGTGACATTAACAAGTTAGTTTATTAGTACTAATTTTTGAGACTTCAACAATGATTGAGTGGTGTCAGGTGTGGCGATTTAAAAATAAAAATATGTCTGCAAATGTTTTGACATTTCTCTCTTTAAAAAGTGAAAGTGGGCTGGGCACAGTGGTTCACGCCTATAATCTCAGCACTTTGGGAACACTGTGGGAAGACTGCTTGAGCTTAGGAGTTTGAGACAAGCCTGGGCAAGTTGGTGAGACCCCCATCTCTACAAAAAATTTAAAAATTAGCTGGGCATGGTGACGCACACCTGTAGTCCCAGCTACTCGGGAAGCTGAAGCAGGAGGATCACTGAAGCCCAGGAGGTTGAGGCTGAAGTTAGCCATATGCACTCCACTGGACGACAGTGAAAGATCCTGCCTTCAAAAAAAAAAGGTGAAACTTAATTCCTCTCTTACTGAATGTAGGCCAGACTTAGTGATTTTCTGGGAACAAACAGAACGTGGCAGAACTAACTTCCAAAGAGAGATTATAAAAAGGATCACATCTGTCACGTCACAAGCACACTCAAGCAGCTTATGGACAAGGCCCCTTGGGAGAAGAAACGACTTGCCAGTATAAACTTATCAGCCACAGAACTAAGCCATTTGAAAGCATATCCTACAGCTATAGTCAAGCCTTTAGATAAGCACAACCTCTTGAGACACTTGGAGCTAGAACTGCCTAGCTTAGCTGCTCCCAAATTTCTGACTCACAGAAACTGTGAGAAAAATACACATTTATTGGCATTTTAAGCCACTAATTCTTCAGGTTCTTTGGAATGTGGCATGAGATAACAGATTTTGGTACCTAGACAAGGGATGCTATTGAAACAAAAAGCTACAAATGTCAGAGGGGCATTGGGACCACAAACTGGGTGGAAATTGGAAGTGCCTGGAAAATATTATTAGCAGAAACCTGGATATTTTTGAGGAGCTCCTAGTGAGGGCTTAAAGAAAACTGAAAAATGTTACTGGAGACTAGGGGGAAGGGATTCTTGTTATGCAACAGCAGAAAGCAACATGGCTGCACGTGGTTACTGTGAAAAGTACAAAATAATACCTACAGAACTGTGTAACTGGCCCAGGCTCGTGCTATAATCCCAGCACTTTGGGAGGTCAAGGTAGGAGGATCAAGAGTTTGAGACCAGCTCAGGCAACATAGGGAGACTTCATCTCTACCAAAAAAAAAAAAAAAAAAAGAATTAGCTAGATGTAGTTGTGCATACACCTGTAGTCCTAGCTACTCCTGAGGCTGAGATGGGCGGATCACTTGAGCCCGGGAGTTCAAGGTTGTAGTGAGCTATGATCACACCACTGCACTCCAACTTGGGTGGCAAAGCAAGATTGTGTCTTTAAGAAACAAAAACAAACAAACAACAGCAACAAAAAAAGTGGGTAATTTAGCTTAGGAAACTCCCAAGCAGAATGTTGAAGGTGTCTTGCTTCTTGTTGCTTAAGTGCTAGAAGTGAGATAAGCTAGAAAAAGACTGTTAAACAGAAGTGAACCAGGACTTGCTTTTGGAAACTCCCAGCCTCTCCAGAAAGCAAATGATGCTAAACTTCAGAAATAGTCTCTGGACAAAGATAAAATCCAGAGTGCTGTTAGGGAAACATAGTATGTAGGTAACCTTAGGGTATGTGTTCATTTTGATCCTCTGAAAAGCAAAAAGCAAGATCAGATCAGAAGGAAGGAGGGGGCTATGAATGAAAAAGAGGTCCAGGAAAGGCAGTGAAAGCCTTCAGGCCATGGTACAAGATGGATGACTCTGAAGGAGAGGGATGAAGCAAGATTGGTAGAAAAACTATGAAAACGCGGGGCAGTATGAAAACAGTTTCAGCCTGGCTGATTCACAGTTCCCCAGCTGAAGGGTCTGGGTTTCGTAAGAATTGACTAGCATGAATACTTATGTTATGCTCAGAAAAGGAGCTGGGGGCAGCCCATAGGAAGCATGGCCTCAACATTAACACAATGATTATTTCAGAGAGGGAGCAGAGTGGGCACTTCACAGGCAGGTTATCTGTTCTCCAAAGAACAGATAGAGTATGACTGTTAAAAACCCTTGGTTAAGACTCCAGCAATATCTAATGTGACAATTATGAGAATCACCATTCAATGAAACTTCTATAAATGGCTCTGTCAGCAGCCTCTGCAGAAGCCCTAGGTAGAGGAGGCCGGATTTGCACGAGAGTGAATGAACAAGTGAGCATGAGCACCAGGGAAAGGTGATCCTGAAGATTCTGTTCATCTAGGTTCAGCTCACATGCAAAGGGAAGGGAATTGGACTTCAGGTTTTTTTATTTGCTGTTTGTGTTTTTGAGACGGAGTCTCATGCTGTTGCCCAGGCTGGAGTGCAGAGGCACGATCTCAGCTCACTGCAGCCTCCGCCTCCCAAGTTCAAGCGATTCTCCTGCCTCAGCCTCCCTAGTAGCTGGGACTACAGGCGTGTGCCATCACGCCTGGCTAGGCCTCGGTCTCCCAAAGTGCTGGGATTACAGGCGTGAGTCACCGTGCCTGGCCAGACTTCAAGTTTGAAGGGTAGAGTTTCAAGAATTTGAGGACATATTTTTAAAACACCACGACTGGCATTCTGAGTACAAATTGCTTATATTTCTACGTCATGCAAAATATGCTCAAGAAGCCACCCAAATTGCTTGAGCCCAGAAGTTGAAAGCTGCAGTGAGCTATGAGCATGCCTCTGCACTCCAGCCTGGGTGATAGAGCAAGACCCTGTCTCAAAAAACAAAGACAAAAACAAAAACAGACAAACAAACAAACAAAAAACGGCTCCAAAGTCACAGCTTTCTCCTGGCACTCTCACTGTCTAAGCCAGCCTGCCAGTGTGAGCAAGCCACCTGGAAAACAGATCCTTCCGCCCCAAGGAGCCTTCAGAAGACTGCAAGCTCATGGAAAGACCAATTCAAAAGCACTCAGTTAAGCCTCTTCCGAATTTCTGACCCTCAGAACCTATGAGTGATGTTTATTGTTGTGGTAAGACATTAAGGCTTGGGGTAATTTGTAATACAGCCATTGAAATCTAGTATGAAAGGCTTTTGGTCATCCTTTTAATTAATAAGTTTTTTTTTTTTTTCTTTTGAGACGGAGTCTCACTCTGTTGCCCAGGCTGGAGTGCAGTGGCGCGATCTCTGCTCACTGCAAGCTCTGCCTCCCGGGTTCACGCTATTCTCCTGCCTCAGCCTCCCGAGTAGCTGGGATTGCAGGCGCCTGCCACCACGCCCAGCTAATTTTTTGTATTTTTAGTAGAGACGGGGTTTCATCGTGTTAGCCAGGATGGTCTCTATCTCCTGACCTCGTGATCCGCCCACCTTGGCCTCTCAAAGTGCTGGGATTACAGGCAAACCACCGCGCCCAGCCTTAATTATTAAGTTTTTTTAAAAAAAAATCCATGCCATGGATGTTGTAGGCATGAAGAAACTGGGATTCCTGTTTTTTTTTTTTTTTTTCTTAATTTACCATTGAATAGTCAGATATTCCATTAAAACAGGACTGACATTGAATGCTTTCTAATGTGGCAAGATCTGCATTTTGAACTCTCTCAATTGCTAAAGCCATACCTATAAGACTAACATTCCATCATTTCTCACCAGTGTGGGCTGTCTGATGATGAATGGCGCGCTCGTACTCTTTACGGTCTTACACTTTTATGCTCCTATGAATTCTCTGATGGGCTTTAAGGGCTGAACCATATCTGAAGGTTTTCCCACACTGCTTACACACATAGGGTTTCTCACCAGTATGAATTCTCTCATGTTGAACAAGGTTTGAAGCACGACTGAAGGCCTTCCCACATTCTTTACATTCATAAGGTTTTCCACCAGTATGAATTTTCTGATGTTGGGTAAGGTAGCCATACATTTTAAAGGCCTTTCCACATTCTTTACATTCATAGGGTTTTTTATCAGCATGAATGCTCTGATGTGCAGTAAGGTGTGAACTACGTCTAAAGGTCTTCCCACATTCCTTACATTCAAAAGGTTTCTCATCAGTATGAATACTTTGATGTAGAGTAAGATTTCTATAGAAAGTAAAGGTTTTTCTACATACCTTACATTCATAGGGTTTCATACCAGTATGAATTTTCTGATGTTGATTAAGATATCCATGCAAGCTAAAGGTCTTGCCACATTCCTTACATTTATAGGGTTTCTCACCAGTATGAGTTTTCCGATGTTGAATAAGGTTTGAGCCAGTACTATAGGCCTTCCCACATTCCTGACATTCAAAAAGTTTCTTACCAGTGTGAATATTCTGATGTCGAGTAAGATTTCTATACAAAGTAAAGGTTTTTTTACACTCCTTACATTCAAAGTGTTTCATGCCAGTATGAATTTTCTGATGTTGTTTAAGGTAGCCATACAAGCTAAAGGCCTTTCCGCATTCCTTGCATTCATAGGGTTTCTCGCCAGTATGAGTTTTCTGATGTTGAAAGAGTTTTGAACCAGTAGTATAGGTCTTCCCACATTGCTTGCATTCAAAAAGTTTCTCACCAGTATGAATATTCTGATGCCGAGTAAGATTTCTATACAAAGTAAAGGTTTTCTTACACTCCTTACATTCATAGGGTTTTCCACCTTTATGAATTCTCTGATGTAGAAGAAAGTATGAGGCAGTGGTATAGCCCTTCCCACATTCTTTACACTCATATGGCTTTTTACCAGTGTGAACTCTCTGATGTACAGTAAGCTGGTGACCTCTTCTAAAGGCCTTTCCACATTTCTCACATATGTATGGCTTCTCATCAGTATGAAACTGCCCATGTTCAACAAGATTTGAGCGCCTACTAAAAGTCTTCCCACATTCCTTACATTTATATGGTTTTTCGCCAGTATGAACTCTCTGATGAATTCTAAGATGTCCACCTTGACTAAAGGCCCTCCCACACTCCTGACATTCATACGGCTTCCCACCAGTGTGAATTCTCTCATGTTGAACAATGTGTGAGGCATATATAAAGGCCTTCCCACACTGCCTACATTCATAGGTTTTCTCACCAGTATGAAATCTCTGATGCACAGTCAGCTGATAACCACTTCTAAAGTTCTTCCCACATTCTGTACATTCATAGGGTTTCTCACCAGTATGAAATCTTTGATGTAGAGTAAGTTGATAGCCACTACGAAAGTTCTTCCCACACTCTTTGCATTCATAGGGTCTCTCAATGACATGAAACCTGTGATGTAGAATAAGTTGATAACCACTACTAAATTTCTTCTGACATTTCTTACATTCATAGAGTTTCTCTCTCTTATATATGCTCTGAAGTTGTGTAGAGGATATATCTGTTTCATAAGTGGGTACTTCTATGTAGCTGATTATCTCACACTGTAAATCCAAATCTGAAACAAAAGAGGACAACAAAAAAAATTTGTATTTCTATACCAGAGAACAAGAAACTTTATGCAACAAAGAAAAACCAACATTCATAATAAGTGAATGGCATATAGAATTCAAAAATATGGTTACGAAATTTGAAAAAGGCCAAAAAGAGTTCAGAGACGTATGAGAGTTTACGTAAGATAGTGAAATTACTGATTGAGGACATAGGTAACATTTAGGTGGGGCCAGAATCTTTGACAAGCTTGTTCCAAATCTGCTATATTGGCACCGTCAAAGACCAAGTGAATTAAAACTGAGAGGAGAGAAACCTTGACATCTTTATTTTGAACCTATCACTGATTTAGATGCAGGTCAGTGTTTAAGAATACATCCTTTAAGTTTCTCGAGTGATTTTTCACTGTTCTTAAAATAAAATACAAATCCCTTTCCAAGGACTGCTGCTTACCTAGGAGGTCTCATGTCAAAACATCAGCTCTTTGCTTCCTATTCTCTATCATAGTCCCTCTTTTCAACACCTGGAATATAGTACAATTGCCCCTTGGTATCTGTGGAGGATCAGTTCCAGGACCTCCTGCAGATACCAAAACCCAACCCAGATACCGACGCCTTAAGTCCCTGATATAAAATGGCATAGTATTTGCACATAACCTATAAACATCTTCCTGTATACTTTAAATCATCTCTGGATTACTTACAATACCCAATACAATGTAAATGCTATGTGAATAGCTGTTCTACTGTTGCTTCGAAAATAATGGCAAGAAAAAAGCCTGTATGTGGTCAGTACCCTCACAATTTAAAAATATATGTTTGATCTGAAGATGGTTGAATCCATGAGTGCAGAACCCATAGATACAAAGGGCCAACTGTACAACTTCCCCCAACACTTAATGCTTTCCACAGACCGTTTAACTGCTCAAGAGTCCTTGGACTTAGACATTTTGTAGGCTGAATCCTTCTCATCCTTTATGTTTCAGAGTAAATGTTCTTTCTTTAGAAAGGCAGTACCTGCTAACTCTGTCTGTCTCTCTATCTTTATCTGTCTGTTTATCTATCTATCCATCCATCTAGCTATCAATCAATCATCAAGACAGAGTCTTGCTCTGTCACTCAGGCTGAAGTACAATAGCCCAATCATAGTTCACTGCAGCCTTGTACTCTTCCAGCTCAAGCGATTTTCCCACCTCAGCCTCTCAAGTAACTGGGACTACAGATGCACAACACCACACCTGGCTAATTTTAAAATTATGTGTAGAGACAGGGTCTCACTGTGTTGCTTATCCACCGTGATCAAGTTGGCTTCATCCCTGGGATGCAAGGCTGGTTCAACATACGCAAATCGATAAACATAATCTATCACATAAACCGGACCAAAGACAAAAACCACATGATTATCTCAATAGATACAGAAAAGGCCTTTGATAAAATTCAACATCCCTTCATGTCAAAAACTCTCAATAAACTAGGTATTGATGGAACATATCTCAATAATAGCTATTTATGACAAACCCACAGCTGATATCATATTGAATGGGCAAAAGCTGGAAGCATTCCCTTTGAAAACCAGTACAAGACAAGGATGCCCTCTCTCACCACTCTTATTCAACACAGTACTGGAAGTTCTGGCCAGGGCAATCAGGCAAGAGAAAGAAATAAAAGTATTCAAACAGGAAGAGAGGAAGTCAAGTTGTCTCTGTTTGCAGATGACATGATTTTATATTTAGAAAACCCCATCATCTCAGGCCAAAAACTCCTTAAACTGATAAGCAACTTCAGCCAAGTCTCAGGGTACAAAATCAATGTGAAAAAATCACAAGCATTCCTTTACACCAACAATAGACAAGCAGAGAGCCAAATCATGAATGAACTCCCATTCATAATCGCTACAAAGAGAATGAAATACGTAGGAATACAGCTAACAAGGGATGTGAAGGACCTCTTCAAGGAGAACTATAAACCACTGCTCAAGGAAATAAGAGAGGACACAAATAAATGGAAAAAGATTCCATCCTAATGGATAGGAAGAATCAATATCATGAAAATGGCCATACTACCCAAAGTAAATTATAGATTCAATGCTATTCCCATCAAATTACCATTGACATTCTTCACAGAATTAGAAAAAAACTGTTTTAAATTTTATATGGAATCAAAGAAGACCCCGTACAGCCAAGACAATCCTAAGCAAAAAGAACAAAGCTGGAGGCATCATGCTACCTGACTTCAAACTATACTACAAGGCTACAGTAACCAAAACAGCATGGTACTGGTACCAAAACAGACATATAAACCAATGGAGCAGAAAAGAGACCTCAGAAATAACACCACACATCTACAACCATCTGATCTTCAACAAACCTGCCACAAACAAGCAATGGGGAAAGGATCTCCTACTCAGTAAATGGTGCTGGGAAAACTGGGTAGCCATATGCAGAAAACTAAAACTAGACCCCTTCCTTACACCTTATGTAACAATCAACTCAAGATGGATTAAAGACTTAACTGTAAAACCCAAAACCATAAAAACCCTAGAAGAAAACCTAGGCAATGCCATTCAGGACATAGGCATGGGCAAAGATTTCATGACAAAAATGACAAAAACCATTGCAGCAAAAGCCAAAATTGACAAATGGGATCTAATTAAACCAAAGACCTTCTGCACAGGAAAAGAAACTATCATCAGAGTGAACAGGCAACCTACAGAATGGGAGAAACCTACCCATCTGACAAAGGTCTAACATCCAGAATTTACAAGGAACTTAAACAAATTTACAAGTAAAAACCAAACAACACATCAAAAAGTGGGCAAGGGATATGAACAGACACTTCTCAAAAGAAGACATTTGGCTGCGGTGGCTCATGCCTGTAATCCCAGCACTTTGGGAGGCCAAGGCGGGTGGATCACGAGGTCAGGAATTCAAGACCAGCCTGGCCAACATGGTGAAACCCCATCTCTACTAAAAGCACAAAAAAAATTAGCCAGGCATGGTGGCAGGTGCCTGTAATCCCAGCTACTCGGGAGGCTGAGGCAGGAGAATCACTTGAACGCGGGAGGTAGAGGTTGCAGTGAGCCGAGATCAAGCCACTGCACTCCAGCCTGGGTGACAGAGTGAGAATCCATCTCAAAAAAAAAAAAAAAAAAGAAGAAGAAGAAGACATTTATGAGGCCAACAAACATATGAAGAAAAGCTCAACATCATCATCAGAGATCATCAGAGAAATGCAAATCAAAACCACAATGAGATACCATCTCACACCAGTTAGAATGGCGATTATTAAAAAGTCAGGAAACAATAGATGCTGGTGAGGCTGTGGAGAAATAGGAATACTTTTATACTGTTGGTGGGAATGTAAATTAGTTCAACCACTGTGGAAGACAGTATGGCAATTCCTCAAGGATCTAGAACCAGAAATACATTTGACCCAGCAATCCCACTACTGGGTATATACCCAAAGAAATATAAATCATTCTACTAGAAAGACACATGTGCATGTACGTTTACTGCAGCACTATTTACAATAGCAAAGACTTGGAGCCAACCCAAATGCCCATCAATGATAGACTGGATAAAGAAAATGTGGTACATATACACCATGGAATACTATGCAGCCATAAAAAGAAATGAGATCTTGTCCTTTGCAGGGACATGCATGAAGCTGGAGGCCATCATTCTCAGCAAACTAACACAGGAACAGAAAACCAAATACCACATGTTCTCACTCATAAGTGGGAGTTGAACAATGAGAACTCATGGACACAGAGAAGGGAATAACACACCAGGGCCTGTTGGGGGCTGGGAGGTGAGGGGAGGGAACTTAGAGGACAGGTCAAAAGATGCAGCAAACCACCACGGCACACGTATACCTATGTAACAAACCTGCATGTTCTGCACATGTATCCATGTATCCTGTTTTTTTTTTAGAAGAAAGGAAAAAAAAAAGACTACTGATGTCACACAGATACACCAAAAAGGTATGAAAGGGTTTATAACTCTCATCATGAGGCTTTCTAGAGAGCAGAGCAGCTCCCAAGCAGGTCATAAAACAACTTGAGAGATTAGGAAAAGGAGGCTGGCTTGGAGTTTGCATGGTGGTTAGGGTGTGGTGCTGGGCTGAGTGTTCCTGCTCATGGCATGGGGTTCACATGGTTTGAATGAGAAGGAGGGAGCACCTAGGTTTTTTACCAGCTGGCCCAGAAGTAGACAGAAGGGGAAAAAAAAAGAGGAGTCATCAGCAGTTAAACATCAAAAACAGAGTCAGGGACTGGAGTGGTGGCTCACGCCTATAATCCCAGCACTTTGGGAAGCCGAAGCAGGAGGATCACTCAAGCCCAGGAGTTCAAGACCAGCCTGGGCAACACAATAAGACCTCTTCTTTACAAAAAAAAATTAAAAACTTGGCTGGGCATGGTGGCATGCACTTGTGGTCCCAGATATTCGGGAGGGCAAGGTGGGAGAATTTCTAGAGCCTAGGCGGCCAAAGCTGCAGTGAGCTGTGTTCACGCCACTGCACTCCAGCCCAGGCAACAGAGCAAGACCCTATCTCAAAAAAAAAAAAAAAAGAAAAAAAAAAAGAAAAAAGAAAAAGAAAACACTTTTTTTTTTGAGATGGCATCTCGCTCTGTCTCCTAGGTTGGAGTGCAGTGGTGCGATCTCGGCTCACTCCAAGCTCTGCCTCCCAGGTTCATGCCATTCTCCTGCCTCAGCCTCCCGAGTAGCTGGGACTACAGGCACCCGCCACCACGCCCCGCTAAATTTTTTGTATTTTTAGTAGAGACAGGGTTTCACCATGTTAGCCAGGATGGTCTTGATCTCCTGACCTCGTGATGTGCCCACTTTGGCCTCCCAAAGTGCTGGGATTACAGGCGTGAGCCACCGTGCCCGGCCAGGAAATACTTAAAGAAAAAAAATGCTCTGTCACTCAGGCTGGAGTGCAGTGGTGTGATACTGGCTCACTGCAACCTTTGCCTCTCAGGTTCAAGCAATTCTTGTGCCTCAGCTTCCCGAGTAGCTGGGGCCACAGGCACCCACCACTATGCTTGGCTAATTTTTTTGTATTTTTGGTAGAGATGAGGTTTCGCCATGTTGGCCAGGCTGGTCTCGAACTCCTGGCGCCAAGTGATTTGCTTCTGTCTGCCTCAGCCTCCCAAAGTGTTAGGATTACAGACGTGAGCCACTGCATTCAGCCAAGACTTTAATTTTTTTGGGGGGTGGGGGTGGTAGGATGGAGTCTGGCTCTGTTGCCCAGGCTGGAGTGCAGTGACACGATCTCAGCTCTGCAACCTCTGCCTCCCGGGTTCAACGGATTCTACTGCCTCAGCCTCTGGAGTAGCTGGGATTATAGGTGCTTGCCACTACGCCCAGCTAATTTTTGTATTTTTAGTAGAGACAGGGTTTCACCATGTTGGACAGGCTTATCTGAAACTCCTGAACTCAAATGATCTGCCCGCTTCAGCCTCCCAAAGTGCTGGGATTACAGGCGTGAGCCACCACACTTGGCAAGATTGTAATGTTTTGAAAGCAGTTTTAACCATCTCTATTTTCTAATGAACTATAATGTACATAGAGGATTTCTTAATGTTATAAATATTTCTTTATAAGGGTTATAAATAATTCTGTATTTCTCTATTAACATGGTATGAAATAAAGAAAGCAAATTATCCAAAGTCTGATTAACCAAAGACAATCCAAAGTCTGAGTGGAACATTTAATCAATAAAGATCCAGAACTTCATAGATACAATTCAAATACTGCAGAGCTCAGTTACCTTCCAGTCACACACAGATTGTTCCTAAAAACTGACCATATACTGGGCTATAAAGCAAGTTTCATGTATTTCAAAGGATCAAGATTGTATAGAGTATGTAGTCTGACCACAAGAAAAATTTTATGCTAGAAATCAATACTGCAAAGATAACTAGACAACATATATTTGGTAATTATATACTGCTTGTAGGTAATCAATATACTGAACAAACAGTGCACTGTGATATGATAAAATAACAAACTTTGGAAAATGATGTTTTGACTGAAAATTATAAGGCCATACACTAAAGGAAGTATATACAAACACTACTCAAGTGAGTAAACTTGATGCTCATGGGGGTACAGGTTAACAACTCAGAAATGTGTTACACATACACTGGAGTTGAATAGATACAGAAATAAATGGTGGACGGGGAGAGCCAGTTTTCCTGCTGTCAGGGTAAAAAGTTACATATAAACAAGACAGGAAGATTAGAATACATTTTGTAGTAGTAGATGAGAGTCAGAGACATTAGTATGAACTCATGTTTAGCTTCAGATGCATACAAATGGATAGACAAAAAGACAATTATTAATATATGTAAGCATACATCGGCGAATGTGCATATATCCATTACCCAGACCTTGTTTTTTTTTTGGGACGGAGTCTTGCTCTGTCGCCCAGGCTGGAGTGCAGTGGTGCGATCTTGGCTCACTGCAACCTCTGCCTCCCGAGTTCAAGCGATTATCCTGCCTCAGCCTCCCAAGTAACTGGCATTATGTACAGACCCGCGCCTCCACGCCCAGCTAATTTTTGTATTTTTAGTAGAGACGGGGTTTCACCATGTTGGCCAGGCTGGTCTTAAAAACTCCTGACCTCGTGATCTGCCCGCCTTGGCCTCCCAAAGTGCTGGGATTACAGGCGTGAGCCACCGTGCCCAGCTGACCTTGGTTTTTAAATCCCATTCTCCACTAAAAGGAATCACACTCCTGGGAGAAACAGCTGATTCCAGGACCACGGGAGGGAGAAAACAAAATGAACCTGAAGGTAGTACCAGGAAAGAAGTCCTCAAAAAACAGAAGGATCAGGGTATTAAATGAACATAGGAACCAAGCTAAAAGAGCTATCAATGTCTGAAGTTGAAACGGTATGGGTGGCAAAAGAAGTAATGTAATATTTGATTCTACCTTGAAGTATAAAACAAATATAAATGAGTCTACACTGATATGAGAAGAAACAAATATGTCTTATAGAAGAATTCTGTCTGAAGTTGAAACGGTATGGGTGGCAAAAGAAGTAATGTAATATTTGATTCTACCTTGAAGTATAAAACAAATATAAATGAGTCTACACTGATATGAGAAGAAACAAATATGTCTTATAGAAGAATTCTATCTGAAGTTGAAACGGTATGGGTGGCAAAAGAAGTAATGTAATATTTGATTCTACCTTGAAGTATAAAACAAATATAAATGAGTCTACACTGATATGAGAAGAAACAAATATGTCTTATAGAAGAATTCTAGATATTAAACTCTATGGAATGTAAAGCTTAATTTCCACTTCTATGTACCTGCTCCCAGGGTGGGCTAGACTTAACAAGTTGTTTCTAAAGAGTAGAGAATGGAAAAGGAAAAAATAGTACATTTGGAGTGAAGAAACCTGGCAGACACTACTTTAGCCAAATGATAAAGGTTAATATCACCAGTGATGTCATGTACCCCTGATGTAATGTGATGAAAAGCATACTTCACCTCTCTTACAGTCTTTCTTTTTTTTTTTGAGATGGAGTCTCACTCTGTGGCCCAAGCTGGTCGGCTCACTGCAAACTCTGCCTCCCAGATTCACGCCATTCTCCTGCCTCAGCCTCCAAGTAGCTGGGACTACAGGCGCCTGACACCATGCCCGGCTATTTTTTTGTATTTTTAGTAGAGACGGGGTTTCACCGTGTTATCCAGGATGGTCTCGATCTCCTGACCTCGTGATCCACCTGCCTCGGCCTCCCAAAGTGCTGGGATTACAGGCATGAGCCACCGCGCCCGGCTGTTACAGTCTTTCTAAAAACTACTACTTCCAGCCTAATTACAAAAAAACAACAGACTTGGATTGGGAGAACACTACTGGCATGGTCTGTCAAGACAGTCAAAGTCATGAAAAACAAAGAAAAGCAGAAAAAACTGTCACAGAACAGAAGAGACTGGAAGATAAGACAAATGTATACAATGTGGTACCCCTAACTGGATGCATCTTGGAACAGAAATATGAGCTATATGGAAAAACTGGTGAAATCCCAATGGAGAGTCTCATGTCAGTTTCCTAGTTTTGACAAACATACTTTATGTAAGATGTTAACAATGGTGGAAAGTGGGAGAGATGTATACAGGAAATCTCTGTATTATCTTTGTAAATCTGTAAATTTTGTAAATCTAAAATTATTCTAAAGTTAAAAAGTTATTTTAAAAAAAGTTAATTACCAGTGGTCTTTGTTTGGTTGGTGGAGAAAAGAAAACAAACAAAAACGATCATTACGCACTACTTCTGCAATATTCTTGGCAAAAAATGTTTAATCTTACTCTAATCATGAGGGGAAACCATCAAACCTATAAATCTGACATTCCACAAGAAAACTGGAGTAGACACTTCAAAAAAGCCAAACCCAAAGGGGAAAATGTAGTAAGGTAACACCAAGATAAAAAGCCTAAGACCTGGCTGGGCATGGTGGCTCATGCCTTAACCCCAGCACTTTGGGAGGCCAAGGCAGGCGGATCACAAGTTCAGGAATTCGAGACCAGCCTGGCCAATATGGTGAAACCCCATCTCTACTAAAAACACAAAAATTAGCCAGGCGTGGTGGCGGGCGCCTGTAGTCCCAGCTAACTCGGAGGCTGAGGCAGGAGAATCGCTTGAACCCAGGAGGCAGAGGTTGCAGTGAGCCGAGATAGCACCACTGCATTCCAGCCTGGGCGACAGAGCAAGACTTGGTCTCAAAAAAAAAAAAAAAAAAAAAAGCCTAAGACCTAAATGCAATGTATGAATACACAATGGATCCTGGAAACATTTTATAAATGACATTTTTAGAAACAGCATAACAAATGTAAGTATAGACTCTATAGTAGATAAGACTACATTACTATTATAATAATATTGTGACTTTGAAGGAGAATGTCTTTATTCTTAGGAGATGTACATAGTTAAGAGGTGAAATTTAATGACAACTGCTACTTACCATCAAGTGAGCCAAGAAGAAAGGTGCATATATACAGAGAAAAAGTAAGGCAAAATGTTAATAACCAAAGATGAATCTATGTGAAAGGTAATTAACTGTATATATATTATATATTATACATTATACACATACACACACATACATATATACACAAATATATATTTTTAAAATATTCTCCCTTGGCTTGATGATTTTTAAAATAAAAAGCTGGGGAAAGGAAACAGCAACCCAGAATTTAAGGAGATATTACCTAAATTCCCATATAAAATTATTTTTAACCAAATAATAGTAGGTTTATATCCATTTATATTTGATAGCATGAAAGAAGAAAAAACAATTTATAAAGCAGATGTAAATACATATGAGAAAAGGAGAAAACTTGAAAATTGGTGACCTATATATTCATCACAAGAAGCTGGAAAATGCAACAAATAAACAAAAATAAGATATAAAAGTCCAGTAATTTTAAAAAATGGAGTTCACAAATACCACAGAAGAGCCAAAACGGCAGATATTTTATTTCAAACTAATGTTACTGATGCAATTCTCTCAACACTGATGAAGAAAAAAGTAAATGCTACAATATCCAACCTAGGAGTGCTACCAGGTACCTCAGCTATAGCTCTCCACACTGCACAAACACAGTAAGATGGCATTAGGATAAAAACATGTTACTAACTTGCTTGAAATGCATAAAACTCTAAAAAGTAGCCACTGCAAAATCAACACACAGAAAACTTGGACAATTCTATAAGCATTATGTAATTTGCATAAGTTTTTAAAAAGCACAATGGAAACTGAAGTTTCAGATTTTTTTTTCTGGAGTGTTTCTTCAGACATTCTAAGAGGGGGTAAAAGGGTACATTCCCTCAACACATGTATGAAGCTAATGAAACACATCCAACATTATTTTTTTTTAATTTTTTTTTTTTTTGAGATGGAGTCTCCCTTTGTTGCCCAGGCTGGGGTGCAGTGGCACGATCTCGGCTCACCACAACCTCCGCCTCCTGGGTTCAAGCAATTCTCCTGCCTCAATCTCCTGAGTAGCTGAGGCTACAGGCCTGCGCCACCATGCCTCACTAATTTTTCTACTTTTAGTAGAGACAGGGTTTCACCATGTTAGCCAGACTGGGTCACAAACTCCTGACCGCAAGTGATCTGCCGGCCTAGGCCTCCCAAAGTGCTGGGATTACAGGCATGAGCCACTGCGCCCAGCCATCCAACGTTAGGAAGGATAATGAAAAACAAAATTGCAATCCAATCCCACTCATGAAACCTAAAGAAAACATTAAAAGTTCAGATATAATTGATAAGAGATAAAATATCAACACATGATGACCAAATTGGAGTCCAGCATGCAAGGTTAGTCAAGTACTAGAATTCAACATAGTACAGAATAATGGAGGAAAAAAATCGTATGAATTTTGTTAATACATGCAGAAAGAATGATTCCTAAGAAAAATTTTAGCAATTGTATAAAAAAGCAAACCTCCTCCATGTGAAAGAGTATTTATATAAATTGTTAAAAAACATACCTTAGCCAGACACGGAGGCTCACACCTGTAATCCCAGCACTTTGGGACTCTGAGGCAGGAGAATTACAGCAGTGAGCCGAGATCACACTACTGTACTCCAACCCCAGATGACAGAGCAAGACCCAGTCTCAAAAAAAAAAAAAAAAAGTCAACTGCCTTTTTCTTGTGGAAAATGACAAGCTGAACTAAAATTCATATGTGAATATAGAAGACTCAGAATAGCCAAAACAATCTTGAAAGACAAGAATTCAAGTATCAGTACTCATACTTTGTGACTTCAAAACTTTTTATAATGCTACAGTAAATCAAGCAGTATATAGTACTGTATATAGACAGTATATATACTGTCTATAGTAGTATAGTATGGTATATATACTGTGTATATATACAGTATAGACAGCATATATACTGTGTATATATACAGTATAGACAGCATATATACTGTGTATATATACAGTATAGACAGCATATATACTGTGTATATATACAGTATAGACAGCATATATACTGTGTATATATACAGTATAGACAGCATATATACTGTGTATATATACAGTATAGACAGCATATATACTGTGTATATATACAGTATAGACAGCATATATACTGTGTATATATACAGTATAGACAGCATATATACTGTGTATATATACAGTATAGACAGCATATATACTGTGTATATATACAGTATAGACAGCATATATACTGTGTATATATACAGTATAGACAGCATATATACTGTGTATATATACAGTATAGACAGCATATATACTGTGTATATATACAGTATAGACAGCATATATACTGTGTATATATACAGTATAGACAGCATATATACTGTGTATATATACAGTATAGACAGCATATATACTGTGTATATATACAGTATAGACAGCATATATACTGTGTATATATACAGTATAGACAGCATATATACTGTGTATATATACAGTATAGACAGCATATATACTGTATATAGTACATAGTACCGTATATATACTGTATATAGTACATAGTACCGTATATATACTGTATATAGTACATAGTACCGTATATACTGTATATAGTACATAGTACCGTATATATACTGTATATAGTACATAGTACCGTATATATACTGTATATAGTACATAGTACCGTATATATACTGTATATAGTACATAGTACCGTATATATACTGTATATAGTACATAGTACCGTATATATACTGTATATAGTACATAGTACCGTATATATACTGTATATAGTACATAGTATCGTATATATACTGTATATAGTACATAGTACCGTATATATACTGTATATAGTACATAGTACCGTATATATACTGTATATAGTATATAGTACAGTATATAGACAGAAAGACTATGTGTGTATATATATACACATACACTTACATATATCTCAAATTTATGATTAATTCATTATCAAAAAGGGTGCCAACAAAATTCAAAGGAGTCTCTTTAGCAATAGTGCTAGCACAACTGGATATTCACATGCAAAAGAATGAAGCTGGGCATCTATCTACCCTTTGTATCACATATGAAAATTAACTCAATGTGGATCAAAGACCTAAATGTAAGAGCTAAAACTACTAACTTAGAGGATAACATAGAAGTAAATCGTCATGAACTTGGATTACAAAAGTTTCCTAGACAATAATATCAAAAGCACAGCAACAAAAGAAATAATAGGATGGAATAGAATATTATTCAGCCATAAAAAAAGAATGAGTATTGATACCTCCTATTATATGGATGAAACTCAAAAACATTATGCTAAGTGAAAGAAAGTCATTCGCAAAAGGCCACATGTTGCTTGATTCCTTTTTTATATGCAGAATAAGCAAATCTATCGATATCAAAGGAGATTAATGGTTGCCAGAGGCTGAGAGTGAGAGGATAGGGAATGACTGGCAATGTGTATGAGCTTTCTTTTCTCTTTTTTTCAGAGATGAGGATTTTGCTCTGTTCCCTAGGCTGGAGTACAGTGGCATGATCATGGCTCACTGCAGCCTCAACCTTCAGGGCTCAAGCCATCCTCCCATCTCAGCCTCTTGAGCAGCTGGGACAACAGGCACATGCCACCGTGCCTGGCTAATTTTTGTACTTTTTGTAGAGACAGGATCCTACTATGTTGCCCAAGCTGGTCTCAAACCCCTGGGCTCAAGCAATTCTCCTGTCTCAGCATTCCAAAATGCTGGGATTACAAGTATGAGCCATGGCATTTGAACTGTATAATTTTTGTAAACTTTTGTCTAACATTATTTCAGGCTGGGTGTGGTAACTCATGTCTGTAATCCTAACACTTTGGGACACTGAGGTGGGAGGATTGCTTGAGCCCAGGAGTTCAAGATCAGCTTGTGCCAAAAAGCAAGACCCCGTCTCTACAAAAAAATTTTTAAAAAATCAGCCGGGGTTGGGGCAGGGGGTGTGGCACACATCTGTAGTATATATTTTAGTTATATATTAGTGTACATCTATTCATGCAAAATTGTTATATTTCACAGTAAAATTTTATTATTATTTTAATTTTTGTGGGTACAATGTAGGTGTATATATTTATGGGGTAT
Organism: Homo sapiens; assembly: GCF_000001405.40. NCBI lineage: Eukaryota > Metazoa > Chordata > Mammalia > Primates > Hominidae > Homo > Homo sapiens. The sequence continues at coordinate 37,753,274 of NC_000019.10, forward strand.
ATGAGATATTTTGATACAGGCATACAATGTGTAATAATCACTTCAGGGTAAATGGAACATCCATCACCTCAAGTATTTATCCTTTGTGCTACAAAAAATCCAATTATATTCTTTTAGTTATTTTAAAATATACAATTAAATTATTATTGACTATAGTCACTTTGTTGCGCTATCAAATACTAGATCTTATTTATCACAGTAAATTTTTTTTTAAAGAGAAAACAGTAGCTATAAAAGACAGGCAGAAGAAGTATATTTGTAAATGGAAATATATGGTATTCAAAATAAAAACAGAAAGAACTGGAGATTATTAACATTTTAAGATATTACTCCAGAAAAGTTTCTGGACATTATCAGCACATGAATTATATATTAAAAAGCCACTATGTATACCAAGGAAAACTAACTAGAATGGTCCATTTAAAGCACATACTATTAGAGTTCTATGACTTCAAAAAACAAAAAAATTTTTATAGTTGCCAGGCAAAAAGATCAAGTCACTTTGAAGGGAGGAAATATCCAGTGGGCATTAGAGTTACACTTAGTGTTACTTAAACTCAGAAAGTAAAGGAGCAATAGGTACGAAGTTCTCAAGAAAAGTAAGATGAATTAAGAATTTGATATCCAAAGTATCTTTCAACTACAAAAATAGCCAATAGTTTAAATATACAAGAACTCTCACAATATATTTCTCCTGATCTCATCTTGGCAGGCTCTTTGGTCATTATCAACAGCCGGGAAATGGAGAACTGGGAACATACAGCGACTACAATGTCAGATACATAAAAGGGAGTAAAAGATAAAAGTCATGTTCCTAGAAAAGTTGGGAGAATGTCTAAAGAAGTAATTCATGTAAAAATGCTGATTTGGGGACAAACATCCATGAATGTTGTGTGGTCAATTTGTATAATATTCCATGGAAAAGACTGTCATTTAAAGCTAGCATATCAAATAATTGAAAAGAATGGCCGGGCACGGTGGCTCACGCCTGTAATCCCAGCACTTTGGGAGGCCGAGGTGGGTGGATCACGAGGTCAGGAATTTAAGACCAGCCTGGCCAAGATGGTAAAACTCTGTCTCTACTAAAAATACAAAAATTAGCCGGGTGCAGTGGCAGGTGCCTATAATCCCAGCTACTACGGAGGCTGAGGCAGGAGAATCGCTTGAACCCGGGGGGCAGAGGTTGCAGTGAGCCAAGATCATGTCACTGCACTCCAGCCTGGGTGATAAAGTGAGACTCCACCTCAAAAAAAAAAAAAAAAAATGAAACCAGAAAGCATAATACAAAAAGAACCAAAAATTGTCATACAATAAATGTAAAAATGTGAAAGTCTCTATTAAATGGCTTTTGCTTGCATTCCAGAAAAAAAATCCATTTCTAGATTTCATTTAAAAAAAAAAAGACTCTAAAATAGAATGATGAGAAAGGGTACAGAAGGCAAAGTTTAAAAAAAGGTATCTTAATCTTGATATCAAAAAATTTTGAATTAAGGGAACAAATTACAAAATAGACCAAATGGCACTCCATAATATTAAACAATGAAATAACAATGAATTTAAAAGTTAGGAACAGCCACACAACATAACACCTACTATCAAATCAATTTTCAAAGAAAAAGAATTAAAAGATTTCTAAAAATAAAAAGTAACTAATTAGAGGTAAAGAATAACAGTCTCAAATTAATAGAATAAATCTATTTTATTTATTTTTTTTGAGACAGAGTCTCGCTCTGTCTCCCAGGCTGGAGTGCAGTGGCTCCATCTCAGCTCACTGCAAGCTCCGCCTCCCGGGTTCACGCCATTCTCCTGCCTCAGCCTCCTGAGTAGCTGGGACTACAGGCCCCTGCCACCACGCCCGGATAATTTTTGTATTTTTAGTAGAGACAGGGTTTCACTGTGTTAGCCAGGATGGTCTCGATCTCCTTACCTCGTGATCCGCCCGCCTCGGCCTCCCAAAGTGCTGGGATTACAGGCGTGAGCCACCGCACCTGGCCCAATGGAATAAATCTAAATAAGCACTGATGAAATCTAATTACAATGCTTATCTCTGATAATAAACTTTATTTCAAGTGGACAAAGAATACTTAAAACATTGACCTCAGAGCATTCATGGAAATCTAACCACATAGAGCGCCAACAATTTGTTGAGTTGACATTTCAACAAGTTCTTGAAGAATTAGGAACACAGACTTTAATCTCTAACAAGAACATAGTACCATTGGAAATTTATAGCAGTATCAGAGAGCAATTTCTATTACATGAAGTAAAATAACTCTATTTTAATTGACCTGAAGCAAGGGGCCAAAATAAACTAAAATTATAACTGTGTAAACATTATATAACTAGATAGAACAGCAAAATCTGTGCTCAAAGCAAAATCTATGGCCTTAAATACTGAAGAGATCAAAAAAGAATGAAAATAAGTGAGTAATTATGACTCACAAATTTCAAAATCAGAAAGAAAATAAATTGATGCAACAGAAGAGGCATTGGTAAAATCAGAGCAAAAATGATTTACTGTATTTAGAAAAATATAAAACAACTGCAAAATGGTTCTTCGCAAAAAAAAAAAAAAAGTTAAATGAGGCAATGCAGTAAGAATAAAAGGCAAATTTCCTAATACATGAAATAAAGAATAACATGAGGAAATTAATCACTTTTATAAACCTTGTAAGAAAAGCCCACTACTTGGGCTCAACCCTGTGCTCTTTCGCTTAGGTTAACACGCTAACCTGTATTATCCCACCACTGACCCTTCAGGGAAGCCTGCAGGGAAAACAGATGTCTGGCTGTCTCCTAATGACTGATACTGTGAAAAGGCTGTTGGCTCCTATCTGCGAAGTGGGCACAGAGTTGTTATATCTCAGTAAACTGATCCTTATTTTACCTAGGATCAATGTCGGCCTACCAACTTCCTTTCTCAGAATAAGAGATCTTTAGATCACTTAATTCAAGGAGATTTCGTGGGCCTGATGCCACTTAAAGAACTTTACTGTTGAAGGGAAATTCTGCCATCTCCTTCTTCCCCCAAACCTCTTCATGTTATGCTTTATGAGGGCTGAAAAATGTTAAGAATTGTACATACGGTTTCAGAAATAGTAGATTAAGATCATGGGATTAAAGCACAGAACTCCTCAACGGAGGTGCATAAAATTGCAGGCATGGTCACTCAAAAGAGAGCTGCTTTAGATGCAATGCTGGTCTAAGGGGGCAGGCTTATGTGCTGTCTTATGGGAAGAATGTTATATCACTAGAGGTCTCTGTGGAATCTTTAATATTACTAATATTAATGACTCAGAAAACAGAGTCGCAATAACATTAGGAAACTTGCAGAATGCTCCCACTTACCTAGTTATAATGGCTCTTTGCATTCGGTAAGGAATCTGTTCTTTTGTTTTAATTTGGCCTCTGTTGGCTCCTGATTTAGGAGACTATAAACTGTGATTGCAATTCTTCCCTAAATACGTTTGTTCAAAAGTGTGATCTCCAGAATAATAAAATGCTACTATATCATTTTATATATATACAATATATAATCTCATATTATGATAAAATAATAAAATGCTACTATACAGTCATATATATAGCAATGCTACTATATATGTTCCATCGAATGAGCCAACAAATTATCTTCCAACAAAAGGAATACAAAAATATGAAATGTATGGAGATTAGAATAACCATGAGGGAAAACTTTTAAAAACACAATGATAACCTCAAACAGCACTGTACATCTGAACTAGTGTTCCCACATAAGTTTATCTTCCATCTCAAGCAGAAGGATGACCAAAAATGGAAAAATGGGGGTTACTGAAAAGTGAAACCAACACAATCCCCTCTTAAGGCCAATTGCTTACTCATCAAGGCTCCAAGTATCTCACCTCTCACTGCCTACCCACACTAAAATTATTATTGTTGTTATTATTATTATTATTATTTTTGAGACAGAGTCTCACTCTGTCGCCCAGGCTAGAGTACAGTCGCATGATCTTGGCTCACTGCGACCTCCACCTCCTGGGTTCAAGCAATTCTCCTGCCTCAGCTTCCCGAGTAGCTGAGACTACAGGCGCCCGCCACCGCGCCCGGCTAATTTTTTGTATTTTTTTGTAGAGACGGGGTTTCACCGTGTTAGCCATGATGGTCTCGATCTCCCGACCTCGTGATCTGCCTGCCTCAGACTCCCAAAGTGCTGGGATTACAGGCGTGAGCTACCGCGCCCGGCCCACACTAAAATTATGATGTCATAGACTCAGCCCCATCCCAATTAGTTCGCTCTGTTTTGCAAAACCTGCCTTAAAAATTACTTTTACACTGTTGGTGGGACTGTAAACTAGTTCAACTACTGTGGAAGACAGTGTGGCGATTCCTCAGGGATCTAAAACTAGAAATACCATTTGACCCAGCCATCCCATTACTGGGTATATACCCAAAGGAATATAAATCATGCTGCTATAAAGACACATGCACATGTATGTTTATTGCGGCACTACTCACAATAGCAAAGACTTGGAACCAACCCAAATGTCCAACAATGATAGACTGGATTAAGAAAATGTGGCACATATATACCATGGAATACTATGCAGTCATAAAAAATGATGAGTTCATGTCCGTTGTAGGGACATGGATGAAGCTGGAAACCATCATTCTCAGCAAACTATCGCAAGGACAAAAAAACCAAACACTGCATATTCTCACTCATAGGTGGGAATTAAACAATGAGAACACTTGGACACAGGAAGGGGAACATCACACACCACACACCGGGGCCTGTTGTGGGGTGGGGGTAGGGGGGAGGGATAGCATTAGGAGATATATCTAATGTAAAGGATGAGTTAATGGGTGCAGCACACCAACATGGCACATGTATACATATGTAACAAACCTCCATGTTGTGCACATGTACCCTAGAACTTAAAGTATAATAAAATATATATATATATATATATATATATATATATATATATATATATATATATATATATATATATAAAATTACCCAGTTGCTACTTTTCTGTGGAGCACGTTTTTTAAAAAAAAAAAGAGGCTGGACGCGGTGGCTCACGCCTGTAATCCCAGCACTTTGGGAGGCAGGGGTGGGTGGATCACCTGAGGTCAGGTGTTCCAGACCAGCCTGGCCAACATGGTGAAACCCCGTCTCTATTAAAAATACAAAAATTAGCCAGGCTTGGTGGCACACACCTGTAATCCCAGCTACTTGGAGGCTGTGGCAGGAGAATTGCTTGAACCTGGGAGGCGGAGGTTGCAGTGAGCTGAGATCGGGCCACTGCACTCCAGCCTGTGCGACAGAGCAAGACTCCATCTAAAAAAAAAAAAAAAAGGAAAAAAAAAATTACCCAGTCTGGTTCTAAAACCTGATAAGTAAGTTTCCTGGTTTCTTATTTTAAGATACTACTGTTACTCTTTCAAGAGGTTGTTCTCCCTTTTTTGCAATAAATCTAATAAGCTTAGCTTTGCTAGATGAACAGAAATGTCTGGTAATTCTTGGAAGTCAACAGTATATAGACACCCTAGGAAGTATATGAAAAATATCGTTAAATATAGAAAAATAAATATTTTGAAATATCATAAACATATAACAAGTAAGTCCAACTCAAAATAATACAAAGTACCAGAATAATGAAGATATATCAGGAAGGCTGCTATTTTCAGACAAAAATCAGTTGCTTTCTAATATATCAATAATAACTAATTATAGGCTGATATATCAATATATCTAATATATCAATAATAACTAATTATAGGCTCACACCTGTATTTTCAGCACTTTGGGAAGCCAATGCAGGAGGACTGCTTGAGCCCAGGAGTTAGAGACCAGCTGAGCAACCCAGTGAGACCCCCATCTCTAATAAACAAACAAACAAACAAAATAACGAATCACACAATATAGAAGTATATAATTACATATTATAGAATTATGTGTTATACAAGTTCTTAATCTCTGACAAGAACATAGCACCATTAGAAATTTATAGCAATATCAGAGAACAATTTCTTTTACATCAAGTAAAAGAACTCTATTTTAATTGACCTGAAGTTTAACTGTAACTCAAAAGTTTATAAACATTTAATAAAATACAAACATAGATTTAGTTTTAAGGGTTTTTAAAAACTATCATTTTTCAAATTTCTTTTTAAAAATTATAGTTTAGACCAGGCGCGGTGGCTCACGCCTGTAATCCCAGAACTTTGGGAGGCCGAGGCAGGTGGATCACGAGGTCAGGAGATTGAGACCATCCTAGCTAATACAGTGAAACCCTGTTTCTACTAAAAATACAAAAAAATTAGCCAGGCGTGATGGTGGGCACCTGTAGTCCCAGCTACTCGGGAGGCTGAGGCAGGAAAATGGCGTGAACCCGGGAGGCGGAGCTTGCAGTGAGCCAAGATCGCGCCACTGCACTCCAGCCTGGGCAACACAGCGAGACTCTGTCTCAAAAAATAAATAAATAAATAAATAAATAAAAATGAAAATAAAAATTATAGTTTAAGTTAGAGTGTAGAACTTACGTTGTTGGTTTCTTTACCCTAATTTAATAATGGCGTATCAACCTTCACTCGTCTTTGTTCATTTTCACTGCAACTGGATAAATGATTAGATATTACTGCCAGTGTGGCAATTCCTTTAGTATATGTAAAATTTGGACAAGATGAAATGGAGAAGATTATTTTTCTCAGCTTCAGCAATAAGAAATGCAAACGATAAAGACTGACATTGTTCACATACATGATTTGGAGTTTTAAGATTTGTATAAAGCATGTTCTGGTGTTGCAGCTTCAAAAGAACAGGAAAATACTCCAGAGTGATTGGCCACATTGCCACACATACGTACATAGCTGCCAGTTCAATGAGTTAAGAGGGCCTAGCACGAAGAGGGTCCACGAGCAATTACCATACCTAAGCCTAGATCTGGATTTCTAAATGGCGTTCCCAATAAAAGGAACTGGTGCTCCTTACAGAAGTGGCTGATTCCAGGGCTATGGCAAAGAAAATATAAGATAATCCTAGATTAACAACTTGTAGTACCAGAAAATAAGAAATGCTCACCAAAGGTGAGCAGGTTGAAAAGGCACAGATGCCAACTTGAAAGAGTTCCCAATGGCCAAAGCAGAAGACAAATAACTAAGGATAGTATAGGATTATAACTCATGGAATAAAATAAACATCTATGAGTCCATATTGATATAAATAATTGAATAAATAGAGGAAAAAGGGAGTATTCCTTCTTACAGAAGAATTCCAGCTAATGGGCCAGGTGCGGTGGCTCAAGCCTGTAATCCCAGCACTTTGGGAGGCCGCGGCGGGCAGATCACAAGGTCAGGAGTTCGAGACCAGCCTGACCAACATGGTGAAACCCCGTCTCTACTAAAAATACAAAAATTAGCCAGGCATGGTGGTGCATGCCTATAATTCCAGCTACTCAGGAGGCTGAGGCAGAAGAATCACTTGAACCTGGGAGGCGGAGGTTGTAGTGAGCTGAGATCGCGCCATTGCACTCCAGCCTGGGCAACAGAGTAAGAGTCTGTCTGAAGAAAAAAAAAAAAATGTTTCCAGCTAATAAATGTAGGAGGTTAATGCAAAATCATCAGTAGGCAAATGTTGCATTAAAGATGTGTACAAGCAGGCCGGGCGCAGTGGCTCACGCCTGTAATCCCAGCACTTTGGGAGGCTGAGGCAGGTAGATGACCTGAGGTCAGGGGCTCAAGACCAGCCTGGTCAACATGGTGAAAACCCATCTCTACAAAAACTACAAAAATTAGCTGGGGGTGGTGGCACAAGCCTGTAATCCCAGCTACAGCGCCTGTAATCCCAGCCTGAGCCTGGGAGGCGGAGGTGGCAGTGAGCCAAGACAGCACCACTGCACCTGCACTCTAGCCTGGGTGACAAAGTGAGGCTCTGTCTCAAAAAGGAAAAAAAAAGAACTGGTATAAGCAAAATCTACTGTTGGAAGCTAAAATCTGTGGTGGGGATCAGGGGGTGTAAAAGTTGGAGGAGAAATAGGATATCTGTATTGTTTTCCTGGGACTCACAAAATAATACCACAAAATGAAGTCCGCAAAGCATCCTCAGAAGCAAAAGTTTTTTCTCGGACCTTCTCTTGCCCTCCTGTCTCTCAGTCCCATTCTCCCCCTAGGCTAACCATAAAGACTAGAAGCCCTCTTCCCCAAGGCAAGTCATGGAAACCAGAACCCCTTGTCCCCAGAGCTACTCATAAAACCTAAAAATATTACTCTAACTTTCCCCTGCCTTTTTGGGTAAAAACTGGCCATAAAAAATTCCCTGGCCTACTTTGTTTGACTGTTGGTCATAAGACCCCCATTCCAGAGAGTGTCCCCCATTCCGGAAGGAAGGAATACGTGTTCTGAGAGGCCAAGAAGAACCTAGACAGACAGGCCTTGCTGGGTTTCCCTACTCAGGCTATTAGCATTAGATCACACCCTTTTTGCCCAATCCTGTTTCTACATAGCTGTCCATACTTTGTTAAACCTAAGCATAAAAATAGGTAATTTCCCCTGTACCTTTGGATCTTCTTTCTAAAGGCTCCTGTGTCATGAAAAAGTATGATTAGATCAATTTGTATGCCTTTTCTTCTCAATCTGCCTTTTGTCAGTGATTTTCAGTGAAACTTCAGAGGGTGAAAAAGAAGTTTTTCCTTGGCCCGGACAGATACAATTATGAAAAGCATCTCAAACAAGTTATATCATATTAGCATTGCCTAAGGCACAAATTCTTATTTCACCAAATTATAATATTAGCATTGCCAGTGGAACAAACTATTATTGTCTCCTCATGTGATACAATGGGAAGAATAGAACATCACCTGGGGGCAATTTTTCAAAATATGTTGGGCTTGAATTTAATCATAAGGAAGTGATAATACATTGCAGATTGTAGACATTCTAAAAAGAAATCAAGTGGACTGGACTTTGCAAAGATGTCAATTTCATGAAGGAAGATGCTCTGAATTAAAGGATATTAAATAGATTTGGTGAGTAAGTATGACAGATGTTCCTTCAGTTGATCCTAGATTTTAAAATTTATAAAAGGACATTACTGGGATAATTGGGAGAAATTTGGATGTGGACTGTATATTTGATAATATTCTTAGAGAATTGTGAAATCACTTGGGTAATGTGGGCAAAGGGTTAACAAAACATTTTCTAATGTTCTGTAATTAAACATTAAACAGAATGGGAATCCCATTCTGCATGAGGATGTACTCTTAGGCTAACTCTCCAATGCTGCTTCCCTAAAAACAGAATGTGTCAACTATGTTAATAAGTTTCATTATTTATGGTAACAATGACCCTGATTGGCAAGTTGCACCTCGGACTGTGGACTAGGGGCTAGATGAAGAGAACACCATATTTAGGGTTTCTTTGACTACATTTCTTTTTAAAAGAGCATATCCTTGAAAGACCCTGGAAACGATGACTAAAGAATCCTCACACCAGATATTGTACCAACCTTTGGAGCCAGTCTTTTTTTTTTTTTTTGAGAAGGAGTCTCATTCTGTCACCAAGGCTGGAGTGCAGTGGTGCGATCTCGGCTCACTGCAACCTCCGACTCCCTGGTTCAAGTGATTCTCCTGCCTCAGCCTCCTGAGTAGCTGGGATTACAGGCATGCACCACCACACCCGGCTAATTTTTTATGTTTTTGGTAGAGACAGGGTTTCACCATGTTGAACAGGCTGGTCTCGAACTCCTGACCTCAAGCGATCCACCTGCCTTGGCCTCCCAAAGTGCTGGGATTACAGGCATGAGCCACCGCGCCCAGCCAAACCAGTCTTCTTAAGTCAGGGGAGGCCCACACTCCTGCCGTGTGGATCTCATTTCCTAGCACTTGAGCTCTAGCACCTGTGGAAAAGAGAGCTCCTGGAAGGCTGTCTCATATGCATGAATCACTGCAGCCATGCCACAGGGTGCTGAGCACCAAATACCCAAGAACAACTATAGTTATATATATATATATTATAAATATATACTTAGGTTAAGAGTAAATATCAGGGCCAGTTACCGGGGCTCAAGAGTGTAATCCCAGCACTTTGGGAGGCCGTGGTGGGCAGATCACTTGAGGTCAGGAGTTCGAGACCACCCTTTGTATTTTGTAAAAATACAAAAATTAGCCAGGCATGGTGGCACACACTTGTAATCCCAGCTACTTGGGAGGCTGAGGCAGGAAGATCGCTTGAAACCAGAAGGCAGAGGTTGCAGTGAGCCAAGATCCATCACTGTACTCCAGCCTGGGCGACAGAGTGAGACTGTCTCAAAAAAAACAAAACAAAACAAAAAAAACAGAGTAAATATCAGTCATAAGGGAGAAAGCATATGATGCAATGACTATATATTTCATAATATGATTACAGTGAAACTAAAAATTGGGAGGAGACTGGGCATACTAAAAAACTGTTTTCAGTAATCATTTAGGTAGTAAAGCTGTTACTAATGTTCTAAGAATGTTTTATGTGTCATAAAGAATAAAGGAAATGACTGGGCATGGTGGCTCATGCCTGTAATCCCAACACTTTGGGAGGCCAAGGTGGGCAGGTCACCTGAGTTTGGGAGTTCAAGACAAGCCTGACCAACATGGAGAAACCCCATCTCTACTAAAAATACAAAATTAGCCGGGCATGGTACCGCATGCCTGTAATCTCAGATACTCTGGAGGCTGAGGCAGGAGACTCGCTTGAACCCAGGAGGCAGAGGTTGCGATGAGCCAAGATCGCACCTTTTCACTCCAGCCAGGGCGACAAGAGCGAAACTCTGCCTCAAAAAAAAAAAAAAAAAAATAGAATAAAGGAAATGAATACTTGCATGGTATTTTAATTTTATCATCACTGGAGTATTGGAGAATTGGTACTAAGGAATAAGAGATACAGATCAAAGACAGAAAATTTCAATTAAACACCATTTAGTTCTAAGTTTGGCCAGGAAGTTGCCATATAAACTCATTAGGTAATTTATTTTTATGTAAATATGTAAACACATACATATATGTATACTTAGAGTTTTTTTTTGTTTTTTTTTTTTGTTGTTTTTTTTTCTTAAGACGGAGTGTCGCTCTGTCACCAGGCTGGAGTGCAGTGGCCCGATCTCGGCTCACTGCAACCTCCATCTCCCGGATTCAAGCAATTCTCCTGTCTCAGCCTCCCTAGTAGCTGGGACTACAGACCAGTGCCACCACGCCCAGCTAATTTTTGTACTTTTAATAGAGACGGGGTTTCACCATGTTGGCCAGAATGGTCTCGATCTCTTGACCTCGTGATCTGCCCGCCTTGGCCTCCCAAAGTGCTGGCATTACAGGCATGAGTCACTTTTTTTTTTTTTTGAGACGGTGTCTCGCTCTTTCACCCAGGCTGGACTGCAGTGGTGCTATCTTGGCTCACTGCAAGCTCCACCTCCCGGGTTCACACCATTCTCCTGCCTCAGCCTCCCGAGTAGCTGGGACTACAGGTGCCCGCCACCACGCCCGACAAACTTTTTGTATTTTTTGTAGAGACGGGGTTTCACTGTGTTAGCCAGGATGGTCTCGATCTCCTGACCTCGTGATCCGTCTGCCTTGGCCTCCGAAAGTGCTCAGATTACAGGCATGAGCCACTGTGCCCGGCCTTTTTTTTTTTTTTTTTTTTGAGACGGAGTTTCACTCTTGTCGCCTAGGCTGGAGTGCAGTGGCATGATCTCTGTTCACTGCAACCTCTGCCTCCTGGATTCAAGTGATTCTCCTGCATCAGCCTCCCCAGTAGCTGGAATTACAGGTAGCCGCCACAATGCCTGGCTAATTTTTGTATTTTTAGTAGAGATGGCGTTTCACCATGTTGGCCAGGCTGGTCTTGAACTCCTGACCTCAGGCTGGCCTCCCAAAGTGCTGGGATTACAGGCGTGAGCCACCACACCCAGTCACTTACAGATTTTTCTATCTTTAACTGGTAAAAAGCCTATAACAATCTTCAACCAAGAAAAATGGGCACTTCTAGAGGCTAGACTGTGGCCTTAAAATACCATTTCCCACTAAAAGAACCCAATAGTTCACAAACTTATGGCTGACTAAAGGCTTGGTACAGGAAACGTACAAGATAAGCCTGCAACACTTTGTCATATCAGATGGGAGAAGGCTGGCAATAAAATAACCGTCTAAATCTGGGAGTGGTGGCTCATGACTGTAATCCCAGCACTTTGGGAGGCCGAGGCAGGCGGATCACGGGAGGTCGGGAGTTCGAGACCAGCCTGACCAACATGGAGAAACCCCATCTCTACTAAAAGCACAAAATTAGCTGGGTGTGGTGGCACGTGCCTGTAATCCCAGCTACTCGGGAGGCTGAAGCAGGAGAATCGCTTGAACCTGGGAGACGGAGGTTGCAGTGAGCTGAGATTGTGCCATTGCACTCCAGCCTGGGCAACAAGAGCAAAACTCCGTCTCAAAAACAAAAACAAAAACTGTCTAGTTACCTATGAAGGATCCTAGGGGCCAGGCACGGTGGCTCATGTCTGTAATCCTAACATTTTGGGAAGCCGAGTCCGGTAGATCATCTGAGGTCAGGAGTTTGAGACCAGCCTGGCCGACATGGCAAAACCCTCCTCTCTACTAAAAATATAAAAATTAGCCGAGCATGGTGGTGCATGCCTGTAATCCCAGCTACTTGGGAGGCTGAGGCAGGAGAATGGCTTGAACCTGGGAGGTGGAGGTTGCAATGAGCCAAGATCACACCATTGCATTTCAGCCTGGGCGACAAGAGCAAAACTCCATCTCAAAAAAAAAAGAAAAGAGAAAAGACCAAATATTGATCAGCCTTTATTTTCCAAATGGTATCAGTAGTTACCAAATAGTAGGTGATGTAAAAAATTGTTTATATTTGTACATAATAAATGAAAAATAAATGTTAGAATTAGAATATGACCATTTTGGAATGTCTGATGAATTAATACATCCAGGCATTGAGCATAAATGACTGCTAAAAATCACAGAGAGACAACCAGAAGGTTTATGCTGAGAACCTAAACCATTCACTCCCACACTCAGCCTTGAAACAGAGAAGTGGACCTACCAATCCCCCTACAGGTAGCTTACTCTCTCCATAAACACATCCCACTGTTTTCCTCAGCACAATTTTACTGTTCTGGAAGTTTCTTGCAAAGGCAAATGGCTTCATTGTTCATTACTGGAAGTTCCTGAAAGATCCATCAACTCTTAAATGGCAAACATCAACAGTTTGTACTCTAGAAAATTTTCAATTCCTAACCTCAAAATTCTAACCTAGCTGTTTCCACTAATTCTCCACTGTGGTGTCTTCATCTTTACCTAATCCTAATCAAGTCCCCGCATGAAGACCAGCCTTAAACCAAACTTTTAATTCTCAGTAAAAGCCATCCTTGCCCTTCTGCCTCTGAGATACTATATAAAGCTCTTCAGAGGTGGTGTTTTCCTTTAACACAGTAAACCATAAGCCCAGCTCTGTCTGGTATGAGGGGAGCAGGAAAAGTGCCAACATATGATGCATACAATACTGCCCAGGAAGTTGTCTTGCAATAAAATAAATAAAATAAACTGAATCAAAATCGATTAAGTGTAACAGTGAAATAAATCTAGCATAGCTGACTCCATCTTACTTCTAACCTCACAAGCTAATGGCGTTTGCTCATAACTGCACGCTGGCCAAGTTAACTATGGGAGTATTTAATTTATACTATAACTTTAAAGCAAGGATAATAATCCCTTTCCAAAACTATTAATAATTCTCAAGGAGATAGGGAGGGTGTACATACAAGTAACAACGTTATGTTAAAGATTTATAGGAGCATTGTGACCTGACCGAGGACAACGTTGTGCAACCTTCTCGGACCCCTGCTGACACCCAGATATCTGTAGTCGCCAGTCACCTCCTGACCTCAACCTCCTCCTAGTTCCCCCTTCGCCAACATAAAAAACGGCATGAGATTCATTCCTTTTTTTTTTTTTGAGACGGAGTCTCGCTCTGTCACCCAGGCTGGAGTGCAGTGGCGCGATCTCGGCAAACTGCAAGCTCCGCCTCTCGGGTTCACGCTCTTCTCCTGCCTCAGCCTCCTGAGTAGCTGGGACTACAGGCGCCCGCCACCACGCCCACCTAATTTTTTGTATTTTTTTTTTAGTAGAGACGGGGTTTCGCCGTTTTAGCCAGGATGGTCTCGATCTGCTGACTTTGTGATCTGCCCGCCTCGGCCTCCCAAAGTGCTGGGATTACAGGCGTGAGCCACCATGCCCGGCAGAGATTCATGCCTTTTAAGATGGTTCTTTAGGACATTAGCCTGCCATCTTCTCGCTTTGCTGGCTCTCTGAAATAAAGTTCCTTGCCCTAACACCTTACCTCTTGACTTACTGGCTGTTGTGCAGTGAGCAGTATAAGCTCTGGACTCAGATACATAAGCCTCTTGACCCCTCTACTTATTTAGAGGATATAGAGGGGTCAGAGAACATATTTAAGCAAATCTCAGGGATGGCATCAGCAAAAAATAGAATGGAAGATGTTTCTTCAGCAAATAAGGGGTTAAGAACACAAAGAAAGATGAAGACAAAACTTAGAGACTTGCGAAAACTTAAAAAGACTTGAAATTGGAGAAAAAATAAAAGGAAGGAACTTATTACCATTAAAATCAGAATAGTGGTTACACTTAGCAGGAGGAAGGAGATTGTGACTGGTTGCAGACATGTGGAGGACTTCAGAATCAACTAGAAACTCTCTCCTTGTTTAGAAATACTGCTTGGAGGGTATAAAATAATCTTGTATGTCATTATTATAACCTTTCTGTAACTCTAAAATTATATTAAAATAAAAAAAAATTTTTAAGTTTTAACTCCTGACACGGCTGTGGTGACATGATTGTTTAACTTGTAAGACTCAGTAAGCTACTCATGTGTTATATGTTGTTCTCTGAATCTGTCTAATGTTTTTAAAAATGCCTTGAAAACAATTACATCATTGGTTCTAATCCTTCTTATTCCCAAAAATTCAAATTCAACAATACCTCATGTGATCTGACTACGCCTAACAATGTGACCTCATTTCTCGTCACTCTCCTCTTAGGATCTCTATTCTGGTCTACTTTGGTGCTCCTCAAACTCACATAGCTCTCTCTATTACCCTCCCTTGACTATCCATACTCCTTCCCTCCAATGCTTCAGCCATCTCCTTAGCCTTCTAAGCTCTTTATTCAGCTTGGAATATTCTTCCCCAGATAAACACATGGCTTGTGACCTTATACCATGTCTCTTTCCAAATACTACTGCCCCAAAGAAGCTGTCCCCAGCCATCTCATCCAAAATGGCCTAACCTCTGCTTACTTTCTACCATTGCTTATTCCACTGCCTAATAGTAGTTGTTTGCCTGCTTATTTTATTTTATTTATTTATTTATTTTTTGAGATGGAGTCTCTCTCAGTCGCCCAGGCTGGAGTGCAGTGGCGCAATCTCAGCTCACGGCAAGCTCCGCCTCCCGGGTTCATGCCATTCTCCTGCCTCAGCCTCCTGAGTAGCTGGGACTACAGGCGCCCGCCACTATGCCCTGTTAATTTTTTTGTATTTTTAGTAGAGACGGGGTTTCACCGTGTTAGCCAGGATGGTCTCGATCTCCTGACCTCGTGATCCACCCATCTCGGCCTCCCAAAGTGCTGGGATTACAGGCGTGAGCCGCTGCGCCCGGCCTATTTTATTTTATTTTTGAGACAGAGTCTTACTCTGTCGCTCAGGCTGGAGTGCAATGGCGTGATCTCGGCTCACTGCAACCTCTGCCACCTGGGTTCAAGCGATTCTCCTGCCTCAGCCTCCCAAATAGCTGGGATTACAGGCACCTGCCACCATGCCTGGCTAATTTTTGTATTTTAAGTAGAGACGGGGTTTCACCATTCAAGACCGGCCAGGCTGGTCTTGAACTCCTGACCTCCTGAGCCACCCACCTTGGCCTCTCAAAGTGTTGGGATTACAGGCATGAGCCACTGCGCCCAGCCTACCTGTTTATTTTTATGTGTTCTTTAGTACAATGTAAATTTCCATGAGGATAAGGACCTTACATGTCTTCCTCATGATCACTACATTGATATGTGTGTTGTGTGTGTGTGCAAAAGGGGAGCTGGAAAAACAGTTGAGTCCAAAATACAGGTAAAATATTGCACTAAAGAAAAACGAGGCTGGGTGTAGTGGCTCACAACTGTAATCCCAGCATTTTGGGAGGCTGAGGCAGGCAGATCACGAGGTCAGGAGTTCAAGACCAGCCTGGCCAACATGGTGAAACCGTGTCTCTACTAAAAATACAAAAATTAGCTGGGCACGGTGGCACACGCCTGTAATTCCAGCTACTCGGGAGGCTGAGGCAGGAGAATCACCTGAACCCAGGAGGTGGAGGTTGCAATAAGCGGAGATCAAGCCACTGCACTCTGGCCCGGGCGACAGAGCAAGACTCTGTCTCGGAAAAAAAAAAAAAAAAAAAAAAAGAAAAGAAAAAAGAAAGCCCCATCACTGAAAACAGGTTTGAAATATAAAAGAAATAAGGTGATTGGTAAATGGGGTAAAGTTGAAGCTTCTTCCATAGCTTATGCTACGATCTTTATTCCCAACCAGGTTGTAGGCCTTTGCTCCACAAGTCTGGGTGCCTTGGAGGAAGGTTTCACAAACAACACAAAAATGTCTCCTTTCTCTTACCACATGGGCTGTGGCCGGCCCTGATGGTGTCCCCTGCCTTCCTTACCTGTGAACTGTGTTTCTTCCCTCAAAATCATCCAGGGCTCTTTTCCTCGCTCCAGTAAATCAACCACAACTGGTTTAGAAATGGAATGTCCTCCTTATAAGAAAAGAAATGCCACATGGTATAAAAATAAAAACAAAAGTAACAGAAACCTTTGAGCTTTGATTAAATTTACAATGAACTAAGGACTTCAAATAAAAGAGGGGTGAGATGATTGAAGAAATGAAACAGGCACAGTAAAACCTTATTTTAATGTAAACTCATACACGCGTGGTCTCTTAGGAGAAAGTTTAACCTGTGACCTTATAAAATGTCTCTTTCCAAATATTACCACCCCAAAGTAGCTGTGAAGTTCTCTGGAGCCAGAAGGCTGGGGCACAAATTATTCCTCTTAAATCTACCAACCTTGTGACTTTGGCCATGTGACTTCAACTCATTATTCCAATTTGGCAAATAAACTGGACATAATAATACTACTATTGGCTAGGCATGGTGGCTCACGCCTATAATCCCAGCATTTTGGAAGGCCGAGGTGGGAGGATCACTTGAGACCAGGAGTTTGAGACCAACCCGGGCAACAGAGCGAGACCTCATCTCTACAAAAAAAAAAAAAAAAAAAAAAAATTAGGCATGGTGGTGCATCTACAGTCCCAACTACTAAGGAGGCTGAGGCAGGAGGATCACTTGAGCCCAGGAGGTTGAGGCTACAGTGAGCTATGATTGCACTCCAGCCTAAGCAACAGAGCAAGATCCAGTCTCGAAAAAAATAAATAAATAAATAAGATAATAACAATAACACTATCACACAGTTCTTTCAGGATTAAGTTATTTTATATATATATATATATATATATATATATATATATATATATTCCCCCTCCCTTCCAAAGAGTGGCTGGGGACATAATGAGCACAACTGTACCAATTATAATTATTTTATTATTTCTGTATGAGAGAAAAAAAGCATCCCGACTGATATATAAAATCTTCATTCAAACTCAATGCAAAGCTCATGAATTATAACTTTCAACAATAAATCATACAAATTGGCTACAGGAAATGAAATGTGGACTCTTCAGTTTCCAATAAATATTGTTCATCTAATCCAGCACTATATGTCACAGGGGTTCTTCTTATACTCAGAGTAAATCATGAATCTGCGTCTTTTGTCCCTGCAGGTGGATCAGATGATGACACAGCATATCTATAGGAATTCTGGAAATATGCACAATGGGAAACCAGGATTCCTGGGCAATGGTTATTCATGGACTAATAATATATAATTTAATAATAATAATATATAATTTTAACCCAGCCCCTTGGATATTAAGGAAAGGAGGCAATCATAAGGGGCAGGAGAATATGTGACTATCTCTAAAGGATGAAGAAAATGATGGTGCTTAGTGGCACAGCCATTGTCAAACAGGCAGAGCTGAAATATTCCTCTAAGAACAGGAAGGAGAAATTCAACTATGTCTTGAAATATGGCCTTGAAATTCATTGTGTTGAAAGGTAACATATCACAGATCACATTTTAAATTACTTGAGGCAAATAAACTTACCCAGTGATACCAGGTTTCTATAGTTCTCCAACATCACATCCCTGTATAAGTCCCTCTGATTAGGGTCCAGGTATTCCCACTCCTGCCGAGAGAAGTCTATGGCCACATCCCTGAATGTCACTAATTCCTGAAACTGCAAACCCATGCATTACAAAATTTTAAAAACATTTTAAAGAAGGAAAGATAGGAGATTACAAGAGCACATTAGAGAAAAGGAGTGATATAGTATATGTGGCTAATGACTGGTAGCAGACTAAAGCAACGTGTCTACATATTCCTAAAGGATCCTATTGCCACAGGATCCTATTCCTAAAGGATCCTATTCCTAAAGGATCCTATTGCCACAGACAAATGTTTCTGCATGTTGAAGGTTACCACAATAATTCAGACCTGCTGAGGAATGGATAAAATAAAATTCAATAAAGTATTAAAGACACAACTACATAGTCTGCTAGTCATGTGATGCATAAATTCCCAATAAACATGAGTTTCTAAACTATTTTTCCTGTAAGTTAGAAAAATGAGATGTCCTTGCCAAATTTAATAATCTCCAATATTTAATTGTTTTGTGCTATTTATTTATTTTTTTGGGGACGGGGTCTCACTCCTGCCCAGGCTGGAGTGCAGTGACTCAAACATGGCTCATTGTATCCTTGACCTCCCAGGCCCAGGTGATTTTCCCATCTCAGCCTTTCAAGTAGTTGGTACTACAGGTGTGCAGGACCTGCCCAGCTAATTTTTGTATTTTTTGTAGAGACAGGGTTTCACCATGTTGCCCAGGCTGGTTTCAAACTCCTGGGCTCAAGCAATCCGCCTGCCTCAGCCTCCCAAAGTGCTGGGATTACAGGCGTGAGCCACTGCACCTGGCCAATCTCCATATTTAAAAAAAAAAGCTTTTGCAGAACATTTAGACATTTCCACAAGTCTCAAGTTACATCATTATGTCAGAGCACATAAGCATTTTTCTTAATTTTGACAAATATATTTTTTATTGACTGTGCAACAATTTTATAATGAATATTTCAGACTTACTCCGTCGTTAATCCATCTTTTACCTCGTGTACATTTTTTAAATCTTTTTTTTTTTTTTGAGACAGGCTCACTCTGTTGCCCAGGCTGGAGTGCAGTGACACAATCACTGCTCACTGCAGCCTTGACCTCCCACGCTCAAGCAATCCTCCTGCCATAGCCTCCCGAGTAACTGGGACTACAGGGGCAAGTCACCATGCCCAGATGATTTTTGTACTTTTTTTGTAGAGATGGGTGTCTCACTTTTTTTGCAAGGGGTCTCAAACTCCTGGCCTCAAGTGATCCTCCCGCCTTGGCCTCCCACAGTGCTGGGATTACAGGTATGAGCCACCGTAGCTAGCCTACCTTCATATACTTTGTTGGACAGAACTTCAAAGGTCTTCCCCAGTTCTGGAAATCAACATATTTACTCCTTAGGATAATATTCTCATTCATCGCCATTTTCCATCACTTAATACTTTTCTTGTTCCAGAATGGATACTGATATAGGATGACTCATAATAAAAAAATGTCACCCAAGTTCAGCAGAACACATTCAACCACAAAATAAAAACTTGTCTCTCAGTAATTCTTTGACAAGATCCATGGTATATCTCCAACAATTCTAAAATTCTCAAAGAATATGAGATCTCATCACATACTAAGACAGACCAATTGATAACCAAATCCCATCTTATTTGCCTAGAAAACTCAGGTCTGCGGAGAATGTCAGAGCCTACCTATGGTATCCAAATAGGACCAACATCTCTAATTCACCAAACTAAGGACCTATAAAGGAAGCTCAAATAGTTCCCTGTTGAGACTTCACTCCTTTACTGCTCTATCATAGACTTTGGTTGAACAATAAGCACATGAGTACTAAATACATTTGACAATAAATATAAAAGTGGACAGAAAATACTCATAGGGAGAAAACTGAGTTATTTGCTATCACTATTCACAATATTAGAAGAAAGTGGGGACAGATAACTGAAGGAGGCCTTCTTAAATAGGAAGCCTTAGGTTAATGAAAACATCCACATAACCTATGATCATGATATTGCAAGGAAACAGAATTAATCAACTTACACAGGTCATGGTTTTAGAATTGTAAGACCTGATCAGTCCTACTTGGTGGGGTTCCAATACTGGAAACATTCAAACTCCAGAGAATCCAGAGCTGAGAGAAGAAAAGAGATGTTAGTGTTCCCAATATGACTTAATTTAATAAAATCTTTCTGCTCCTCTATTTCTCCTTCCAAATTAATCCCTCACAACTGAACATATAACTTAGGGAAAAACAGACAATGAATCTAAGCACTCCCTCACACCCCAGGAAACCCAGCTATACAAAGGTAGTTTTAGAGTAAGTCAATGGCTCACTAAAGCCAGATCCAGACAAGATAGCAAGAGGTTTTCTGGACAAGGCTCCAATTTGGGAAGGCTGATCTAGACTTGAGATTAGGCTGCTCAGTTTCTCCATGAGAAGATTCACTTGCCTTCATTCCCACCTTCCAAGGCTGAGAGAGGACTTATCGTTCAAACTAGAAGCTTCTTTTTTTTTTTTTTTTTTTTTTTTTTTCTGAGATGGAGACTCGCTCTGTTGCCCAGGCTGGAGTGCAGTGGTGAGATCTTGGCTCGCTGCAACCTCTGCCACCCAGGTTCAAGCGATTCTCCTGTCTCAGCCACCCAAGTAGCTGGGACTACAGGTGCGTACCACCACACCTAGCTAATTTTTTTTGTATTTTTAGTAGAGACGGGGTTTCACTATGTTGGCGGGGCTGGTCTTGAACTCCTGGCCTCAGGTGATTCACCCGCCTTGGCCTCCCAAACTAGTCAGATTACAGGCATGTGCTACCGCGCCTGGCCTCAAACTAGAACCTCTTCTATGGCATCAGAATCAGTTGAAATTGGTCAAAACATGAGAGAGAACACATCACAGGAGGAAATGTTTAGGCCTGGTTCTGTGTTGAGCACAAACTGCCTTGCTAAATACAAAATATACATGTAATAGAATACCAAGAAGCTATCAGATGCTAAGTAGGGAAACGTATTTAATAAAATTTAAAAATTTCAGATATACTGTCAACGGAAAATTAAGATGAGAAAACAGAATGTACAATATCATTGGATCGTTAAAAAGACAGACAAGCATTGAGGCACAGGCTATAGGACATCAATACATTGAGAAAGTCTGGTAGTTTATTTATTCTGTTACATTACAACATGATCATATGTTACCATTACTTTTCTTTTAGTTGCTATCTTGATTTTCTTTTTTGAATATATTTCATAATCATTTTAACACTGTTCATACATTAACTTAAAAAATACATGTGTACACACACACATACACTCACACACAAATTTGTATATTAAAAGGTGGGTTTATTTTGCCACTTAGCCACAGTGTCATCCAGTCTACTGCTAAACTCTCTCTCTTTTTTTTTTTTTTTTTTAAGGGGCAGGGGGTCTTGCTCTGTCACCCAGGCTGGAGTACAGTGGTGTGATCATAGCTCACTGCAAACTCAGGCTTCTGGGTTCAAGTAATCCTACTGCCTCAGCCTCCTGAGTGGCTGGGACTAAAGGTGTGCACCACCATGCCTGGCTAATTTAAAAAAATTTTTTTAGAGACAGGGTCTTACTATGTTACCTAGGCTGGTCTCAAACTCCTGGGCTCAAGAGATCCTCCCTCCTAGGCCTCCCAAAGTGTTGGGATTACAGGCATGAGCTACCACGCCTGGCCTAGTTTCACTTTTTATCTAACATCACTTGAAGAAAAAATTAGACAGTAAAAGCTTACAGAATATATTCACTAACTTCCATATAGATTCCATGAGCTTAGTTACAATGATGACCAGAATCTAATCAATGCCACGTCCACATGAATTCCCAAGGCACATCACCTGAATCTCTCTAGTGGTCTTCACTATACACTGACTTACCCGTTCCTATTTACAACTTATGGCCCTTGCTGAATTATTGGCATTTTAAAGTAGTGACTAGTCCTAGCCACAGCAACCAGACAAGAGAAAGAAAAAAAGGCATCCAAATTGATTAAGAGGAAGTCAAACTTGCTGTTCGCCGATGATATAATCATATACCTAGAAAACCCTAAAGACTTACCCAAAAAGCCCCTAGATCTGACAAATAAATTCAGTAAAGTTTCAAGATACAAAATTAATGTACACAAATCAGTAGCATTGCTATATACCAACATCGGCTAAGCTGAGAATCAAATCAAGAACTCAACCTCTTTTACAACAGCTGCAAAAAAAAAAAAAAAACCACAAAAGAAAACAAAAACAAAACAAAACAAAACAAAAACAAACAAACTTAGGAATATACCTAATCAAGGAGGTGAAAGATCTCTACAAGGAAAACTACAAAACACTGCTGAAGGAAATCATAGATGACACAAACAGATGGAAGCACATCCCCCGCTCATGGATAGGTAGAATCAGTATGGCGAAAATGACCATACTGCCAAAAGCGATCTATAAATTCAATGCAATTTCCATCAAAATACCATCACCATTCTTCACAGAATTAGAAAAAACAATCCTAAAATGCATATGGAACAAAAAAAGAGCCCGCATGGTCAAAGCAAGACTAAGCAAAAAGAACAAATCTGGAGACATAACATTCCCTGACTTCAAACTATACTACAAGACAATCGTTACCAAAACAGCATGGGACTGGTATAAAAACAGGCATGTAGACCAATGGAAGAGAATAGAGAACCCAGAATAAAGCCAAATACTTACAGCCAACTGATCTTCGACAAAGTAAACAAAAACATAAAGTGGGGAAAAGACACACTATTCAAAAAATGGTACTGGGATAATTGGCAAGCCACGTGTAGAAGAATGAAACTGGAGCTTCATCTCTCACCTTAGAGAAAAATCAACTCAAGATGGATCAAAGACTTAAATCTAAGACCTGAAACCATAAAAATTCTAGAAGATAACATTGGAAAAACTCTTCTACACATTGGCTTAGGCAAAGAGTTCATGACCAAGAACCCAAAAGCAAATGCAACACAAGTAAAGATAAATAGATGGGACTTAATTAAACTAAAAAGCTTCTGCACAGCAAAAGAAATAATCAGCAGAGTAAACAGACAACCCACAGGATAGGAAAAAGTATTCACAAACTGTACATCCAACAGAGGACTGACATCCAGAATCTACAAGGAACTCAAACAAATCAGCAAGAAAAAAACAAATAATCCCATCAAAAAGTAGGCTAAGGATATGAATAGACAATTCTCAAAAGAAGATATACAAATGGTCAACAAACATATGAAAAAATGCTCAACATCACTAATGATCAGGAAAATGCCAATAAAAATCACAATGTGATACCAATTTGCTCCCTAAGAATGACCATAATTTTAAAAAATCAAAAGATAATAGATGTTGCCATGGTTGTGGTGAAGAGAGAACACTTCTACACTACTGGTGGGAACAAAAACTAGTACAACCACTATGACAAACAGTATGAAGATTCCTTAAAAAACTAAAAGTAGAACTACCATTTGATCCAGCAATCCCACTAATGGGTATCTACCCAGAGGAAAAGAAGTCATTATATAAAATTATTTTATTTTTTTTTCAGTGATAGAGACAGGAGTCTCACCATGTTGGCCAGGCTGGTCTCGAACTCCTGGCCTTAAGTGATCTGCTGGCCTCAGCCTCCCAAAATGCTGGGATTACAGGTGTGAGCCACTGCACCCAGACAGAAGTAATTATATGAAAAAGACACTTGCACACACGTTTATAGCAGCACAATTGCAAAAATATGGCAACAGCCTAAATGCCCATCAACAAGTGGATAAAGAAAATTTGGTGTACGTACACATATATATACACTATGGAATACTACTCAGCCATAAAAAGGAATGAAATAACAGCATTGGATGCAACCTGAATGGAGTTGGAGACCATTATTCTAAGTGAAGTAACTCAGGAATGGAAAACCAAACATTACATGTTCTCATTTATGAGTGGAAGCTAAGCTATGAGGATGCAAAGACATAATAATGATATAATGGATCTCAGGAGGCTGAGGCAGGGGAATTGCTTGAACTCAGGAGGCAGAGGTTGCAGTGAACCGAGACTGCGCCACTGCACTCCAGCCTGGCCATAGAGCAAGCCTTTGTCATAAAAAAAAAAAAAAAAGCCGGTCGTGGTGGCTCATGCTTGTAATCCCAGCACTTTGGGAGGCCGAGGCGGGCAGATCACGAGGTCAGGAGACTGAGACCACGGTGAAACCCAGTCTCTAATAAAAATACAAAAAATTAGCCGGGCGTGGTGGCGGGCGCCTGTAGTCCCAGCTACTCGGAGAGGCTGAGGCAGGAGAATGGCCTGAACCCGGGAGGCAGAGCTTGCAAGTGAGCCGAGATCGCACCACTGCACTCCAGCCTGGGCGACAGAGCGAGACTCTGTCTCAAAAAAAAAAAAAAAAAAAAAGTAATATTTAAGAGGTGGTCTCTTGAAGTAACTAATACAAATTCTGTTGTTAGTCTTTTAGGATATGACTTTCAGATTTAAGCTCTGATACTTAATAAAATGTGTCTTAAAGTCTCATTGGTAAATTGGGAGAAAATGTCATTTAGCATATAAAATAGTCTGAAGATGAAGTAAAATAATCCACATAAGGCTGGGTGCGGTGGCTCACGCCTGTAATCCCAGCACTTTGGGAGGCCGAGGCGGGTGGATCATGAGGTCAGGAGTTCGAGACCAGCCTGGCCAAGATGGTGGGATTACAAGCATGCACCATCACGCCAGACTAATTTTTGTATTTTTAGTAGTGATGGGGTTTCGTCATGTTGGCCAGGCTGGTCTCGAACTCCTGACCTCAAGTGATCCGTCCGCCTTGGCCTCCTAAAATGGTGCGATTACAGGCGTGAGCCACCACACCCGGCCAAATATGAGAACGTTAATGAGATTCAGCTCAATGGCTCCCAACATCTACTGGAAAGAAAGCAGATTGGTATTAGGACATTCAGACACATTTCAGATGAAGTAAAACATACTCTAAAACCAGTAACCTTAGGAAAGAAAAAAGCCAACTAGCCTAAACATTGAGTTTTAGATGTGAAAGAATTTTTTTCCTCCTCATTAGAGTCCTTTTGAGGAATAGCAGGACCAGGGAGGGAGAAAAAAATCATGAGTTATCAGGCCTTTCCTTGAAGCACGGAATGCCTCCTTACACAATACCCTCCACGCCTTCCCTGTTCACACACTTTAACACATGGAGGTAGGAGAGAGGCTGGAATCTGGGTATGAGTTCACAGCAGGTTCCTGGGGTCAGAGCTCTGGGAAAGACGAGGTTCTGAGACAGGTAGCTCGCTCTCAGAGCTCACAAAGAAATAACCTCCCAGGCGTTTCCAATCTCACAGCAAGTCAATGCCTTCTTGCTGGAAAACTTGATGTAGAGTTCAGTATCCAACTTCCCTCTTGCAGACATTTTTTGTGTGTGTCAGCCGCAAGCAGCTGTGAGGAGGGAGGAGAGAAGCAGCAGCCGGGAACCTACAGCCAAGACTCAAAGTGACACCGCAGTGCCACCGCAATCAACGTACATGAAAAGGACAAGCACCTCATATCCCCGTCACGCAAGCACAGCCACTCACTCACCTGTCACAGCCTCACAACCGCACCCACCGTCAAGGAGGCACATCCCAGCCTCTCACACGCAGTTTCTCTGTCACACACTCTCAAACATTCCCCATCTGACATATACAACATTCTCTCACGTGCGCACTCAAATACCCTCCTCTGCTGTTCATGCACCCACGGGCCTGAGATTCCGATAACAACTGGCCGTCCACACTAGAGGCTTCCACGGTTAAAGGGCTTCCTCCACCACCCCGGCTGGTTTAGGTTGGGCTCCAACGTAACTTGATTGCCCAGAGCCCTCCCTGCGAGTACTCTGTGCCTGTTATATACTGAAATGAGTTCAACCCACCTTGCAAAAGAACCACGCGAAAACGGAAGGGAAGCCATAGATTGGGTGTTCCCGTTGCCCTCTGGGAAATGTAGTTTAAGCCTAAAGCTCCATGACCGCGGTGGCTTGTGGGAAAAGTGGCTCGGAACCCCAAATCCCGGTTAGATTGCAGGCACCGCCGGACGCTGGCTCCCGGAGGTTTTAGTTTTCCCTCTACCAGGAGTGTGAAGACACAGAGACTTATTGCGCTGGCGAAGATGGCTGAGGCGAAGGCGTGTCCGACTTGTCCTCGGAGTTCTGAGGGTTTCAGTGACCCCAGAAGGCTGAGAAGTGGAATCCGAACTCGAGGCTGCCCGAAGCCTCGGGCTGTTTGAGTGTAGAGCCGGTAGGGGAGGGCTTTCAAAGTGTGGCCGCGAGGGCGAGCGTGGGGGATCGGTTATGAGCTCCCGAGGGCGGGGACTCTGCTCTGTGTCCCCTGAGGAAGTCCAGTCTTGTTATAAGGTATGAGAAAAGTAACTTTTTAAAAATGGACAAATAATAATTGTATGTTTTATATACTGATAGGGTACAATATGCTGTTTTGATCTATGTTTACAATGCGAAATGATTAAATCAAGCTAATTAAATCCATCACCTCACTTTTTTGTGGTGAAAACATTTAAAATCTACTTTTAGCAATTTTGAAACATGCAACACATTATTTATGTAGTTGCTATTCTATGCAATCGATTAACAAAGTTTATTTCTCCTGACTAACTGAAATTTTGTACTGTTTTAATTAACATCTCCCTTTTCCCCATTTTTCAGTCTCTGGTAAACACCATTCTTTGCCTCTTAAGAGTTAGACTTTTTTAGATTCCACAAATACCACTTATGTGGTATTTGGTATTTATCTTTCTGTTACTGGCTTCTCTCACTTAGCATAATGTCCTCCTGGTTTATCCATGTTGTCACAGATGACAGAATTTTCCTTGTTTTATTTTTATTTTTTATTTATTTTTTAAAAATCTATTTACTTATTATTATTTTTTGAAACGGAGTTTCGCTCTTGTCACCCAGGCTGGAGTGCAGTGGCACAGTCTCAGCTCACTGCAACCTCTGCCTCCCCTGTTCAAGCGATTCTTGTGTCTCAGCCTCCCAAGTAGCTGGGATTATAGGCATGCGCCACCACGTCGGCTAATTTTTGTATTTTTAGCAGTGACAGGGTTTCACCATGTTGATCTGGCTGGTCTCGAACTCCTGACCTCAGGTGATCCACCCACCTTGGCCTCACAAAATGCTGCATTTACAGGCGCGAGCCACTGTGCCCGGCCGATTTTCCTCTTCTTAAAAAGTGAATAGTATTCCTTTATATATACATATATATATGTGTATAAGGTTATATACATAATATATATAATATGTAACATTTTCTTTATCCACTTATAACATGCTGGACACCTAGGTTGCTTCCGTATCCAATGCAGAATAATGCTGCAGTGAATGGTAGTGCAGTTATCTCTTCAGCATGCTGATTTCAATTCCTTTAGCTATACACCCACCGGTGGGGTTGCTGGAACATATAGTAATTCTATTTTTAGTTTCTGATGAATCTCCATATTATTTTCCATCATGGCTGTATTAATTTACATTGGGAAATGTACGTACTTTTGATGTTGTTGTGAATGGACTGGTTTATTCAATAAATTGTGTTAGGTACATTGACTAATAGTGTGTAGAAGTAAAGTTATATTTACTTAATTCTTAAAGGTATAGTCAAAACAGACTGAATAATTAAATGTAAAAATGATCTGGAGAAAACCTTTTTTTTTTTTTTTGAGATGGAGTCTCGCTCTGTTGCCCAGGCTGGAGTGCAGTGGCGCGATCTCGGCTCACTGCAATCTCTGTCTCCCGGGTTCAAGTGCTTCTCCTGCCTCCCGGGTTCAAGTGCTTCTCCTGCCTCAGCCTCCCAAGTAGCTGGGATTACAGGCATGTGCCACCACACCTGGCTAATTGTATATGTTTTAAAAAATTAACTTAGGAATAGATTTTCTAAGCTAAATTGAAGGGAAATGCTAAGGAAATAGTGAGATTTTACTTGATAATTATGTGTCTGAATGAATCAGCCAATTAATAAAATTAAAACAGACCTCGGGCCATGGTGCATGCCTGTCATCCCAGTACTTTGTGAGGCCAAGACAGAGATCGCTTGAGTCCAGGAGTTTGAGCCCAGCCTGAGCAACACATCAAAACGCTGTCTCTACAAAAAAATACAAAAATTAGCCAGGCGGGGTGGCTCATGCCTGTAGTCCCCACTACTTGGGAGGCTGAGGCAGGAGGATCACCTGAGCCTGGAGAAGTCGAGGCTGCAGTGAGCTGTGATCGTGTCACTGCACTTCTAGCCTGGGCGACAGAGTGAGACCCTGTTCCAGAGAAACTAAAATAAAGTGAAATGAAAACAAATACAAGACAAAAATTGATCGACTTATTTTAACACATAGTATGATGAGAGACATAGATAACAGTACTAACCCGGTGTGTTTCTGTTGATCAAAGTCACGGTCACTAGTCTAAAGGAAATAGGAATAGTGACTATAAATTCACAACCATTTACAACATTAGAAATACTAATTATCTTCAGATATATCAGACTCACAATTACTTGCCCTTTTAAGAATTCATCCTGTTCTCCATAAGGAAGAAAGTATTGATAACTCTTTTTTTCCCTTAACTTAGCACTTTGTGCTTCTGAATCTCTGAATTTGTGTTCACATCTTAACACTTTTTTTTTTTTGCAATTATTTTCTGTAGCTTTTTGTCTTCAGTTGAGACATCTCCTATATTCTCTTTACACTTTTCCACAAATGACCCAATTTTTTTGTAAGCATCATTGATGAGTTCCATGTATGTGATGACGGTGTAATGATAAATTATCAATGTGGTTTCCCTCCAGTCTTGTTCATTATTCAAGTGACTCTCCTTGGCTGAGCAACAGGCCAGGAGGTATCTATGACATTTTGTTCAGGTTAAGCAGTAAGAATAAAACAAAATCGACATTATCTTTTTCATATTTTAAACACAAGCCAACAAATAATTTGGAAGGACCCATGATTAGACAATGAGGATTTTATGCTCCCTCAAGAGTAATTGAGATTGTTTAATTGTATGGAGGAATGAACATATCTTAAAGGGAAGCAAGAAGATATAATATTTAGATCACAGAATCATTAGGAAGCGGCTTTGCACCCTGGCTACACCACTGTACACAGGAAATATCAGGGCACCGTGGCGCACGCCTGTAATCCCAGCACTTTGGGAGGCTGAGGCAGGTGGATCACCTGAGGTCAGGAGTTTAAGACCAGCCTGACTAACATGGTGAAACCCCATCTCTACTAAATACAAAAAAATAGCCGGGTGTGTTGGCGCACGCCTGTAACTCCAGCTACTCGGGAGGCTGAGGCAGGAGAATCGCTTGAACCTGGGAGGCAGAGGTTGCAGTGAGCTGAGATGGCGCCATTGCACTCCAGCCTGGGCAACAAGAGCGAAACTCTGTCTCAAAAAAAAAAAAAAAATCACTGCCACAAACTTTTTCACATAGGACGATGAAGGATTCCAGAGCCCCTTCTACCTCTAGGGGCTCCTACCGCTGCCATCCTACCCCTGCCGTACCACACATATATCTTGACAGGGCCTGTTACAGAGAAGAAAAGGTCCAGTAAATTAATACTACAGTCATTGACACATAACCACCAAAAAACTCAAATTAAAATTTTGACAAAATTAAGTGTCAGCAAGAATGCAAAGATTTGGGAATTATCAGACATTGTAAGACTGTCAGTTGGTGTGTTAACATTGGGATGAAGCCAATAATACCTAGTAAAACTGAAGATATGTTTACCATGTAACCTATGGTTTTACCTCTTGCTTTATACTGTACATAAATACACACTAATGGTAACCAAATAGAAATACAAAAATGTTCACAACGGCATCATTTGTAACTGAAAAAATGAACACAACCCACATGTCCACCAACCATGAAGGGATACACACTGGTGTACTGTTTTTTGTTTGTTTGTTTGTTTTTTGAGACACAGTCTCACTCTGTTGCCCAGGCTGGAGTGCAGTGGCACGATCTGGGCTCACTGCAACCTCCACGTCCCAGGTTCAAGTGATTCTC
Source organism: Homo sapiens (assembly GCF_000001405.40). Lineage (NCBI taxonomy): Eukaryota > Metazoa > Chordata > Mammalia > Primates > Hominidae > Homo > Homo sapiens. The sequence goes on from NC_000019.10 coordinate 37,783,682, forward strand.
CTGCCTCAGCCTGCCGAGTAGCTGGGATTACCGGTGTGCACCACTACTTTCGGCTAACTTTTGGTTTTTTGTTTCTTTGTTTGCTTTGAGACGGAGTCTCACTGTGTCGCCCAGGCTGGAGTGCAATGGTGTGATCTTGGCTCGCTGCAACCTCTGCCTCCCGGGTTCAAGCGATTCTCCTGCCTCAGCCTCCCGAGTACCTGGGACTATAGGTGCGTGCCACCACACCTGGCTAATTTTTTGTATTTTTAATAGAGACAGGGTTTCACTGTGTTAGCCAGGATGGTCTTGATCTCCTGACCTCATGATCCGCCTGCCTCAGCCTCCCAAAGTGCTGGGATTACAGGCATGAGCCACCACACCTAGCTGGTGTACTGTTTTAATGGAATGCAGAATCGATGCTAAATGTGAATATTAAATACTTAATATTGAGTAATAGAAGCCAGATGCAGCAGGATACAGACTATTACTCCAATTATGTAAGAGAGAAACCAGGCAAAATCAGACTATACTTTAGGCATATAAAAAATACATAATAAGGCTGGGATTCATGCTAAATGAGTAGATTTTAGCTTCCCTTGCCACACGCAAACAATGTGGGTATCTGTGAGATGATAGAGATGTTAATTTGCTTCACTATAGTAACCCCTTTATACTATGTATATGTATCCTATAACATCATGTTGTGTACCTTAAATATATAGAATAAAATACATTTAAAAAAAGAAAAAGTTTTGGCTGGGTGTGGTGGCCCATGCCTGTAATCCCAGCACTTTGGGAGGCTGAGGCATGAGGATTGCTTGAGCCCAGGAGTTCAGGAACAGCCTGGGCAACATAGTGAGACCCCATCGCTATCAAAAAAGAAAAAGAGGCCAGGCGTGATGGCTCATGCCTATAATCCCAGCACTTCAAGAGGCCGAGGCAGGCGGATCACGAGGTCAGGTGTTCGAGACCAGCCTGGCCAACATGGTGAAACCTCATCTTTACTGAAGATACAAAAAATTAGCCAGGGATGGTGGCGCACATCTGTAATACCAGCTATTTGGGAGGCTGAGGCAGGAGAACTGCTTGAACCCAGGAAGCAGTGGTTGCAGTGAGCCGAGATTGCGTCATTGCACCCCAGCCTGGGCAACAGGGCAAGACTCCGTCTCGAAAAAAGAAAAAAGAAAAAGAAAACAAAATTATGAAAAGATGCACAACAAAATTAAAATGTTGACTCTAAAGAGCTACTGAATGACGGGGGTGCATGAGAGAAAAGGTTACTTAACATTTTTATACCTATTGAATTGAATCCTATGTATGCATTATAAATTTAAATGTGCAATAATGCAGATAACTGAAATGTGGGTATGCTTTGATTAGGACTTTGCATTTCCCATTTGCTCAACTTCCTTATGATTCTAGATGCATATGAATAGAAATACAAAATTTAAGGAGCCACAGGACTCTTATAGCCCTTTCTTCTTTCCATATTTTGTGTCTCTGGCTGTAGTTTGCCATATGTGTCCCTATGGCTAATGAGCAAAATATTTTTCAGTTGGATACCTGTGACCAAGCATTGCAAGTTAAAGATATTTCTGAATCTTGGACCCTCTTAGTTACAGTAAAGCCCGGCCATGCATAATAAAGCAGAGAGGAATGTAAAAGGTTGCTGCATCGATAATCAATTTCTGGTGAGCAATAATTATAGGTAATGTAAAATGAGACAATTATTGCTTTTCATCATATCTTGAAAGAACTCCTACAGTCATTGATTTTGAACAAAACACCAAAGTTCACTCTCCTCTTTTCTATAATGAAAAGACATTATCCAGTAGAAGTTCAAGAGTAAAATCTGAAGGCAGCTTATCTGACCTGGCCACATGGCCTTGCCACTTATTCAACATAACTTTCTACACACTAACCTCTCCAGACCTCAGATCTTCAACTCTCTGAAATACAAACATAGTAGTATCTACCTCTAGAACTGCAGCTGAACTGAGCATTTTAGGGAAGGAACAAACACACATGATATAGATAGTCAGATTATGAACCCAGCGTAGCCCAGAATACAGAAATTTCTCAGTAATAGAGACCCTCAGGAGAAAAATCAGATGTAGCCTATCTCAGTGGTCTTTCATGTGGCAAATGAAAAGTGAAAGTCCATAATGAGAAAGACATGGGCAGCCAATGATACCATCGATTCAGTGTAGACTCTCAACATATCTGACAGTCATTGCCTGTTGTACCCCAACCCGTTTATATTTTGGGTTTATATCACCTTTCAGTTAAAACATACATAAACCTGAAGCCTCAGTCAGAAATATTTATGGATAACCAGGTATTATTCTGTGTTTCCAGTCAAAACTCAGGTAGACCACATTTTATGTGACAGGAGAAGGCACAGTTGATGCCCAATTAACCCTAAGATCATCTCTGCCTGCAGCTTCCTATCATCACAGCAAGCTCTTTTCCTGCAGTCCATCATCTGTGTCTGCCCTTTGCTATATAGGTAGCAAAAATAGGCATCTGAAAAGATGCTCAACACCATATGTCACTAGGGAATTCAAATTAAAACAACGATGAGATACCACTACACATGTATTAGACTGGCTCAAATCCAAACGCTAACACCACCAAATGCTGGTGAGGATATGGAGCAACAGGAACTCTCATTGATTGCTGCTGGGAATGCAAAATGGTACAGCCACTGTGGAAGGCAGTTTTGCAAATTCCTGCAAAACTAAACATATGCTTACCATATGATCTGGCAATTGCATTCTTTGGTATATGCCCAAATGACTTGAAAACATATCTACTCAAATCCTCCACATGAATGTTTACAGCAGCTTATACATAACCAACAAAGATTGGAAGTAACCAAGATATCCTACAATAGGGAAATGCATAAACTAACTCTGAAACAATCATACAATGGAATATTATTCAGGAATAAAAAAAAATGAACTACCAAGGCATGGAAAGACATGGAGGAATCTTAAACACGTATTTCTAAATGAAGCCAATGCAAAAGGGCCACATAGTGTAGAGTTCCAATTATATGGAATACTAGAAAAGGCAAAACTAGGCAGATGGTATAAAAAGTTCAGTGGTTGCCAGAGGCTTGAGCAGAGGGAAGGATGAATAGGTGGAGCACAGAAGATTTTTAGGGTTCTGAAACTTTTCTGTGTGACCCTATGATGGTGGACATATGTCCTTATGCATTTGTCAAAGCCCATAAATGGTACAACACAAAGAGTGAATCTTAATATAAGCCGTGAACTTAATAATATCCATATTGGCTCATCAAGGATAACAAATGTACCATACTAACAAGATGATAATAGAGGAAGTGTGTGTACTATGGTGTGAGGGGGATATTAGAGCTCAATATGCCCTCTGCTCTGTTTTCTGTACACCTACAACTGTTCTAAAAATTAAGTCAATTATTTATCTATCTTTTGCAGACAAGGTCTCGCTCTGTCACTCAGGCTGGAGTGCAGTGGTACAATCACGGCTCACTGCAGCCCCAACCTCCAGGGCTCAAGCAATCCTCCCCACCTCAGCCTCCTGAGTAGCTGGGACCACCAGCGTGTGCCACCATGCACGGCACATTTCGTAGGCATCTGAAAAGATGCTCAACACCATATGTCACTAGGGAATTCAAATTAAATTTATGATGAGATACCATTACACATCTATTAGACTGGCTTGAATCCAAACACCAACAACACCAAATGCTGGTGAACATACGGAGCGACAGGAATTCTCATCTATTGCTGCTGGGAATGCAAAATGGTACAGCCACTGTGGAAGGCAGTTTTGCAAGTTCCTGCCAGACTAAACATAAGCTTACCATACTATCCGGCAAAAAAAAATAAAAATTTAAAATATGTTTTATATACTTAACAATATATAAAGAAATATATATTTTCTATATATTTTAAAAATAATTGTTTTAAATTTTTTGTAGAGACAGGGTCTCCCTATGTTGCCCAGCCTGCAGAATCTATTAATTTAAAAAACGTTTTAAACTCTTGAACAAGGAATTATTTGAAGAGTGAAAAATAAAATGATAGAATATTGATTGATAAATTCCAAATGTTGAATATTAAATAATTTGGATTAATTTTAAATTCCGAAAAGCAAAACTTTAAAAAATATTTTTAAAATGTCCTAATCCCATGTCAATGCATGTTCAACAAATTCAAGAGCCAATTTCAGAGAAGAAATAAGTGGTCAACAACAAGTTCTTAGGTTTTGACTTTATTTGTTGACTATTTGTATTTGTGAATGGCGAAGTTTAGATTTTGTTTCTTTCTTCTTAGGGTATTGACTAATAATTTTATTAAGCCAGAGAGACAGTAAATAGAATTATTATCTATTTGTCCATTTTATCTGTTATAAATATTTCTTCCAAACTCACTTATCTAAAGTTTTCGGGTTTTTTAGCTGGCGCAGTGGCTCATGCCTGTAATCCCAGCACTTTAGGAGGCTGAGGCAGGAGGATCACTTGAGGTCAGCAGTTCAAGACCAGCCTGGGCAACATGGAAAAACTCTGTACCTACTAAACATACAAAAATTAGCCGGGCTGCCAGGCACAGTGGCTCATACCTGTAATCCCAGCAATTTGGGAGGCCGAGGCAGGCAGATCACCTGAGGTCGGGAGTTAGAGACCAGCCTGACCAACATGGAGCAACCTGGTCTCTGCTAAAAATACAAAATTTTTGGCCGGGCGCGGTGGCTCACGCCTGTGATCCCAGCACTTTGGGAGGCCGAGGCGGGCGGATCACGAGGTGAGGAGATCAAGACCATCCTGGTTAACACAGTGAAACCCCGTCTCTACTAAAAATACAAAAAATTAGCTGGGCATGATGGCGGGCGCCTGTAGTTCCAGCTACTCGGGAGGCTGAGGCAAGAGAATGGCCTGAACCTGGGAGGCGGAGCTTGCAGTTAGCGGAGATTGCGCCACTGCACTCCAGCCTGGGCTACAGAGCGAGACTCGGTCTCAAAAAAAAAAAAAAAAAAAAAAAAAAAATTATCCAGGCGTGGTGGCGCATGCCTGTAATCCCAGCTACTTGGGAGGCAGAGGCAGGAGAATAGCTTGAACCCCGGAGGCAGAGGTTGCGGTAAACTGAGATTGCGCCATTGCACTCCAGCCTGGGAAGCAAGAGCGCAACTCTGTCTCAAAAAAAAAAAAAAAAAAAAAAAAGCCGGGCACGGTGGCGCATGCCTGTAGTCCCAGCTACTCGGGAGGCTGAGGCAGGAGAATCCCTTGAGCCCAGGAGGCGGAGGTTGCATGAGCTGAGATCGCACCACTGCACTTCAGCCTGGGAAGTAAAAAGGTTTTTTTCGTTTTGTTTTGTTTAAACTGTTTTTTTTTTTTACCATTCAGATATATGGAATGTTTATAGATATCTACCAAGATAAATAATTACCATATCAAGGTTCTAAATTTTAAAAAATATTTTTTCCCTTTGTTACGTTTAGGAAGCCTATTCCAGGCCGGGGGCTGTGGCTCACGCCTACAATACCTGCATTTTGGGAGGCTGAGGCCGGGGGATGATGAGGTCAAGAGATCAAGACTATCGTGGTCAACATGGTGAAACCCCGTCTCTACTAAAAATACAAAAATTAGCTGGGCGTGGTGGCGCGCGCCTGTAGTCCCAGCTACTCGGGAGGCTGAGGCTGGAGAATGGCTTGAACCAGGGAGTCGCAGGTTGCAGTGAGCCGAGATCACGCCACTGCACCCTAGCCTGGCGACAGAGGGAGACTCCGTGTCAAAAAAAAAAAAAAAAAAAAAAAAGAAGAAGAAGAAGAAGAAGATGGCCGGGTGCGGTGGCTCACGCCTGTAATCCTAGCACTTTGGGAGGCCGAGGTGGGCGGATCATGAGGTCAGGAGATCGAGACCATCCTGCCTAACATGATGAAACCCTGTCTCTACTAAAAATACCAGAAAAAAAAAAAAAATTAGCCAGGCGTGGTGGCGGGCGCCTGTAATCCCAGCTACTCGGGAGGCTGAGGCAGAAGAATGGCGTGAACCCGGGAGGCAGAACCCGGGAGGCAGAGGTTGCAGTGAGCTGAGATCGCGCCACTGCACTCCAGCCTGGGCAACAAAGCGAGACTCCATAAAAAAAAAAAAAATCCTATTCCAGGCCAGCCGGGCACGGTGGCTCACGCCTGTAATCCCAGCACTTTCGGAGGCCGAGGTGGGCGGATCACCTGAGGTCAGGAGTTCGAGACCAGCCTGGCCAACATGGTGAAACCCCATCTCTACTAAAAATACAAAAATTAGCCAGGTGTGGTGGCGGATGCCTGTAATCCCGGCTACTTGGAAGGCTGAAGCACGAGAATCACTTGAACTCGGGAGGCAGAGGTTGCAGTGAGCCGAGATCGCGCCATTGCACTCCAGCCTGTGGAACAGAGTGAGACTCCGTCCCTAAAACAAACAAACAAGCAAACAAGCCTATTCCAAAACAAAAATAATGAAAGTATTTATTTCTTTGGATGTTTTTAAATAAAATTTTTAATCATATGTATTCGTGTCCAAAGGTGAAGAACATAATGTATTGAAGAATGTGGTGGGACTTAAGTCACTCCTATAGGACCTGAGTCCATTTACCTAACCCTTTTCTTTTACCCGAGTCAGGTTCCACCCAGACTCGCCTCCTACTGGCGCTGAGAACGCAGCGACTCCACCCTTAGCCTCAGGTCGGGGGCCCCAGCATTTGTCTGATCTGCGCTTGCGTACTCCTAGGCCAGGTGGCCACTCCCAGAGGTGTCCCAGGCTCGCGCGGTGGGCGGGGCGCGCGGTCCTCGTGGTCACATCCGTATTTCCTGTAGGTTTTTAGGACTCTGGACTCCACTTCTCAGGGTTGCCTGCGGTCCTGACTGTTCCGTCTTGGACTACATATTCCACGGGCGACGGAGAAATCTTGTACCTCTGGCTCCGTCTCCTGGACCTCTGCGCTGCCCGTGACCTGGTCCCACCTGAGGAAGAAGGCGGCGCGGGTCGCTGCCGGAGCTTCTGCAGCCCCAGCCCGCAGCCCGCGCGGGACCCTGGGTGGCGGTGAGAGTGGAGCTGCAGGAGGCACTCAGAGCGCGGAGGCCTCGGGCGCGGGCCGGACTTGTCTCCCACCTACTCAGGCCTTGGGGTGCTGGAGCTGCGAAGGAAGGGGCTCATCTCTAGGGAGACAGGTGGAGAACGTCTCCTTTGTGACGTGGAGACTGAGAAGGGTGCGTGAATGTGTTGTGTGACCGGGACATAGCGTGAGTGTCCTTTGAAAGCGTGCTTTGCTATAACTCTGTGGTGTCACTGACCCGTGGGTCAGGGTCTCAGTTTCCCTGTCTCCTCTCAGCCTCGTATGACTGCCACAGAGAAATGATCTAAGCGCAAAATCAGATACTGAGCCTTAGATGAAGTTTTCCAGTGAGAAGAAACGGATAGGATGGGAAGCTTAGAGCAGGAATTCCCTTAAGACGGTGTGATAGACTCTTTTAAAGAAAAAATATTCAGTCTTTAACACTCGTTAAAGCATGCAAAGGAAGACTTTATTCAGGATCATCGTGATAGGTATTGGAAGCACAGCAGTGAGATTTTGCAATGGGTACAAGAGATTGGGTTCAACTCCAAATTCAGCATGAACGAGTAGGAATTTATAGTCAAGGAGCAGGTTAGGGATCACTGGATGACAAAATACTAAGAGGAAATGTCTGGGATAAGTAGGATTCTGGCTAAACGCACCTGTTGGGATTCTTTCTGAAGAGAGAGACCTGGATGATAAGACATCATCGCCTGGGGGATAGTGGAGGATGAAGATGGGGGGCAGAGGGTTCTTGCTAAACTGACTTAAAAGGGGCCTTTGTTATTGTTGGATTTTATAATGAAGTGTACAGATGGGCCCAGGGGAAGGTGTAAGAGCCTGAGTAAAGTTTGGTCACGCAGGGTTTGTGTAGGATTCCTTCCTGGAAGGGTTGTACACTCCGCCCCCATCTCCCGGTTCTTGGAGTTTCATTTACGTGTTTAAGAATCACGTGGATGGTGAACCCTGATTCTGAAGTCGGTGTCTGCTGTGTTCATGGCAGGATTCGGTTAGGAGGAACAGCACAGCATGCTGGGCTCTGGATTTAAAGCTGAGCACTTAAGAGTGAATTTGAGATTAGTCATAAATCGCCTTGAACTATTGGAGGAAAAAAAAAAAAAACAGAACTGGCCCAGAAAGCAAGGAAGGAGATTGCTGACTATCTGGCTGCTGGGAAAGATGAACGAGCTCGGATCCGTGTGGAGCACATTATCCGGGAAGACTACTTCGTGGAGGCCATGGAGATCCTGGAGCTGTACTGTGATCTGCTGCTGGCTCGGTTTGGCCTTATCCAGTCTATGAAGGAACTAGATTCTGGTCTGGCTGAATCTGTGTCTACATTGATCTGGGCTGCTCCTCGACTCCAGTCAGAAGTGGCTGAGTTGAAAATAGTTGCTGATCAGCTCTGTGCCAAGTATAGCAAGTAATATGGCAAGCTATGTAGGACCAACCAGATTGGAACTGTGAATGACAGGCTAATGCACAATCTGAGTGTGGAAGCCCCATCCAAAATCCTGGTGGAGAGATACCTGATTGAAATTGCGAAGAATTACAATGTACCCTATGAACCTGACTCTGTGGTCATGGCAGAAGCTCCTTCTGGGGTAGAGACAGATCTTATTGATGTTGGATTCACAGATGATGTGAAGAAAGGAGGCCCTGGAAGAGGAGGGGGTGGTGGGTTCACAGCACCAGTTGGTGGACCTGATGGAATGGTGCCAATGCCCATGCCTATGCCCATGCTATCTGCAAATACTCCTTTCTCATATCCACTGCCAAAGGGACCATCAGATTTCAATGGACTGCCAATGGGGACTTACCAGGCCTTTCCCAATATTTATCCATCTCAGATACCAGCAACTCCCCCATCATATGAATCTGTAGATGACATTAATGCTGATAAGAATATCTCTTCTGCACAGATTGTTGGTCCTGGACCCAAGCCAGAAGCCTCTGCAAAGCTTCCTTCCTGACCTGCGGATAACTATGACAACTTTGTCCTACCAGAGTTGCCATCTGTGCCAGACACACTACCAACTGCATTTGCTGGTGCCAGCACCTCAGCATCTGAAGACATTGACTTTGATGATCTTTCCCAGAGGTTTGAAGAGCTGAAAAAGAAAATATAGGTCTCTTAAACCAGGCAACTTTCATATTCTGGGAGTTGAGACTGAGCAATTTCTCCTTGTAACAAAGAATCTCCATGAAATTCCTTTTCATCTGTTAACCGTCACTGAGCACAACACTCCTCCTCTGGGCTCTCTGCCTGCTCCTCCAGATTCTGCTGCTTTCCAGTTCTCTGTTGATCCTGAGACTAACAACCGGAGACTGAGGCTGGAGCAACTGGCTCCTGGCAGCTGTGCTTGTCCCTTTTCTGTCAGAGTGATCCCAGGTTTCCTCCTGGCCCGTCCCATGGTCCCTCCACAGGAGCATAAGAGGATGGGAAAGCACTATGGGGAGACCACCAAAGATGGCTGGACAGTGGGAGAGAGCACGTCGTGAAGCATCCCAGCCTCGTGTTGAGGTTCCAGACTTAGAAACAAACCCCTCTGTACAGGGGGATTGTGGTGAGTGAGAATCAAGGCCACGGTGTGTGTTTTCGCACTCGAATGCAAGTGGGAGAGAGAAAATGACTCAGGACGCCATTGTAACGGTTCCTGGAAGCTGGGCCCTCTCATTGGCATATACACTACTCCTCGCCGCAGGGCACTGTCCCACCGGGATCCAGTTGCAAAGTTTGTCTCGACAGTTTAAGGCCTCGCTTAGTTGTACTGGATTCTCAGGGAGTCCTCTGTGGCCTTTTGCTCTGAGTGCTGTTTCCCTTGTACCAGAGGGCAGCACCATGGAAATTCTGTTTTTCCTGTAGCATATTGTGTTGGATTGCCTTACTGGCAGAGAAAGGACAAATTGCCATTGAAGTCTAGGGTGGGCTTCCAGCTGCCTTAATAGAAGTACTCAAGTCTTTTGGGTAGTGAGCTGGAAAGCCTACAGGAAAAAAGGGGTACCTGTTTTCATTTGAAAACTTTGATTCATGGAAACTTTAAAACTAATCTCAGATAAATTTTTGGTGCAAATGTGGCTGTAGTTGTCCACTGCTTTCCTGGATGGATGGGACTCTTATGTCATAACTTCTATACTCCTTTGGCCCATAGCTAAGGTCATCCTTCCCCACAGGGGTGGCTTTGGGATTGGATTATACAGCTTTTGCTTCTGTGTAGTATACCTGTACATACCTGTTTCAGGAAGCCTTTCTTTAATGTTTTCAGTTGGTTTGTATTCTGTAGCTCAGTAGCTGCTAATAAAGTTAAAGATCCTGGAAAAAAAAAAAAAGAATCACGGCCTTCTTGAATTCTGACTCTAAGAACCTGCAGTGAAGGATGACTAGAGATTTCACCTACCATACTTCCTTCTGGTTATGTGTATGAAATTATGCACCTGTAGCCTTGGAGGGGGAAACAGAAACACTATTTCGAGGAGTTTTTGGATCGTTCCGTTTTGGATTTCTGTAGATCAAAAGCAATAGGAATATGAACTCAGTTGTGATGTGTTCGTGCAAATGAAGGAAGTGAGCCGGAAATTTAAGTGCCCCAAAATAGGAATTCTTAGTCATTGGGTCCATTGTCTGTTTTTACGGGCATACAGGGCACCACAATCCCCCTGAAACTTTATATACATGTTTGTTAATTTGCATTTTTCCAGGGTTCCATCTTCCAAATTATTTAGACTTGAGCTTTAGACCTGGAATCAGAGTGTTATACCTTTGAATGGTTTTGCAGAAAACTAATGATCAAGATTATGAGAATGGTTAAGAAAATCATACAACATCCATGGGATTGGACATTATACTGATAATAAAATTTATGTTTATAAAGAATTTGTTATTAGCTGCATACCAGATATCAGGGAAACAAAAAATAATAAGAATTTGTCATTAACGGAAAAATGACTGTGATCTAACCTTAAACAGTATTCACAGTTGTAGATCACAGTTCTCAAAAACTGTATATGCATCCCATTTTTTAAAAATGGAAGTTTCCAAAACCTTTTGCAAGGATTGTATCTAATATGACCATTCAATTGGTTTTTCAGAGAAGAATAGAAGGGGAGAGGCCACATTTATTGAACATCTAATGTGTACCCAAATCATGTGGTCTGTTTTCTGTATCTTTTCTCATTTAATGCGCAAAGACCATTTCCCTGTTCATTAAGGGAAGAATCTTAATAGTGAAATGTTTCTAATTATGTAGAAGTGGCACAGCTAAAGGCTATTCAAGAGGACACATGTTACATGACACGTTGATACTTTTTAATTCTAGTCCTAGTACTTAGGTTTCTTTTCATGACAAAAATGTACCCTCTTCTAAAAAGTTTAATGCTTTGGAATGTATTGATGTTCTATTTGTAATGATGGAATTAAGGCAGGCTCATTGCAAAAATTTCATTACCTAAGGAAGTTATGAAGAAGAAAGAATAACCCCAAATCCCCCCTGCCCAGAGAAAATCACTTTACATATTTTGGTGTATGTGTTTCTAATTTTCATGTATGAACATTTGTGTGTAGTTTTGTCATTGCAGAAGAGAATTAATAGAGACACAAAGACTCCAACTGTTAGTTCGAAAATGGAATCTACCTCAATTGTTGCTGTTAAACCAAAATTATGGTATGGTATTGCTTTGGACTGAGCTTCTGCACTAGGCTCCAACAGACCACACCAAACCAAAATGAAGTCACTCATGCTAAATGCCACATTATCAAACTGAAACTTTAAGGGAGCAGATAAATCTCAAAAAAAACCTGTTTTTCCTGAAAACAAGAGATTCCAGTCTAAATAATTGATGTTCACCACTCCTTTCTTATTTTTAATTTAAAAAACTTTTTTTTAAAGACAGGGTCTCACTCTGTCACCCAGGTTAGAATGCAGTGGAGTGGTTATGGCTCACTGCAGCTTCAAACTCCCGGGCTCAAGCGTTCCTCCCGCCTCAGCCTCCCAAGTAGCTGGGACTACAGACGTCCGTCACCAGGCCTCAGTTCTTTTTTCTCTAGTTCTGTTATTTGTTCCCACCTTACACAAAACCCACTGCATTGGGCAAGGGCTCTCATTCTATTTTATACAATGGAGGCTGCCCCGTTTGTGAATCCCAAATAAAAGCCCATGAGATCTAAAGTCAATTTATTGTAACTTTGTCTTTTGACGTGGGTTTCCATATATCTGTGTATCTTAGGAGGATAGGGAAGTACCAGGGACCACCTGAGGTGAAAAACAACTACGTATTTACGCCTTTTAGATACTAAAAACATCATTTAACACTCAAGACGTCACAAATTATGAAGTAAGATATCCTCTCAGAATTAATAATTTATGCTGGGCTCATGTCTGTAAAATCCCAGCACTTTGGGAGGCTGAGGTGGGTAGATCGCTTGAGCCCAGGAGTTTGAGACCAGCCTGGGCAACATGGTGAAACCCTGTCTCTACAAAAAATACAAAAATTAGCTGGGCATGGGAGCGCTTGCCTATAGAACCCATATAGGCTGCGGGGTTCCGCTCTCCAGGAGAACGACTCTCGGGTGAGAGAGCAGCCCACAGGCACACAGGCAGACCTGTCCTCGAGGTCATGGAGGGCATGACTTTTGGGGAGACTCACCCGAACACCGTCCGGGCAGGCCTGAGGCTGGGATGCCACGCTGCTCCTCCCGGATTCTGCCTGTGGTTTCATCATCCTGGTCCTAACTCCGCCACTCATGGCATCCGGAGACCATCCCATCAACACCCTGGAGAGGTCAAGCCAGAGCCTCAGGGTCCTCACACCCAAGCACCGGAACGGAGGGCTCCTGCATTGCCAAGCCTCAGGGACTAGTTTCTCAGGCAACTGTGGGACTGTACTCACTTGAGCCCAGGAGTCTCAGGCTGCAGTGAGCTGCGACAGCACCACTGCACTCAAGCCTGGGCAACAGAGTGAGCCCCTGTCTCAGAAAAAAAAGTTAAAAATGTTCAAAAGGTACTGAGTGGTCAGAAAAACAGAATAAATGCCTCCTATCTTGTATCTTTTTGTTTTGTTTTTTGAGATAGAGTCTTGCTCTGTCGCCCATTCTGGAGTTCCATGGCATGATCTCGGCTCACTGCAACTTCTGCCTCCCAGGTTCAAGCGATTCTCCTGCCTCAGTCTCTCGAGCAGCTTGGATTACAGGTGTGCTCCACCACGCCCAGCTAATCATTGTATTTGTAGTGGAGACGGGGTTTCACCATGTTGGTCAGGCTGGTCTCGAACTCCTGACCTCATGATTCGCCTGCCTCGGCCTCCCAAAGTGCTGGGATTACAGGCATGAGCCATTGCACCCGGCCCTTATCTTGTATCTTTTGACATCTCATCATTAACATACACCTTTCTTCCACAATTAAATTTAGCATCATCATCTACAACAAAATGTTCCTGCCCCATATACTGCCACTACTCCACTAACATAAATGCAAAGTTCTTCCAAGTGTCATAAGTTCCTGTGACCATTTTCAAAGCCACGATTTATGGGGAATATCAGTTATTGCTCTTTGTATAAATAAACAAAGGCCAACCAAATAAGAACAAAGAGGCTGGGCATAGTGGCTCATGCCTGTAATCCCAGCACTTTGGGAGGCCGAGGCGGGTGGATCACCTGAGGTCAGGAGTTCAAGATCAGCCTGGCCAACATAGTGAAACCCTATCTGTACTAAAAATACAAAAATTAGCCGTGCATGAAGGTGCACGCCTATAATCCCAACTACTTGGAAAGCTAGGGCAGAAGGAGAATCATTTGAACCTGGGAGATGGAGGTTGCAGTGAGCCTAGATCGTGCCACTGTGCTGTAGCCTGGGCCACAGATTGAGACTCCGTCTCAAAAAAAAAAAAAAAAGAATAAAGACAGGCTTATGCATATAGAACTTGCTACGTAGTAAGAGTTCTGTTTACATTTAAGTTCCATTTGTTTATGTTCTCTGTAGATTGTGGATATTAGGCCTTTGTTGGATACATAGTTCGTGAGTATCTTCTCCCATTCTGTAGGTTGTCTGTTTGCTCTGTTGGTAGTTTGTCTTGTTGTGTTAAAGCTTTTAGTTTAATTAGGTATCACTTGTCTATTTTTGTCTTTGCTGCTTTTTTGGAAACTCAGCCAAAAATTCCTTGCCAAGGCCCGTGTTGAGAAGAGTATTTCCTAGGTTGTCTTCCAGGATTTTTATAGTTTGATGTCTTGTATTTAAATCTTTAATCCATTTTGAGTTAATTTTTGTATATGGTGAAAGGTAAGGGGCCCAGCTTGAATCTTCTGCATATGGCTAGCCAGTTATCCCAGCACCATTTATTGAATAGGGAGTCCTTTCCCCATTGCTCATTTTTGTTGACTTTGTCGAAGATCAGATGGTTGTAGGTGTGTGGCTTTATTTCTGGGTTCTCTAACCTGTTCCTTTGGTCTATGTGTCTGTTTTTGTACCAGTACCATGCTGTTTTGGTTACTGTAGTCTTGTAGTATAGTTTGAAGCTGCATATGTGATGCCTATCAGCAGTGGACTGAATAAAGAAAATGTGGTACATATACACCACGGAATACTACACAGGCGTAAAAAAAATAAATCATGTCCTTTGCAGCAACATGAATGCAGCTGGAGGCCATTATCCTAAACGAATTAATGCAGCATCAGGAAACCAAATACCCTATGTTCTCACTTATAAGTGGGAGCTAAACATTGAGTACACATGGACACAGAGATGGGAACAACAGACACTGAGGCCTGCTTGAGTGGGAAGGGTGGCATGAGGCTATGGATCAAAAAACTATTGGGTACTGTGGTCACTACCTGGGTGATGATATCATTTGTACACCAAACCCCAGTGATATGCAATTTACCCATATAACAAGCCTGCACATGTATCCGTTAAACCTAAAAATAGAAAAAATTAAAAATAAATAAATAAATGAGGTATAAGTCTAATTGCTGAACGTTGTGAAATGTAACCAACAGAGCCATTGAAAATAGAGTGGCCAGGCATGGTGGTTAATGAATGTAATCCCAGCACTTTGGGAGGCCGAGGTGGGTGGATCACGAGGCCAGGAGTTCAAGACCAGCCTGGCCAAGATGGTGAAACCCCATCTCTACTAAAAATACAAAAATTAGCGGGCATGGTGGCAGGCACCCGTAATCCCAGCTACTCGGGAGGCTGAGGCAGGAGAATCACTTGAACCCGGGAGGTGGAGGTTGCAGTGAGCCAAGATCGCACTCTAGCCTCGGTGACAGAGCAAGACTCCGTCGAAAGGAAGAAAGAGAGAGAGAGGGAAAGAAAAAGAAAGGAAAGGAAAGGAAGAAGGAAAGGAAGGAAAGAAAGAAAAAAAAGAGTGAGAGTACCGTATTTGGAAAGTGGTCCAGGCACTGGGGTGAGTGTCAGCCAAGTCATCACCTGTGAGAACAGGAAGTCATCAGGTAATATATCAAGTTGATATATTGAGAAGGAGCAGGATCTACCTATTATATAACACAGAGATAATCACTCAGATATATAGATTAGAAATAGTTTAGAAAATTTAAACATTTGATTATTCAGGGAGTAGACCTGGGAGCATTGGAGAAATAAGGTGGGGGAGTAGACTGCATGGAAAGCTCTTTCTTAGTGTATGATTTTTCAATGATGCACATAGGTTTCTTACATAACATGTAAAATTCAATTAAAGAAGAAACAAAGTTGTGTTCTGGGGTCCCAAAGGTTCAGTGATTAATTAGAAGAACTCACAAAACTGAGTCAAGCTGTTATACTCATGGTTATAGTTTATTACAACAAAAAGGTACAGATTAAAATCAGCAGCAGAAAAAGGTGCATAGGGCAGAGTTGAGGAGAGACCAAGCGCAAGCTTCCAGTTGTCCTCTCCCAGCGGCATCATGTGGACAGTGCTTAATTCACCCAGCGATATGTGGCAGAAAGTACAGAAAATACTCCCCAACAAAAAGCTTACCTGAGCCTTGGTGTTGAGGGTTTTACTGGAGGTTGGTCACATGGACAAGAGCACCCATTTGGATGACCTTAGTTTCTCTGTCTCCACCCTTCCCAAGGTCAAGCTGACACTGCATGGTCCAAGGTCCCCACAATAAATCACATTGTTAACATGGACTATATAGGCAGGATATTCCAAGGAGTTAGAGGTTATTTTCCAGGAGCTGGGCTAGAGTCAAACCTTTCTTTGGAGTGTGCGGGGTTTGGACAATTCAGGCCTACTAAGTTTCCTTGACTGCACACAAGTGATAGTGAGTATGTAGGAAATGAGTAGTCTCATATATTGCTGGTGAAAGTATAGTGTTATATAAACCTCCGGAAAGAAATCGAGTGTGTAGTGCGTAGACATTTTATTTGGTTTGTTTTTGTTTTTGTCTGAGACAGGTCTCACTCTGTCACTTGAGCTGGAGTGCACTGGCGTGATCACAACTCACTGCAGCCTTGACCACCCAGGCTCCAGCTATCCCCCCACCTCAGTATCCTGAGTAGCTGGGTCCACAGGCACGTGCCACCACACCCAGCTAATTTTTGTGTTTTTTGTACAGAGGGGGTTTCATCGTGTTGCCCAGGCTGGTCTCAAACTCCCGGGTTCAAGGAATCCCCCACCTCAGCTCCCCAAAGTGCTAGGAATACAGGAGTGAGCCACTGCGCCCAACCTGTTATTTTTTTTGTATAAATTAAATTGTATATGTTAGGCTCGGCACGGTGGCTCACGCCTGTAATTCTAGCACTTTTGGAGGCCAAGGTGGGTGAATCACTTGAGGTCAGGAGTTCGCGACCAGCCTGGCCAACATGGTGAAAACCCATCTCCACTAAAAAGACAAAGTTAGCTGGACACGGTGGCAGATGCCTGTAATCCCAGCTACTCGGGAGGCTGAGGCAGGAGAATCGCATGAACCCGAGAGGCGGGGGTTGCAGTGAGCTGAGATAGCGCCACTGCACTTCAGCCTGGGAGACAGAGCGAAACTCCATCTCAAAAAACAAAAAATTGTATATGTTATTGTATGTATGTGTATATATTAAATTGTATATACATATATATTACATTATATACGCATACGTTTGTTTCCTCGTGCAATCTGTTTCAGCAGAAGTAAAATCTCATAAAGATAGAAGTAAAAGAATATTTACAGAAGCATTATTTTTGGTTGCAAAAGTACTTTAATATCTTAAATGCTTATATAATGGAAGATAACTCTTAACAAAGAATTAGTTAACTTTTTATCTACTATAAAGGTATCTTAATATCTTTATACCTGAAGTGATATTTGTGGCAAATTGTTATATTTCAAAAGGAGAATGCTTTATAATTAAAGAAAAAAGAAAGAAACGTTATATAGTAGGCCTCCCTTATCTGCAGGAGACGTGCTCTAAGACCCTGTACCCAGAGGCTGCAGCTCCAGCCGCCCTGTCAAGCCAGCCTGCCAAGCTGCTCCTGCTCCAAACCAGCCATGTCTCCACCAATGCTGTGTGGCCCAAAGTTTTTTTATGAGAAATCTACTGATCATCTTATTGAGCATCCCTTGAATGTGATGAGTTGGTTTCTTCTCTCTTGCTGCTTTCAGGAATCTCTCTGCCTTGGCTTTCAACAGTTTGATGTGTCTTGGAATGGATGTCTTTGAGTTCATCTTAATTGGAGTTCATTAAGCATCTTGGATGTTTACATTCATATCTTTCATCAAATTTGGGAAGTTTTAGGCATTAATTTTAGGCATTAATTTTTGAAATAATCTCTCTGGTCCTTTCTCTTTTCCTACTGAAATTTCTACAGAGCATATGCTGGTCTGCTTGATGGTTTTTGTACTTTGAATGAGCCTTTCTTATTTATTTGTGTGCCTTGTGATTGTTGTTGTTGTTGAAAGCTAGATATTTGACTCCAATAATATAGTAACTCTGGAAATCAGGTTCTTCCTTTTTTGGTGTTTGTGAATTTTTTTGTTTTTTGATCATTGTAGGCTCCCTGTGTCATGGATTACCCGGAGATGTAAGCTTAAAGTCTTCTCAGATCTTCTTGAAGCCTGCATCCTTTTCTGGGCATGCACCGTGACTCTCTAAATTCCCCGGTGTGTCTGGTTTTTAATAAAATCTCCTAGGTCAGTAGTCCCCAATCTTTTTGGCACCAGGGACTGGTTTTTGGAAGATAGTTTTTCCATGGGCCCGGGGAGGGGGTGGGGTGATATCAGGATGAGTCAAGTGTGTCAAATTTATTGTGTACTTTATTTCTATTATTATTACATAGTAATATATAATGAAATAATTATTAAACTCACCATAATGTAGAATCAGTGGGCACCCTGAGCTTGTTTTCCCATAACTAGATGGTCCCATCTGGGGGTGATGGGAAACAGTGACAGATCATCAGGCATTAGATTCTCATAAGGAGTGCATAACCTAGACCCCCCACATGCACAGTTCACAGTAGGGTTCATGCTCCTATGAGAATCTAATGCCACCGCTGATCAGACAGGAAGCAGAGCTCAGGCGGTCATGTGAACAATGGAGAGCAGCTGGAAATACAGATGAAGCTTCACTTGCTCGCCCGCTGCTCACCTCCTGCTGTGTGGTCCAGTTCCTAACAGGCCACAGACCAGTACTATGGGTTGGGGACCCCATCCTAGAGTTTGAATGTCTGGCCCCCAGAAGGGAAAAAAGAGAAAAACAAAGAGGAAAGAAGGGAATTGGATCTTTAAATCACCTGGAAGTAGCTTCAGCTGGAGCAAGAGGGGCTTGGAATACTGGAGCAGAAGGGTGCAGCAATGGCAGACTGCTAATCTGTCTGCACTGCCAAGATCAGAAATAGCAATGAGAAATCAGATACCCAAGTTTTGGAGGACAGGTTCCTTGCTGCCCACCCTGGCTCCCTTAAGCTGCCAGATATGCATGGCTGCTTGCCCCATGGCTGGGGGATGAGTTGCTGCCTGGAGCTGAAATTAGCAGAAATTAACCACAGTTTGCCATCCATGCCTTTCCCTGGAAGTTACAAGCTTTGAATATATTCAGGTTCCAAAATGGTCACATAAGGTAGATTCTGCCAGTACAATTGTTGTCTAGGTGGGATGACACATTCCTAGTGCTTCCTGCTCTACCATCTTTTAGAACCCTCTGTCCATATAACTGTATTTTAGAGTTCTTTATATCATATCTAATAGATGAGATTATCAATTTTCTCTTAATTCTACCATACAACATTTACTTTTTCTGGTCAAGGAAACAAAGTGTTTTTCTTATTTCTTTTAGATTTGGATTCGAGGTATGAAATAATCAACTACGGGAACATGTACATTTATAGAAAACATTCATTTCTTACTCTCCATCAGATAATTCAATATGGAGAGAAACCCTATGAATGTAAGCAATGTGGAAGGCCTTTGGTCGTCATACAGACCTTAGAGTACATCAAGTAATTCACACTGGTGAGAAACCCTGTGATTGCCAGGAATGTGGGAAGGCCTGTGATTGCCAGGAATGTGGGAAGTCATCATACAGACCTTAGAATCCACAAAAGAATTCACACTGGTGAGAAACCCTATCAATGTGAAGACTGTGGGACAACCTTTAGTCGTCTTACAGACCTTAGAGTACATCAGAGAATTCATACTGGTGAGAAACCCTATGAATGTGAAGAATGTGGGAAGGCCTTCAGTCGTGCCACAAACCTTGCTCAACATGGAAGAGTTCATACTGGTGAGAAATCCTATGTGTGTCATGAATGTGGGAAGGCCTTTAGTGAAGTTGGAAGACTTAGGAAACATCAGAGAATTCATACTGGTGAGAAACCCTATGAATGTAAGGAATGTGGGAAGGCCTTCAGTCAAGCCTCAAACCTGGCACAACATGACAGAATTCATACTGGTGAAAAACCCTACAAATGTAAAGAATGTGGGAACGCCTTTAGTCACACGTCACATCTTGTTAGACGTGAAAGAATTCATACTGGTGAGAAACCCCGTGAATGTAAAGAGTGTGGGAAAGCTTTTAGGAGTAACCATCAACTTACTATACATCATAGATTTCATACTGGGGAGAAACCCTATGAATGTAAGGAGTGTGGGAAGGCTTTTAGTGTGTATGGACGACTGAGTCAGCATGAGAGTATTCACAGTGGTGAGAGACCCTTTCAATGTAACAAATGTGGAAAGTCCTTTAGGCTCAGTTCAAGTCTCAAAGTACATCAGAGCATGCATACTGGTGAGAAACCCTTTGAATGTGACAAATGTGGGAAGTCCTTTAGGTTTAGTTCAATCCTTCAAGTATATCACAGAATTCATACCAGTGAAATACTTTATGGCATATACATATAATAGACAATGCACAGTATATGAATGAATTATACCACTGAGAAACAGTTGAATGAAGAAAATGTGAGAAGGCTTTTATGCATGGATCAGTTTTTACAGGACGTAAAATAATCTATACTGGTATGAACTCTTTTGGAATATAAATATTTGAAGTTTTTAATTTATGACTCAAGTGTTCAGAGTATTTATGTTGTATTTTATAAAAGAAAGTATTTTATGGCATTCCTCTATGTTTCACTGTTCAATCTGTGGCCAGACTGTGCAGCCAAGGTTAAAAGGCAGGTAAGTGCCACCCAGGGAAGAGACTGGTACATGGTTTGAGGTTGTGGAAGACAGACTACAAGCACACCAGGCTCAAGTGGTTCAGCATTTACTTAAAGCTAGAGAGGAGAAAGAGTGCATAAGATCGTGCCGCTTGCAATGTGTCAGTCCCCCTAGCCAGCAGTTCCACTGTGCAGCTGATATGGAAGACACTAGCAACTGCACACACCCCACTTTGTGCTGCAGTGACAGGACTTCATCCCTTCCCCGCCTCGGGTCTGAAATACATAATGCTGGGAATGTGCTTCAAGGCCACTGACAGATGTGCTTAAGCAGAACAAAAGAGTATACAATAAGTCCAAAACAGGGAAATACAGTCCCACACAAGTCAATAATCCCAGCACAGGCTATGAGGGCTTTTGAATCTCATGGTAGGGAAGTGTTCCAGGCCCAAGGCTCAGTCTTATGTGGCCATGTGAGGGCTGAAAGACTGCATGACGGCCTTTCCCAACACTATTTATGGATTCTCAGAATATTTATACTAAAGGAATATTAAGAGAACACACAAAACCTTGTTTATTTGTTTTATGTATAAAAGCTTTCCAGCACAAATCATTATTAAACTTGAGTAAATTCATATCACAGAAAACCTCTGCTAATGTAACAGACAGACGTAGGAAAGCGTTTAGCCTTTGTATGATCTTAACCATTCTAATTGTCTTTCCACTCCTTGTTTTTTCTCATTCGTATATGGCAATACTAATAATATCTACATTATAGTGGCTGTTAGAACTAAATCAGTTCATTTATGTGGAAAACATGGGAAAGTTTTTGACATAATAGTTCATGTTCGATAAACATTAGCGACTGTTTCTAATACCATTTATGTTTTGAGATGAAACTCTTATGGGTCTAAGAATTTAGGAACATTTCATGTAACTGCTTACCCCTTTTTTAATGTGAATTTTTTCTTTCTGAACTACTCTAATAGAATGTAAAAAACCTGAGAGCATCTTCATTCTGAGGTCTTAAGGTGAATCAAACACTTAATCCTTGAATGAAATTTATATTTATACTTTTAGAAAGTGTAAAAAAATGTTAAATTAGCCAATGATTTACATTCCACTTCCACATTTCAAAATTGATTAGAAATTGGCCAAAGGATATCTATTTTGCCATTTCCCCCAAATTTATGAAAAATTAGAAACATAAAGAAAAGCTGAAAAACAGTACAGCAAATATATGTTAATATTATGTCATATGACCTTTCTGTTTTGTATATTTTGCTGCATCATTGGACAGTTGTAAACATCATGATGTTTCAGTTTTAAATATATCAAAATGAATCCCCCAAAGAGACAGATTTCTTTTTTTTTGCTTTTTTTTTTTAGGCGGAGTTTTGCTCTTGTTGCCCAGGCTGGAGTGCAATGGCACGATCTCGGCTCACGGCAACCTCTGCCTCCCGGGTTCAAGCGATTCTCCTGCCTCAGCCTCCTGAGTAGCTGAGATTACAGGCATGAGCCACCATGCCTGGCTAAATTTGTATTTTTAGTAGAGACGGGGTTTTGCCATGTTGGTCAGGCTCGTCTTGAACTCCCAACTTTAGGTGATCCACCTGCCTCAGCCTCCCAAAGTGCTGGGATTACAGGTATGAGCCACCGTGCCCGGCCAAGAGACAGATTTCTAATTACATAAGAAAAATAATAATTTTGGCCGGGTGCGGTGGCTCAAGCCTGTAATCCCAGCACTTTGGGATGCCAAGGCAGGCAGATCACGAGGTCAGGAGATAGAGACCATCCTGGCTAACACGGTGAAACCCCGTCTCTACTAAAAATACAAAAAATTAGCTGGGTGTGGCGGCGGGCGCCTGTAGTCCCAGCTACTTGGGAGGCTGAGGCAGGAGAATGGCGTGAACCCGGGAGGCGGAGCTCGCAGCAAGCCGAGATCGCGCCACTGCACTCCAGCCTGGGCAACAGAGCGAGACTCTGTCTCAAAAATAATAATAATAATAATTTCATATTCTAATGCCTAACCTGTATTCAAATTTTGAAAATTTATCCAAGTTATATCTTTTTGGTCATTTTCAAACTGGTATTTGCTCTAGTTTATGCCTTTATGATAAAGCGTTACTCACTTTTAATTTAGAATAGTGGCTGGAAAACTATGGCCTACAGGCTAATTGCAACCTGCCAGTGGATTTTGTAGTTTTATTGCAACACTACCACATTCACTTGTTTACATGTTTTCTTCTTACTACCACGTCAGAGATGTCATTGCAATGAGACCATTTGCAATGGTCACAAAACCTACTGTATATAATATCATGACCTTTCTAGAGAACATTTGCCAACTCATTTAGAACAATATCTCTACTGTTTTTTTTTTTTCATGAGTTTGGCTTTTTGAAGACCACAGGAAAGTTGTCTAATAGAATGCTGAACATTCTGGGTTGTTTTGTGTGTGTGTGGTTTTGTTTTTTCGTTTGAGACAGGGTCTCGCTCTGTCACCCAGGATGGAGCGCCATGGTGCAATCACAGCTAACTGCAGCCTTGACCTCCTGGACTTAAGCAATCCTCCCACCTCAGCCTCCCAAATAACTGGGACCACAGGTGTGTGCCACCATACCTGGTTAACTTTATTTTTTTGTGGAGACAGGGTCTCTCTATGTTGCCCATGCTGGTCTGGAACTACTGGGCTCAGGGGATCTTCCCACCTCAGCCTCCCAAAGTGGATTACAGGCATGAGCCATCACACCCAACTGTGGATTTTAAAAATTGTTTCATTGTGAAGTCTTATTTTTCTTTATCTTAGTCCTCATAGTTCTAGTATATTTGAAGTTAAACCAAGAGGTTTACTAGGTTATGATTAAGAATTTTCAGCAAGAATATGTCACAGATGATGTGCACACTAAAAAGCGTATAATGTTTGATTTTTTCCAGGACTAAGGATGCTAAGTGTCATCACTTGGTTATAGTGGTGATTGCTTGATCTCTCCAGAATAGAGCCCCATTATAAAGAGCCATTTTACAGTTATTAATCTCAGGGATATTGTGTCACATCCTTTTAGAAATCTATAATCCTTTTAGAAATCTAAAAGCAACATCCTTTTAGAAATCTTTAGAAATCTATAATTTAGAAATCTATAATTAATTAAATCCTTAATTAAATATGGAATTAAAAATGGAAATCAGGGCCTCTTCAGAAAGTAATAATAATTAAAGGCCTGTATATTAGAACATGGGGATATTGCCAGACCTTTTTGGGAATTTAATACCCTTCAATGCACACAGGAAACGAAGAGTAAAGGCCAGAATTTGTGTTCACCACTCTATCCCCAGAACCCATTCAATACCTGTTAATGAGCTGGCGTTGATAAACTTGATAAACCCTAAGCCAATACAAAGCAACAGTTAATACAACAGAAGAATTAGAGCCTAGTGATTAGTAAACAAAATAGTACCGTTTCAAACAGTTTTGTTCCCACCAGTGAAAAGCAATGAATGCGTCTACAAGTACATTTTTATTGATTGAGAAGTGAACCATTATCTTGAACAAAGGTGTGCCACTGGTCTCCAGGACCACTCAGGCTCAATGATTTGCTGGAAGGACTCCTGGGATCCAGAAGAGCTGCCATACTCAAACTCAAGGCGAAGGATGCAGGCAACAATGAACAATGGGAGAAGGCACTGGACAAAGTCCAGGAGAGACGAGGCACAAGCTTCCAGTTTTCCCCTTCCATTAGAATTGCATGGCAACAGCACTTAATTCTTCCCACCATGGTGTGTGCCAGCATGTGCAAAGTAGTGCCAAACAGGTAATCTCGTCTGAATGCTGGTGTCCATGGTGCCTGGGTGACTGAACTTAACTCCTGAATTTACTCAGTCTCCAGCCTTCCAGAAGTCAAGCTCATATAGCATGGGCCTTGGGCACACAAAATAGCCATTCATCATAAGTCACATTTTTTGCATAAACTTTGTGGTGACAGTGATACAGCATAGGAAGCACGATAGTCCAAGTACTCAGAGATTATCTCCCAGGGGCCAGTGAAGGGCCAGTCCTCCTGAACACAGGCTTTTCATTGGAATGTATAAGGGTTGAACACCACAGGCCTGCTGAGGTAACCCTTTCCTGCACAGTCAGGCAGTTTTGGGCATTCTTATTTCAGAGAACCTGATTACTAAAGTACCCATGTAATAAATGATAGATAGGGAAAAATCTTAAGGATATAAAAAATATTTCAGAAATATTATTTTTGAAAAAAATCAGGTTACAAGCCACATGTAGAACATGATATTATTTGTAAAACATACACATATTTCAATATAGGATTCAGGCCATTATATATAACTAGACTGAAAAAGTCTAGAATATCATACACCCGTATATTAACAGCGTTTATCTTTTTGTTTTGATCTTGGGGTATTTTGGTTAAATATATCATAATTTTTGGTCAGTTGCCATGCCTTACTTGAAATATATGTATGTAAACTTTTGTGTGTGTGTTTTAAGCGGAAACCTACACTCTCAAAAGCAGAACGTTCACTTTTTAAAACCATCTCGGCTGGGCGCGGTGGCTCACGCCTGTAATCCCAGCACTTTGGGAGGCCGAGGCGGGCGGATCACGAGGTCAGGAGATCGAGACCATCCTGGCTAACACGGTGAAACCCCATCTCCACTAAAAATACAAAAAATTAGCCGGGTGAGGTGGCAGGCGCCTGTAGTCCCAGCTACTCGGGAGGCTGAGGCAGGAAAATGGCGTGAACCCTGGGGAGCGGAGCTTGCAGTGAGCCGAGATCGCATCACTGCACTCCAGCCTGGGCAACAGAGCAAGACTCCATCTCAAAAAAAAAAAATAAAAATAAAAATAAAAAATAAAAAATAAAAAATAAAACCATCTCTACTTGATCTTACAGAAAAACAATAAATTTGGATTGTTTTTGCTGAATTACTTGTGTTTCCTTCAGTTTCCTCATAGCTGAACCTCCTCTAAGATTTCTGTCACATCACCTGAATCTGGATAGTGGTCCTTAATACATTGATTCCTAGTCAGAGTTTATTTTACTAGAATAAAAGACACCTTAGCAACTATGTCATTTTAGTCTACCACCTCAAATGCTATGATTGCAAGGTCTGTTACACTATAAGCACTTATACCTGTAGGCAAATTATACTTCTAGGAATTCGCTTAAGGAAATGCAATTACGCCTCACTTAGCAACAGGGATACACTCTGAGAAATGTGTGGTTAGGCAATTTTGTCACTGTGCAGACATCACAGAATGTACTTAAACCTTTGGTATAGCCGATTACACACACATCCAGGCTACATGGTATAGCCTATTGCTCCTAGGCTACAAACCTATACGGCATGTTACTGTAGTGAATACCGTAGCCAACTGTAACACAATGGTATTTGTGTGTCTAAACATATCTAAACAGAGAAAAGGATCAGTAGAAATATAGTATATAGCCAAGTGTGCTGGTGCACACCTGCAATCCCAGCCACTCTGGAGGATTGCTTGAGCCAGGAGTTCAAGTTCAGGCTGGGCAACATAATGAGATCCCATCTCAAAAAACAAAACAGAAAAACACAGCCTGGGTGTGGTGGCTCATGCCTGTAATCCCAGCACTTTGGGAAGCTGAGGCAGGGGGGTTGCTTGAATGCGGGAGTTCAGGACCAGCCTAGGTGACATGGCAAAACCCCATTTCTACAAAAAACAGAAAAATTAACCGGGCCTGGTGGCAGGCGCCCATGGTCCCAGCTACTCAGGAGGCTGAGGTGGGAGGGTCACTTGAGCCCGGGAGGCAGAGGCTGCAGTGGGCCGAGATTGTGCCCCTGCACTCCAGCCTGGGCAACAGAGCGAGACTCTGTCTCAAGAGAAAAAAAAAAAAAAAGATAGTATAAAAGATAAAAAATGGTACACCTATGTAGGGCACTTATCATGAATGAAGCTTACAGGACTGGAAGTTGCTCTAAGTGAGCCATTCAGTGGTGAGTGAACGTGAAGACCTAAAATATTTCTATACACTACTGCAGACTTCATGTAAACACTGTACACTTGGGCTACACTAAATTTATACAATAATGTTTTTCTCCAATAAGAATCTTAGCCTACTATAACTTGCAACTTAATTTTTACTTTTTGACTTTTGTAATAAGACAGATTAAAACACACATTATACAGCTGTATAAAAATATTTTCTTTTAAGTCCTTATTCATATACCTTTTTCTATTTTTAAATCTTTTTTTGCTTTTTGAACTTTTTTGGTAAAAGCTGAGACACAAACACACACCTTATCCTAGGACTGTGTCAGGATCATCAATATCACTGACTTCCAGCTCCACATCGCGTCCCATGGAAGGTCTTCAGTGGCAATAACACACACAGAGCTGTCATCGTCTATAACAATGCCTCTGGAATCCCTCCTGAAGGACATGCCTGAGGCTATTTTACACTTAACTTTTTCTTGTAAATTGCAGGACTACACTCTAAAATAATGATAAAGAGTATAGTAAACACATAAGCCAGTAACATAGTTATTTATTATCAAAGTATTATATATGTACAGTACATATTATCAAAGTAACTATATACTTTTATACAACTGGCAGCACAGTATGTTTTACACCAGCATCACCACAAATGTGATGAATGCATTGTGCTACGATGTTATAACAGCTACCACATCACTAGGCAACAGGAATTTTTCAGGTCCATTATAATCTTATGGGACCACTGCCATATATGTGATCTGTTGTTCATTGAAACATTATAGCCTATGACTGCACTAGTAAAAATACATAAAATGCATGTACAATGATGTTCAAAATGTATTTTTGATAACCAAACATTTAAAACAAAAATCTAACAGCAACACATTAATTACTTCGGCTCTGCTATATGACAACAAATACAATTTTTTTTGTTTTGTTTTTTGTTTTTTTTAGATGGAGTCTCACTCTGTAGCCCAAGCTGGAGTGCAGTGGCATGATTTCGGCTCACTGCAACCTGTGCCTCTGGGGCTCAAGTGATTCTCCTGCCTTAGCCTCCCAAGTAGCTGGGACTACAGGTGCGTGCCACCATACCCGGTTAATTTTTTTGTATTTTTAGTAGAGACGAGGTTTTACCATGTTGCCCTGGGTGGTCTTGAACTCCTGAGCTCCAGTGATCCATCTGCCTTGGCCTCCCAAAGTGCTGGGATTACAGGCGTGAGCCACTGTGTCTGTCTCAACATTGTTAATCATATTGATTTTAACCTAGACTAACAAAGAAACATATGCAAGAAGAATCACCGAGGAAGGCAGGTTTAAAATAATAAATTTCCAGCTGGGCAGGGTGACTGACATCTGTAATCCTGCCACTTTGTGAGGCCAAGGTGGGAGGACTGCTTGAGCTCAGGGGTTCAATACCAGCCGAGGCAATGTAGTGAGACCCTGTCTCTACAAAAAATGAAAAAATTAGCCAGATGTGGTGGTGCATGCTTATGATCCCAGCTACTCAGGAGGCTGAGGTGGGAGGACTGATTGAGCCCAGGAGACAGAGACTGCAGTGAGCCGTGACTGTGCCACTGAACTCCATCCAGCCTGAGTGATCAAGCAAGACCTTGTCTCAGAAAAATAAAAATAGAAATGATGACAAAATATATTTCCATAATTTGAAAATTTTATGCTGTTCAAATTCAGAATAATCGGGTTGTCACAGAGCTCATAGAGTTCATGACATCTGTTCTGTCCTAAGCAGGGCTGGAGTCACCCCAAAAGTGGCAGCAGGGAAGTTCTCAGAAGGAATTCCATCCCAAGATGGAGCCAGCTGGGATCCTAAAGACAGAAGCACTGAAAGTCCGGGCAATCAGTGCAAAGTGTTTACTAGGGGAATTTAAATATACAGGGCCGCGGCCTGAGAGGGATAACGAGAAGAGAGATGTGCCACCCATGTAATGTCCTTAATGAAGGGATTGGGTCATGGAGTTTACATGACAGTTAAAATATTTGGCCCAGGATCTAGTATACGTGTTTAGCAACATGGTTAATCTTTCAGTGCATCAAGCAACAACCTAAAACTAAATCAGTTCTTAGGAATGTGCAAGGCCCTGGTTTGGGTTTAGGCTCAAGCTGAAAACATGCAGCTGGTCAGGTCATAGTGGTCAAAGCATTCTGTTTCTTGGTCAGAACAAAGAAAGTGGGGGCAGCCAGAGTCTCCTACTTTTTTTTTTTTTTGAGACGGAGTCTTGCTCTATCACCCAGGCTGGAGTGCAGTGGCGCCATCTCGGCTCACTGCAACCTCTGCCTCCCAAGTTCAAGTGATTCTCCTGCCTCAGCCTCCCAAGTAGCTGGGACTACAGGCGCCTCCCACCACGCCCAGCTAACTTTTTTGTATTTTTAGTAGAGACGGGGTTTCACTGTGTTAGCCAGGATGGTCTCCATCTCCTGACCTCGTGATCCACCCACCTCGGCCACCCAAAGTGCTGGGAATACAGGCGTGAGCCACCACGCCCGTGGTGCCACCTGGCACTTTTTCTGTTGTTGTTTTTTTGAGACGGAGTTTCACTCTTGTTGCCCATTCCCAGGCTGGAGTGCAATGGCGCAATCTCGGCTCACCGCAACCTCCGCCTCCCGGGTTCAAGTTATTCTCCTGCCTCAGCCTTCTGAGTAGCTGGGACTACAGGCACCTACCACCACGTCCAGCTAATTTTTGTATTTTTAGTAGAGACAGGGTTTTGCCATGTTGGCCAGGCTGGTCTTGAACTCCTGACCTCAAGTGATCCACCTGCCTCAGCCTCCCAAAGTGCTGGGATTATAGGTGTGAGCCACCACACCCAGCCAAAATATTCACATTGGTTTTTACTGTACAAAGGTATTATGGATGATGTCTCTCCTTTATGTTTATTTCCAATTTTTCTCAGATATTATTAATTTTTATAAGGAAATTACTAAAGAACAAGGATTTCTTGTCAGGTCCTGTTTTTCTCTTATATTGTAAGACCTAAAATTTCATCTGTTATCTTAACACCTTTGAGCCTCACCGGGTCCCAAAGGCCTAACCATGAGTTTCCCTGCTCTCATCAGATATGCCCCCTACCCAGCAAGAAAGGCTCCCAGCCAGTTAGTTCCTTCGAAGGCCAGACCAGCTATATCCCACCTGGTCCTCAAGCTAATGGAGTTCATCTCCCTGCCAGCCCATGAAACCAATGAAGCAAGATAATCTCATTCTCCCATGGAAACCAGGGGGCGCCTCATCCTCTTACTATTATAAAACCTGCCTCTCACAGCCCCTGCTGAGGTAGTCTACTTCCAAGTGCAATCTTCCTGCAGAGGTGCTAACTTTCTTTCTTTGGGATATGCATTTTTATGTGATTAATAAGCTGCTGTCAATCTCATCTGTCCAGTTTCCAGGTGTCATGTGTCAGATACCTCCAGAACCATAGGGCAAGACTCTGTCACCACAAGGGAAAAGAGGTGGGCAAAACACTTTCCAATTCTTTTTTTTTTTTGAGATGGAGTTTCACTCTGTTGCCCAGGCTGGAGTGCCACCCTGTTACCCAGGCTGGAGTGCAGTGGCACGATCTTGGCTCACTGCAACCTCTGCCTCCTGGGTTCAAGTGATTCTCCCGACTCAGCCTCCCAAGTATCTAGGATTACAGGTGCTTGCCACCACGCCCGGCTAATTTTTGTATTTTTAGTAGTTGGGGTTTCACCATGTTGGCCAGGCTGGTCTCAAACTCCTGACCTCAATTGACCCACCCACCTCGGCCTCCCAAAATGCTGGGATTACAGGCATGAGCCACCACGCCTGGCTCCAACTCATTTTTACTTCCATTTCAGAGCTTTCAGTATCCATCGTGCATGGTTTTATAAAACTCAAACTTCAAATAAGGCACTAAATCATGTTCTCAGTCTAGTTTAATGCATGGTCTGAAGTTGAGCTACTCAAAATAATTTTGGAAAAGTGTCTGTGGCTGAAATTTCATTTTGCTAAGCATACAAACCTAAAATGAATATTATTTTAGTGTTGTCCTATTTGTAAGGGAGATCAGGCAAAAAAATTAAAGGTGTGGAATCTCTATTGAGCCTTGATTTACAGGGAAAAGGACTGTTTGAGATGACTTTTCAGGTTAAGAGAAAATGGACTATTAGAGTAAAAAGAATTGAGTCAAATGAATTTTGTTGGTTCAGGAAACAGATACTGGTGTGAAAATGTAAAATGGTACAATCATGATGAGAAATTTGTCAATGTCACAAGTTAAAATGCACATAGCAAACCTACTTTTGAGAATTGATATAAAAACGTACAAATATGTAAACTAATGTTTACACAAGTATATTGTTTGGAGCATTGCTTTTAAGAAAACATAGGGGCTAGGTGCAGTGGCTCCTGCCTATAATCCCAGCACTTTGAGAGGCCAAGATGAGCAGATCACTTGAGGTCAGGAGTTTGAGACCAGCCTGGCCAACATGGTGAAACCCCGTCTCCACTAAAAAATACAAAAAAATTAGCGAAGTGTGGTGGTGCATGCCTGTAATCCCAGCTACTAGAGGGGCTGAGTCAGGAGAATAGCTTGAACCCAGGAGGCAGAGGTTGCAGTGAGCTGGGATTGCAACAGTGCCAGCCTAAGAGACAGAGCAAGACTATGTTTCAAAAAGAAAGAAAGAAAGAAAGAAAACATAGGAAATTCCTTAATATACAGTAGGAGAAGGCATGTTTCTTAAACTAGGATGCAGCCATACTGGGGCCTTTGGCATTGTTGAAAATGACATTCCTTACGTACTGATTTGGAACTATGTTTACATGAAGAAAACGAAATATGTACTTATATATGTGTTGTGGAAAGTCTGGGACCCTGAACGGAGGGACCAGCTGAAGCCACAGCAGAAGAACATAAATTGTGAAGATTTCATGGACATTTATCAGTTCCCAAAATTAATACTTTTATAATTTCTTACGCCTGTCTTTACTGCAATCTCTGAACATAAATTGTGAAGATTTCATGGACATTTATTAGTTCCCCAAATTAATACTTTTATAATTTCTTATGCCATCTTACTTTAATCTCTTAATCCCGTCATCTTTGTAAGCTGAGGATGTATGACACCTCAGGACCCTGTGACGATTGTGTTAACTGTACAAATTGTAAAACGTGTGTTTCAACAATATGAAATCTGATTGTAAAACATGAGTGTTTGAACAATATGAAATCAGTGCACCCTGAAAAAGAACAGAATAACAGTGATTTTCAGGGAACAAGGGAGATAACCATAAGGTCTGACTGCCTGCAGGGTCAGGCAGAATAAAGCCATATTTTTCTTCTTGCAGGGAGCCTATAAATGGACGTTTGAGTAGGAGAAATATCGCTGAATTCTTTTCCCAGCAGGGAATATTAATAACTGATACCCTGGGGAAGGAATGCATTCCTGGGGGTAGGTCTATAGACGGCCACTCTGGGAATGTCTGTCTTATGTGGTTGAGATAAGGACTGAAATATGCCCTGGTCTCCTACAGTACCCTAAGGCTTACTAGGATTGGGAAATTCCAGCCTAGTAAATTCTAGTCAGACTGGTTGTCTGCTCTCGAATCCTGTTTCCTGTTAAGATGTTTATCAAGACAATGCGTGCATAGTGGGACACAGACCCTCATCAGTAATTCTAATTTTGTCCTTGCCTTGTGATCTTTTATTGCCCTTTGAAGCATGTGATCTTTGTGACTTACTCCCTGTTCGTACATCTGCTCCCCTTCCAGAATCCCTAATAGAAACTTGCTGGTTTTGCGGCTCAGGGGCATCACGGAACCTGCCGATATGTGATGTCACCCCTAGAGGCCTAGCTGTAAAATTTCTCTCTTTGTACTCTTTCTCTTTATTTCTCACACCGGCTAACACTTAGGGAAAATGGAAAAGAACCTACGTTGAAATATTGGGGGCTGGTTCCCCCGAAATAAACGCATGTTACATATATGTATATTTGGAATTATATATGGATATAAATACATTTGTATGTGTGTGTATATGTGCATATTTTTATATAAAAATACCTTCTCTGGAAGGATATATACCAAAATAAAAATGTTGACTCTAAGGTTAGCTACTGTATGACTGGACTATGTGGAAGGAAAGGCTGCTTATCTTTTTACTTAAACCTTTTCATACCTATTGAACTGTTATTCTATGTATGTATTACATATTTAAAATACGTAATAATGCTGATGACTAAAACATAGGCATCCTTTGATGAGTATGTTTCCCATTTGCTCAATGTCCTCATGAACATAAATACATATAAACACAACCTTGGTTCCTTTTTTTTTTTTTAAGACAAGGTCTCCCTCTGTCACCAAGGTTAGAGTGGCACTGCAGCCTCGACTTCCCAGGCTCAAGCCGTCCTCCCACCTCAGCCTCCTGAGTAGCTGGGACCACAGGTTCGAACCTTTTTATTTTTTGCAGAGTCAGGGTCTTGCTATGTTGCCCATGCTGGTGGCGAACTCCCAGGCTCAAGCAATCCTCCCACCTCCGCCTCCCAAAGTGCTGGCATTACAGGCATGAGCCACCACGCCTGGCTCAATTCTTCTGACAGCACCTTCTACCCAGATTTTGGGCGTTTGGCCACAATTTATCTTCACTGTCTTGGGATCTCATGACCAGGCATTACCAATGAAAGATGTTTCTCCAGTCTATGGGCTTTAAAATGCAGCA
Organism: Homo sapiens; assembly: GCF_000001405.40. Taxonomy (NCBI): domain Eukaryota; kingdom Metazoa; phylum Chordata; class Mammalia; order Primates; family Hominidae; genus Homo; species Homo sapiens. Next base: position 37,816,995 of record NC_000019.10, read on the forward strand.
AAGCCCATCCATGCAAAATACAAAAAGTATTACACAAGCGTACAGAATTGTACATTATAAACCTACCTTCAGGAGTTTATACCAACTCAAGCGCGCGTTGTTACTCGGGGTCACAGCACTGATTCTACAGGGCAGTCATCACACACGTCTGAGGCCTCAGAAGAGCGTCGAAGTCACCTTTCAGCCTACCCCAGCCAGGTTCCACTCAGACTCGCCTCCTGGGGCCCTAAGAACACAGGAACACCGCCCTTGACCTAGCGTCAGAAACGTTCCCTCACGGGTTGGCCGCTCTGCGCATGCGCACTCCTAGCCCAGGCTGCAACTCCCCGAAGCCTCCGGGACTCGGCGGTGGGCGTGGCGGGCGGTCGCCGTGGTCACCACGGCTTTTCTCAGAGGTTTTAACGCCCCTAGACTTCATTTCCCGACAGGGACTGCGGGTCTGGATATTCCGTCGTGGACTACGTTTCCCACTGACGACGGAGAAAACTTGGTCCTTTGGCTCCGCGCTGCGCGTGACCTGCAGTCACCTGAGCAAGAGGGCGGCGTGGGTCGCTGCGGGAGCCCCTACAGCCCCAGCCCGCAGCCCACGTGGCACCCTACAGGGCTGTGAGAGTGGGGCTGCTGGAGGCGTTCAGAGCGCGGAGGCCCCAGGCGCGGGCCGGGCTCTCTCCCGCCTCCTCAGGCCCGGGGGTGCTGGAGCTGCCGAGGTGGGGGCTCATCTTTGGGAGACAGGTGGGGAGTGTGAGAGACCGCGCAGCGGCGACAGGGCCGGGCGTGCCTGTGTGACGTGGGTGCAGCTGTGGGACTGTGAGGGGTGCGTGGTCGACCTTGCGTAACCTGGATGTGCAGTGCGTGTCCTTTGCAAAGCGTGCGTTGCTGTGGCTCCGTGGCGTCAGCAACCCTTCCCTGCTGTTTCCTTTGTCCTCCTCTCAGTCAAGTATGACTGCCACAGAGAAATGGTCCCATCCAGGAAATCAGATATTGAGTCCTACCTGAGTTTCCAGCAAGAAGGTACGGACTTGCTGTTAGGATGGGAATTATGGATCAGGAATTGCCCTGAGATGGGGTCCTGGTAACAGATAGACTCTAGGATAGGATTCCCTCCTGGGGATTGCGGCAGAGTGTACTTGCAAGTGGAGCCTTGAAGGGTAAGATCATAAATGTTCTACATTGTGGTGACTCTGGAATTTGTAGTATTTGGGACAATACAGTTACTAAAAAGACATTATTGCGTCCTTTAAAATGTTTATTATCTGTCAGTGAAGGTAATATCTGAATAGGATTAATATGTGTTAGGCAGTGTGTGATCCTACCTCGTGAATTCGCTGGAAATACACTTCAGTCTGTCTATCACAACAGGATATGAACAAATTATACCAATCCTGTTGAATCTATGGCAATAAATAGATTTTGTGCTGTAACTTTCGTGGCTCACAGTTTCCTTCTAATTAGGTTAGATGCAAAATGAAAGTATTATAATAGAATAAAGTAATTCGGCCGGGCGTGGTGGCTCACACCTGTAATCCCAGGACTTTGGGAGGTGGAGGCGGGCGGATCACGAGGTCAAGAGATCGAGCCCATCCTGGCCAACATGGTGAAACCCCATCTCTACTAAAGATACAAAAATTAGCTGGGCGTGGTGGCGTGCGCCCAGTCCGAGTAGCTGGGACTACTCGGGAGGCTGAGGCAGGAGAATCGCTTGAACCCAGGAGGTGGAGTTTGCAGTGAGCCGAGGTCCCGCTACTGCACTCCAGCCTGGCGACAGATCGAGACTCCATCTCAAAAATAAAAATAAAACAAAATAATAATAATTCAGAAGCTGTCTGAGGGGACATGACTTATCTGACAGGCTTAGAAACAAAATAAGCCTTTTTGTCCAGAAGATCTGAAATAAAGCTGTGTGGTGACCGCCATCAGTTTATTCAAAAGATTACTCAGGGACTACTCCCCATTTTTTCAAGACAGAATTCTGTCATACCTGAGAAGAAATGATCAAGTAAGTTCAGATAATAGGATCCAAAGGAAACAAAAGATAAGACATTTAGTATAACAACGTAAATGTAGAGAACAAAGACATTGTCTCAAGTCCCTTTCTTTTGGGGGAACATCTTCCTGTTAACAACAACAACAACAACAAAAACTAAAAAAGCCCACATGTGTTTCAAGTTAACCTATTGTTATTATTGGAATAATTATGAACAAGGCTTTAAAAATTAAAATCAAGGTCAAACAAAAAGAAAAATAGTGTTAATAGGTGGCCATATAACCTTCCAAGTTTTTGTTTACTGATTTCAGTAATCGTCTGCTTCTCTGTATTGATAGTCATGTTTTATAATAATGATTATATTGGCCAACCTGATTTTTCTATTGACAGTATATCTGAAATATTTCCTGTGTCCTTAAGTATTTTTCACAGCTTCCCATTTTACATGTACGATGGTCTGCCATATCTAGTAAGCTTTGTCAGATCCAAAATACTAAATGCTGCCTTTCTGTCCCCAGTGTCTTTGCTCAGTTCAAAAGCCACAGAAGAAGTTCTGGACGATGTGGGCCTTCAATCTTCTAAGATGGGAATAGAAAGAAGAGGATCTACCCAGACCAGGACCCTGCTGCCCAATCTCAGGTCTACATCTGCCTCACCAAAATAATACAGTGGCCAGAAACCTCCCTGCTAACATCATAGTTTGTCTGTGATGCAGAAATGCCTCTGTTTTGTTGTTGTTTTGTTTTTGTAGAGACAGGGTCTTGCTCTGTCACCTAGGTTGGAGTGCACTGGCACAATCATAGTTCACTGCAGCCTTGAACTCCTGGACTCAAGCGATCCTACCGCCTCAGCCTCCCAAGTAGCTGGGATTATAGGCATGCGCCATCATGCCTAGCTGATTTTTATTTTGTAGAGACTGGGTCTCACTATGTTGCCCAGGCTGGCCTTGAACTCTTGACCTCAAGCGATCTTCCTGCCTCAGCCTCCCCAGTTGCTGGGATTACAGGCGTGAGCCATCGTGCCTGGCCCCAGAAATGCTTCGCTTCTATGACTTTGTTCAGTGGAGACCTCTGTGATTTGGGGGAGGAAATAGATTTATCCAGAACCCCAATTTGCCCGAATTATGTATGATGGGAAATAGTTTGAGACCTGGAATGGAAGAGCATCACAGCAATATTAAGTAACTTAAGGTCTGTCAGGAACACTAATGCAAAACTGGTCTCAAGGTCTTTCTTCTTCCTCCAGCTCTGGCTTTCTGGATCTGTGCTTCTCTGGTAGAGGAACCCTGAGGACTGATCTACTCTTGCAGTTCTAAAACCATGGCCCATGTAAGTTCACGTTTTTCTCCTTGTTGAAATATGTGTGTGTTGGCCAGGCACGGTGGCTCAGGCCTGTCATCCCAACACTTTGGGAGGCCAAGGCGGGTGGATCACCTGAGGTCAGGAGTTTGACACCAGCCTGGCCAACATGGTGAAACCCTGTCTCTACTAAAAATACAAAAACAGCCCAGCATGATGGCAGATGCCTGTAATCCCAGCTACTCAGGAGGCTGAGGCAGGAGAATCGTTTGAACCTGGGAGGCAGAGGTTGTAGTGAGCCAAGATTGTGCCACTACACTCCAGCCTGGACAAGAGCGAAACTTGGTCTCAAAAAAAAAAAAAAGAAATATGTGTGTGTTTTTAGGTCATGAAGGTATTTTTATTAATTTTCCTGAAATTTCCTACCAGGAGAGGCTCATCAAATAACATGCTTCCAGCTCTTATTCTTCCAGTTCCCAGCATCCACCCAATATGTCCCATTATAAACCTCCTTTGTTCATGTAATTACTGAGCAAATTATTCAGCATGTCTTAAGAGCCCTCTATCAAGGGCAGTGGTGGAGTTAAGTCCTTTTAAGTAAAGATTTGTGCTTTTTGGGTCAAGTCTAGTTTGGTAAGATAGAGTCAATGGTTGTATTTGACCATCCATAACAAAACTTAAATTATCACCGACTGGAGATTTCCAGGAAGTGAAGATGAAAATTTGGTATTGAATGATCAAACTCAGTCATTCATTGGGTGAAATCTCATGCTTTGTGTGGTTCAGTAAATGACTGGGGACTTGCAAACTTGGAGGTTATGGATTTTGGCAAGAAACCCCTCAGGAATAAATATCAGGACTATTCTGATGTTGGATGGAACCTACTAAATTTAGATGACATGTATATAATTCATTATTCTTCCTTAGTATTCTTTAACTCAATGCATTTGTTATCTATTATTACATAACAAATTAGACCAAAACTTAATGGCTTAAGACAGCAAACATTTATCTCACAGTTTCTTTGGATCAGAAATCCAGACATGGCTTAGCTTGCCTCTCTGGCTCTCGATCTCTTACAAGGAGATCCAGGTTTTGGTCAGGACTACAGTCATCTTAAGGCTTAACTTGGGGTGGATCTTTTTCTAAGCTCACTCAACTAGTTGTTAACAGGATCCAGTTTCTCACAGGCTTCAGACTGACAGTCTTAGTTCCTCATTCGCTGTTGCCTGGAAGCTGCTCTTGGTTTATTGTCATGTGGGTCTGTCCATAGAATAGCTTAAAACATGGTGGCTGTGTTTTAATCAGTGAGCAAATGAGACATCAAGAGAGGGAGAGAAATACAGAAAAAGTGCTGAAGTAACATTTCAGCACTGTAGCTATTCTGCTTATTAAGAGCAAGTCACTTGGTTCAGCCCACGTGCAAGGGAAGGAGATTACACAAGCATGTAATACTATCGGATGGGGATCTTTGGTAACCTATATAGCAAGCCAGGTGCTCAGTGAGAGATGGTAGAGAGCCACAAAAGAGAATGTCATTATAAGTAGCAAGTGAACACAGAATCCTAGAACTGGGGAAGACCTTAAAAATGTTGTGTATCCTAACTGCATTGTAAACAAGTAAGTCTGATATTGCCCTAAGATATAATTCTCATGTGCCCCCAAAATACATGGATTTGTCAAAACAAGAGAAAAATGCTTATGGTGAGATCTGATGTAATGAAGTATTTAATGCTTGAGAGAATTCTTAATTTTATGTAAACCCTATTTTCTAAAATCAAGGCCAGGTGCTGTAATCCCTGTAATTCCAGGTGTTCACACCTGTAATCTCACCACTTAGGAAGGCTGATATGGGAGCATTGCTTGAGACCAGGAGTTCAAGACCAGCCTGGCCAACACAGCAAGACCCTGTCTCTATTAAAAATAATAATAATCAAGACTTTATACTTCATTTGGGGAAAATATCTGATTAAATTTTTTGCTCCTCTTAAAAGCAAAAATTTTCCCCAGCAACTCATATGTATTTAAAAATTTATATGGCAGATACCAATCAGACATTATGCTTATATTCACTGTTTACTTTCATAGGCAAACATTATTATTTTATTTATTCCCAAATGGTGCAAGTATTTTAGAGTATGCCACATAGTTTTCTATATGCCAGCAGTCTTTTTCAAAAATACGTATACATTCCACTTCAGTCCCCCTCATACTGTAAATTTGTAGACAACATGCTTGTTACATTGCTCTCTTCCTGCAATACAGTCCTTATTTCCCCTCCATCCATCTTGAAAGTATTCCTTTAATTTCTCCAGTAACACTATGGGTTTGCCATTTCGGGCATCAATGACATTCAGGGATGTGGCCATAGACTTCTCGCAGCAGGAGTGGGAATGTCTCGACCATGTTCAGAAGACCTTGTATTGGGATGTGATGATGGAGAACTGTAGTAACTTGGTATGTTTTCTGCCTCAGACAATTTAGGATAACTTTGAATCTGCTCTCTAGGATGATTTTTCATTGTGATTTTTAGGGCTGTCTTTCAAGAGACTAGTTAAATTTCTTTTCCCTTTTCCCCAAAGAAGTGGTTTGGGCTTTGTTGGGTAGGAAGTGACAGCTTCACTAGACATACTCATCTTCCCTGTCCCTCAGTGATGTTCAAACTTTTCTCTGGTCATAGTTACAGTTGTCTTTCTTCTTTTATAAGGAAGGGCTAGATTAGGATTCAGCAGCCTATATTATATAACCATTGTAAAAGGATCCAGGTTTCCTATTTCTTTATGCTCCGAATTACTGTGGATACTCCATTATAGCATCTGATCCACTTGCAGATTACCTTGACATAGGATCCTGAATTGCTCTAATTATCAAAAGAACCTTTATAATGTATATAGCTTTGGATTAGATAAATTGAATTCATTTAAAACTGAAGCAAACACATTCTATTTCCTAAGCAAATTTTAACTTATTCGTGGTTGAAAGTTGTGGTTTAAAGTTGTCATCTATAAACATTACATTTTAAATGGAATGAATATCCTATAAATATCTTTTCTTGTATACTCTTAACAAAACAACAATATCAATAATAACCTTAGTAGTGAACACTGTGTCTATTAAAGGTAGTGTTCTAAGCATTTCACATATATGTCTCAACCAATTTAATCCTTATTAAATTCGACAATCTTATTATATCCTCATTTTCCAGTTGAGAATATTAAAGCCCAGTGGATTTAAATGACTTGCTGAAGGTCATGCACAGCTGGGAGGTGGTAAAGGCAGGAATTGATACCAGGCTCTAGAGTCTGTATTTTCAACCATGGTATTATGTGTACTCTCAGGAAAAAAAAAAAAAGATATGGGTGTGTAGGTTATATTTAAAATCCTTACCCAACCTAACTGATTTCTTGTTCTTTAATTTCCTCATCCTCTCAAAAACCTTATTCAGTTTCATTTTGATCCTTGATTTATTACAATTGTAATTTTGACAGCAAAGTATGTTTCTATATCAAGTGGCCTTTTTTTCTTTGTAAGCAGGACATGACTTTTCTAAGCCAGATGTAATTACATCATTGGAGCAAGGAAAAGAGCCCTGGATGATTGTAAGGGAAGAAAAAGGAAGATGGTGTACAGGTAAAAATAAGTCTGACTGTGGGAAGCCATCTGTGTAAATAACAACCTGTGTGGTCAGGGAAGAGACATACACTTGGGATGTTAGTTGGAAATCTCCATTCACAGCAGAGAAAAGGTGTGTGATTTATAAGGAAGATAAATACTCTGCATAAGCTACCCAGTGAGCTTCACCTTCACCTTAACATTCCTGGATGGGAACTTGCTATCCTTGAAGTGACAAAAGAACAAATGCCATCCCTCCAAGATCTGGTGTCTGGTCTACCTGCACGTCCAGGAGTCCCAGCCAAACCCCGGCTCTTCTTTTCACTTTTCTTGCTTTTACCTTCTTCTTGCTCATCAATTTTTACGATGTCTTCCTTAGGTTCTTCTGTAGTCACCTCTGAAATATCCTTCAAATCTTTTTTCTCTTTCCACAGCACATCTGCAATTCTGCCTTTTCTCATTGACTTTTTCCAAAGCCTTTTAATGTGTTCTTTTCTTTCCAGCTTAGAGATCACATCTCCATAATCTTTCATGCTACCTTGATCTATGGCTTCCATGGCGTCTGTGGCCTCCAGGGCTTCTGTGGCCTCCATGGCCTCTATAGCTTGTAAAATGACCTCCTGCTCTGTTTCAGCATAATCCTGGGATTTGACTGTGCTTAGAGAACTCAGTGGTAGCTCTGGCTCTAAGGTAACATGTTGGGTTTCAACTAGCTCTGATTTCCCGGCCTCTCTTTGTTCACCTGCATCTTCTGAAGGCATCAACATGGAACTAGACATTTCCAATTTTGTCTTTCTGTGCTTCCTGGCAACTCTCAGGTCCTTTTTAACTGCAGAGATATTGGGAGAAAAACAGTTAACAGAAACACAGAGGTCTTGAGTAAGATCCTTTGTAAAATCTAATTCATTGAGCTACCATAAGAGATACAAAGCAGGGGGACTAAGGCTTTATGATATGGAAATGCTCGGTTTCATCCCACCATCCATATTCTAACAAAATAAGAGCTTGGTATTTGCTGTGGGGTAGATCTTTCTCAGGAATGTCACTTTCTGTGAATAAGATTCTCCCACTGAACTCCATTCTCACTAGTATCCTTTCATATACCTTGGCCTTACCCACCCTGCCTTTTGGGGCCCTGAGGTTGGCCCCAAACATGCCCCATATATCACCCTATACATACTAAGCTTTCTGCTCCTTGCTTGAAAATGTCTCTTTCTTTTCTTTGGTTTGGTGATCTTTACAGGTTCTGACAAAGGTATGCACATGTCTTCAGAAAAGACCTTAAGTTCTTCAGACCATGGTATATCAAAAGAAAAAGTAAATGACTTTTCTCTTTGTAACAAGGTCAAGTTTTCATTTAGCTGCTGCTCCACATGAATAAGCAGGGACTGTATATCTTCAGCTTGAATATTCAGCAGTTGGCCCAGAGTGATTTCTCCGATAATTTCTTGCCTATATAAGTCAAGGGAAAAGAAGTACAGTACTAAGCTAGTGATAGAACAAAATTCAAAAAAGAAAAAGTTACAATGGAAGAGAGGGATAAAGTAGTAATTTAGAACAGGCTGAAGTAAAGTCTGGTTAAAGAAGAAAGAATGTAGCTGGATGCAGTGGCTAACGCCTGTAATCCCAACGCTTTGGGAGGCCAAGGTGGGTGGATCACTTGAGGTCAAGAGTTCAAGACCAGCCTGGCCAATATGGCGAAACCTCATCTCTACTAAAAATACAAAAATTAGCTGGGCATGGTGGTGGGTGCCTGTAATCCCAGCTACTCGGGAGGCTGAGGCAGGAGAATCACTGGAACCTGGGAGGCAGAGGCTGCAGTGAGCCAAGATAACATCACTGCACTCCAGCCTGGGTGACAGAACGAGATTCCGTCTCAAAAAAGAAAAAAGAAAGACTGAGGGATGGCAAGGAATGTAGTGCCACATAACTCGTTCTATTGTGCGTTGCTTTATTATGCTTCACAGACACTGTGTTTTTTACAAATGGAAGGTCTGTGGCAACCCTGCCTAGAGCAAGCCTCTCAGCATCATTTTTCCAACAACGTGTGCTTGCTTCTTGTCTCTGTCACATTTTGCTAATTTTGATAGTATTTCAAACTTTTTCATCATTATTATTGTATCCATTTTGGTGATATGTTATCAGTGATCTTCGAAGTGACTATTGTAATTGTTTCAAGGCACCGTGAGCTGCACCCATGTAAGATGGTGAACTTCACCAATAAATGTTGTGTGTATTCTGACTGCTCTATTAACCAGCCATTCCCCCATCTTTTCTCCTCAGGCCTCGCTATTCCCTGGGACACAACAATATTGAACGTAGGCTAGTTAATAGCCCTACAATCTCCTCTAAGTGTTCGAGTGAAAGGAAGAGTCACATGTGTCTCACTTTAAACCAAAAGCTAGAAATGATTAAACTTAGTGAGGAAAGCATGTTGAAAGTCCAGACAGGCTGGAAGCGAGGTCTCCTGTGCCAAACAGCAGGCCAAGTTGCACATGCAAAGGAAATGTTCTCGAAGCAAATTAAAAGTATTACTCCAGTGAACACACAATGACAAGAAAGCGAAACAGTTTTATTGCTGATGTGGAGAAAGTTTTAGTGGTCTGGATAGAAGATCAAACCAGCCACAACGTTCTGTTAAGCCTAAACCTAATCCAGAGCAAGGCCCTAATGCTCTTCAATTCTATGGAGGCTGAGAGTTGAGGAAGCTGTGGAAGAAAAGTTTGAAGCTAGCAGAGAATAATTCATGAGGTTGAAAGAAAGAAGCTGTCTCCAGAACATAAAAGTGCAAGGTGAAGCAGCAAGTGCTGATGGAGAACCTCCAGCATGTGATCCAGAAGACCTAGCTGAAATAACTGATGAGGGTGACTGCATTAAATAACAAATTTTCATTGTAGACAAAACAGCCTTCTATTCAAAGAAGATGCCATCTAGGACTTTCATGGCTAGAGAGGAGTCAATGGCCGGCTTCAAAGCTTCAAAGGAAATGCCATGTCTCCTGTTAGGGGCTAATGCACCTAGTAACTTTAAGTCAAAGCTCATGTGTATTTACCGTAATGAAAGTCCTAGGATCCTAAAGAAGGGTGCTAAATCTACTCTGCTTGTGCTCTATAAGTAGAAGAACAAAGCCTAGATGACAGCACATCTCTTTATAGCATAGTTCACTGAAGATTTTAAGCCCAATATTGAGACCCACTGCCAAGAAAGATAGATCATTTTCAAAATATTACTGCTCACTGACAATGTGCCTCATCACCCAAGAGATGTGATGGAGATGTATAAGGAGATTAATGTGGTTTTCATGCCTATTAACACAACATCCATTCTTCAGCCAATGAATCAAGGATTAATTTTGACTTTCAAGTCTTATTTAAGAAACACATTTTGTATGGCAATAGCTGCCATAGATAGCAGTTCTTCTCATGGATCTAGGGAAAGTAAACTGAAAACCTTGTGGAAAAGATTCAGCATTCTAGATGCAATTAAGAATACCTGTGATTCATGGGAAGAAGTCAGGTATCAACATGAACAGAAGTTTGGAAGAAGTTAATTCCAACCCTCACGGATGACTTTCAGAGGTTCAAGACTTCAGTGGAGGAAGTAACTGCTGCAGTTACTTGTGGTGGAAATAACAAGAGAAATAGAATTAGAAGTGGAGCTTGATGATGTGACTGAATTGCTGCAACCTCATGATCAAACTTGAATGGATTAAGAATCTACTCCTGGTGAAGATGCTTTGAACATTGCTGAAAGGACAAGGATATTAAAATATTACATTAATTTAGTTGATACAGCAGTGGCAGGGTTTGAGAAGATTGACTCTAGTTTTGAAAGAAGTTCTATTTGAGTAAAATGCTATCAAACAGCACCACATGCTACAGAGACATCTTTCATGAAAGGGAGAGTGAACTGATGCAGCAAACTTCTTTGTCTTATTTTAATAAAATGTTATACCCACCTCAACCTTTAGCACCCACCAGTCAGCAGCTATCAATATCAAGGCAAGACCATTCACCAACAACAAAAAAAATGACAACTCGCTGAAGGCTCAGATGATCATTAGCAATTTTCAGCAATAAAGTGTTTTTAATTAAGGTATCTGCATTGATTTTTTTTTAAGATGAAATTTTGCTCTTGTCACCCAGGCTGGAGTGCAGTGCTGCAATCTCAGCTCACTGCAGCCTCCGCCTCCCGGGTTCAAGTGATTCTTCTGCCTCAGCCTCCTTAGTGGCTGGGATTACAGGTGCCTAGCACCACGCCCAGCTAATTTTTATATTTTTGGTAGAGACGGGGTTTCACCATGTTGGCCAGGCTGGTCTTGAACTCCTGACCTCAGGTGATATGCCCGCCTCGGCCTCCCAAAGTGCTGGGATTACAAGTGTGAGCCACCACGCCCAGCCTGTGCATTGATTTTTTAGATATAATGCTACTGCACACTTAATAGACTACAGTCGAGGGTAAATATAACTTTTATATGCACTGGGAAACTAAAAAATCCATGTAACTTGCTTTACTGCAGTATTCACTTTATTGCAGTGGTCTGGAACCAAACCCACAATATCTCCAAAATATGCCTGTAGTCAGTGGGACACATGATGCTTCTTTGGTTGGGAGATTTGTGGACATGAGTCTTGAGGAATCTTGAGAAATTGAAGAAATGATGGAAAGACAGGCTAGTCAGTGGTCAGAAGGAAAGGGGTAGGTGCTGGGTAAAAGAGCAAATTGAAACAAAGAACAAAGAGGGAGGAAGAGAATTTATTTATTTTTATTTTTATTTTTTTGAGACTGAGTCTCACTCTGTTGCCCAGGTTAGAGTGCAGTGGCACCATCTCAGCTTGCCGCAACATCCGCCTCCCGGGTTCAAGCGATTCTTGGGCCTCAGCCTCCCAAGTAGCTGGGACTACAGGCATGCACCACCACACCCGGCTAATTTTTGTATTTTTAATAAAGACAGGGTTTCACTATGTTGGCCAGGCTGGTCTCGAACTCCTGACCTCGGGTGACCTGCCCGCCTTGGCCTCCCAAAGTGCTGGGATTACAGGCATGAGCCACTGTGCCTGGAAGGAATAGAATTTAAAAAGCATTTTTGAAATGGGAAGAAACAGATTTTGGAGGATAGGAGATGGAAGGAACCAGAAGAGGAGAAGGTCACCATCCAACTTACTGCATTTTCTGGAGAGTTTCGTGTTTCTTCAGCAGGTGTACCAGCCTGGTCTTGGTTTGGATGCCTGTGACTCTTACCATAAGGTATAAGGCCTTAGCCTGCACATTCTCATCACTGTCCATCAATCCCATAGCCAGTGGAATAGCAAAATGATGGTTCATGAGGCCTAGCCTATCCAGCGCCTCCCAGGGTAGTTCACGGATACGTGGATTGGAATGGATTGTGTCTTGTAGGAGGCGATGGGCAGTCTTAGAAACCAACTCTGAAGATATCTGGCAAGTGGCAAAAATACGTTTAAGTACCCTAAAATATCTCTTGTATTCCTCTACAGAGCAGTAAATTGTGAGGTTGAGGATGGCCTCTATTAAATCATCCATAAGCCTTCCACTATATTTTCTTCTCATCCAATTTTGGTTTGCCATGCTTTCAAGAATATCAAGGGAAGTTCCTTTTCGCACCTTGGATTTATCCTTTTGTTGACTCCTTGAAATTTTCTCTTCTACTAGAGTCATAGATGACAAGTCCCAGTCCTTAACTTGGTAGGATGAATACAGATCACAGCATAGGAAGACTGGGGTACCCTCAGGCCAAGGGCGAGCACGGATCACTGAGTTGGGGATGGCCATCAGGAGCAAAGGGCCATTGCCGCCCTTGACCAAAGAAGCACTGTGGCATTTGGTAGGCATTGAATCCATCCCAGCCAGCCAGCTGCAACGGAGCAGGAACCTCATGTCGGGGACGATTATACTTGGAATCAAGAGTAGAGAAATCAATATCCTTATCCTCCAAAAGAGGAAATTTGGTCTTTTGAATCACAAGGGACATGCTTCTCTCTTCTTCTACAACATGAGGCACAGTATTGTCAAAAGCAATGAACCGTTTGTTGACAAGGGTCTCTAGCCCCTGTAATTCCTGCCGCCCTTTTCCAAGGTAGACAAATCTGGGTACAAATACTGTTTCAAACATAAAGAAGAAGCTAGGAAGGAAGGGTTTAGGGACTTCTTGTATTTCATCTGCATTTTTTAGGATACGCAGGTGAACCAGCTGAGCTGGAGGGAGCAGCTTTAAGCAAGATACTATGTAGATACGCTGGTTGAAAGTCAACAACAGGTCACTTCGATTACTGGCAAAGCAGAGTGGTCCAAAATGCAGGGCTGAGTCGAACTCGGTTACAAGTCTACCGTGGAAGTCCCAGATCCGGACTGAGCCATCAATGCCACCTGTGACAAAAAGTTTCAGGGGAAGGCAGACATCAAATGAAGTGATGTCACACTCATGCAGGCATTTTGTCTCTCTCCACACAAAGCTCTGTTTTGATTCTGAAGATGTCAGAAAGCCTTCATAGTGCCAGAGACACCAGCAGTAGCTTTCAGTGATGGCACCCACAGAACCTGGCAAGAGTATCACACGTTTTAGGGGGCAGCCACAGAGGATTTTGCTGACAGGCTGAAGGACTACCTTGTTCACCTGAAGCACGGCCTCTGTCAAGTGTATGATGTTATCCGTGCCATAGGAACAGAGCAAGGCGTTTCCCTGAGGGCCTTCCAGGGTAGACAATGCCAATACTGCCCCAGAGTGAACAGTCTTCTCTATTCGGGCACAACTATAGTGGGAAAGGGTTCTCACAATGCCACTCTCATGCCCACAGAACATCAATCCTCCTAGGCCTTTTTGCAGATGGGACCTCCCATAGGCCAAGCATCTTACTGTATCCTTACGGTCTGCTGAAGTGCACACAAGATACTTGGCTGTACAAGGAGAGCGTGTTGCATCAAACACCAGCACCTCTGAACTGCCTATTGCCACAAAGAGTTCCTCTCTCTCTGAGTCATAGGCCCAAGCCAAAGCCTTATCCATAACAAGTAGAGGCCAAGTGATAACCAGGAGATCCCCTGTTACTGGAGACAAGAAGCGCAATAAACCATCCTCAGTGGCACATAGAATCCGAGTCCAGTTATGGCCGCAGCAGACCCGCTGCACTTGCTGGGGAGCAGAACCACAGACATTGAAGAGGCTATAAAAGTAGGGCAGGTGATGCAATGAAAAACTGTAGGTGGTCTGGCAGAAAAAAGTGGTATTATCAATAAACTGCAGTCTCTGAAGATCCTCGTCAATATTCAGCTGCCGCAGCAAGTTCCCATAAGTGAGATTCCATTCCCTCACTATGCCTTCACTGCCTGCTGTTAGTAAGGTGTGGATCTCTGGCCGGCTATGGATACATATCACTGATGAGGAATGGGCTTGAAAGCTGTGGAGGAAGTTACCTTGGTCTAAACCCCAAGCGTGGATCTCTCCAGCCCTGTTTCCAGCATAGAAATTGCCCTGAGAGACACAAGTAAAGGAGCAAGTGATGGAAGAGCCACTGGCGACAGGAGTGAACTTCACTTCTTCCAGCTGGCCCTGACCCCGGTGAATGAAGACCCTCACTGTATCCTCACACAGAGCCAACAGGGATCCCTGGGGGCCATTCAGGGAAAATCCCTGTACAAGCTCATGATCAGCCATAGGTACTATTTGAGCCATCTCGATGCCCATGCCATTTGGTAAGATAAACCAGGTAACCACAGCCCCCAGGGTACCAGAGAGCAGCAACTCAGCTTCTGGATCATAGAAGAGGCAGCTGGTGGAGAAATGACAGGGCACTGTACCCAGAAATCTGAACGTTCGACGGTGATCTCCAAAAAGCCTCAGGCGCATGTCACCACAGTAAGCAATTAACATGTGGTAGGAACCTGTGTGGACCATTGCTTGAATGGGCGGCCACTGATCCATCATGCGAAGCCTCATCTTCTCTACCATTCCTTTCATTTCTGTACCCTTTTTTTGTATCCAAAGTACTGCCTAGAAGAGGATGAGAGATGAAAGCCTGACTGTGGAGGTGGATCATTTTCCAAAGTGTGGGGTAGGGAAGGCTGAATATTCAGATCCCTGTTCCCTCTGGTGTGACTAAGGAAAGACTAGACAGCTTGACTTTAGGAATCTCCTAGTACAGCAGCTCCCACTTACCCATGGTTTCCCTTTCTGTGGTTTCAACTACCTGTGTGGTCAACTGCAGTCCAAAAATATCAAAAGAAAAATTCCAGAAATAAACAATTCATAAGTTTTAAATGGCATGCTGTTCTGAGTAGCAGGATGAAATCTCAGGCAGTCCCATTCCATCCTGCCTGGGACTTGAATTATCCCTCTGTCCAGCCTATCTACACTACATACCCTATCTGCCTGTTACGTCACTTAGTAGCCATTGCAGTTATCAGATTAACTGTCGCAGTATCGCTGTGCATGTGTTCAAGAAACCCTCATTTTATTTCATAATGGTCCCAAAGCACAAGAATAGTAATACTGGCAATTCAGATATGCCACAGAGATGCCACAAAATGCTTCCTTTAAGTGAAAAGGTGAAGGTTCTTGACTTAATAAGGAAAGCAATTGTATGCTGAGGTTGCTACCATCTATAGTAAGAATGAATCTTCTTGGCCGGGTGCAGTGGCTCACGCCTGTAATCCCAGCACTTTGGGAGGCCAAGGCGGGCGGATCACGAGGTCAGGAGTTCGAGACCAGCCTGAATAACATGGTGAAACCCTGTCTCTACTAAAAATACAAAAATTAATCGGGCATGGTGGTGCGTGCCTGTAATCCCAGCTACTCAGGAGGCTGAGGCAGGAGAATCACTGGAACCTGGGAGGCGGAGGTTGCAGTGAGCCAAGATCGTGCCACTGCACTCCAGCCTGGGCAGCAGAGTGAGACTCTGTCTCAAAAATAAAAAAAAAAAAAAGAATGAATCTTCTGTGAAATTGTGAAGGAGGAAAGACAAATTCATGCTAGTTTTGCTGTTGCACCTCAAGTGCACGCATTATGGACATAGTGCATGATAGCACTTAGTTATGAGGGAAAAAGCACAAAATTTGTAGGTGAGCCACATGAACACAAACATGTTCCAATTGATGGCAGTCAGGTTTGGTACTATCTGCAATTTCCGATGTCCACTGGGGGCTTGGAATGTATCCCCCATGAATTCGTGGGGACTATTATACTAGGAATTGGGTATGTGATAGAAGCACCATGTTCAAGGCCCTTTTCTTGGCCTTCAGTCTACTTGATGGAGAATATGAATTCTGAGGGCCTGATAACATGAGGTGAAGAAGGATCACTGCATCCAGTCAAACTGGGATATGGAGATGGGTACTAAAATGAGCTAATTCACAGTCACTACCATCATTCTAAAATGAGGGCAGTTCAGGTGTGATGCATGTAAATTGAATTAAGAAGGAGAGGGGGAAAAACGAGGTGGCTTTACCTGCATTTTTCCACAGGGTTCCATCCAGTTTAAGGAGACAAAACAGTTGACCTTGATGGAGTAGTAGAAGCAGACAAAAGGCTTGTTCTGTGGATGGTGAGACTCCCGGTATAGAGTCTCAGGCCAGTCACTCAGTAGAACCACATCATTCTTTGGTTCTTCATCATTCTGAGAGAGAAGAATGACCTGAGTTAAGAGTTCTGAGTCCCCACTCATTCACTCATTTCAGAAATATTTACTGGCCAGGTGTGGTGGCTTGCACCTGTAATCTCAACACTTTGGGAGGCCAAGGCAAGCAGATAGCTTGAGCCTAGGAGTTTGAGACCAATCTGGGCAACACAGCAAAGCCCCATCTCTACAAAAAATACAAAAATTAGCTGGGCATGGTGGTGCATGACTGTAGTCCCAGCTACTCGGAAGGCTAAGTAAGACAGGAGGATCGCTTGAGCCCAGGAGGTCAGGCCACAGTGAGCCATGACTGTAGCACTGCACGCCAGCATGGGTGACACAGCGAGACCCTGTCTCAATAAGTTTAATAAATAAATAAATATTTACTGAGAGATGAGTGGTCATTTGTTGTTTTTGAGCTAACCAACGTTTACCCTACTACTGGAAAGCAGCACTGGAGGGGTCATCCCTCCCTCACCCTCAGTTTGCAACAGAATACATCTGTATCAATTGGTCTCTTCTACACTTTCTCAACCAAGTTTCCATAAAAAAAAGTAAGCCCTCATGTCCTAAAGTATCCAATCTACATAATGAATTGATTTCTTTCCTAGTCATCTAGAATGCTACTAGTTATGAGGCATTGAGAGAAATGAGAAAGTAGCCCCTCAAATCATGTTCTGTGTTCCATGATTCAGATGAAGAGCCACAGTTGAGAAAGGCTGACAGGTTCTATGAAAGATTCTGAGGGTACAGTGCTGAGCAAAACAGACATGGCTCTGGCTCTTAAGAAGATGAGTCAGAGGGGAAACAGACGTTAAACAAATAACTAACAACTGAGTATACAAAACAAGTAAATGCTTACAAAGAAAGGAATACACGGTGGCTCACCCCTGTAATCCCAGCACTTTGGGAGGCCGAGGCGGGAGGATCACAAGGTCAGGAGAACGAGACCATCCTGGCTAACACGGTGAAACCCCGTCTCTACTAAAAATACAAAAAATTAGCTGGGTGTGGTGGTGGGCGCCTGTAGTCCCAGCTACTCGGGAGGCTGAGGCAGGAGAATGGCGTGAACCCCAGGAGGCAGAGCCTGCAGTGAGCTGAGATCGCACCACTGCACTCCAGCCTGGGCGAGAGCGAGACTCCATCTCAAAAAAAAAAAAAAAAAAAAAAAAAAAAAAAAGAAAGGAATACAATTCTGTATGACAGAGGAACCCAACCATGGCAAATATGTATACCTGTCACAGTTGGAACAACTTTTTTAAGTTCCAGCCTACACCAAAAGGACCACTCTTATTAGAATTGCACACACGATACACTGCCTTTGGGAAACTCATACTTCACAGTATGTAATAGGATGACCACCATGTGTGGCAGACCTTGTCGCATGCACCTCTGTCACTATTCTTTCTTTATTTATTTATTTAGATGGAGTCTCGCTCTGTCGCCCAGGTTGGACTAAGGTGGCGCGATCTTGGCTTACTGCAACTTCTGCCTCCTGGGTTCAAGTGATTCTCCTGCCTCAGCCTCCCGAGTAGCTGGGATTACAGGCGCCCGCCACCATGCCCGGATAATTTTTGAATTTTTAGTAGAGACAGGGTTTTGCCATGTTTGTCAGGCTGGTCTCGAACTCCTGACCTCAAGTGATCTGCCCACCTCAGCCTCCCAGAGTGCTGGGATTACAGGCGTGAGCCACTGTGCTCTGCATTCTGTCACTATTCTTATGTGTACCCAAGGGGAATGTGTGCTATTTACAACATGGAGTTAGCTGTGTGTCAGCTCTTCTGGCCATGTGGGGTGTGTGTATATATATGTACCTATCAAGGGAGTTACATACCTTGTAATAGGTTACACAGTAGAACATATACAATACATGCCACCTTCCAGTGATGTAGCAGATGTCTGTAATGTATGTACATGAAGTCCTCATGCTGATCAGCCAAAACTGAGTTCATGAAGTTTACTTCTGGGGTCACCCTTCTCAGTAGCTACTTGAACTATACCCACCTCCTGAACAATGCCCCATGGATCTAACTCTCCAAGTTTCTCTGCATCAGAATTTGTGCTCTGACCAACTAAGTTGGAAGGTATAATACTAAATCAACTGAAGTATTAAAACAACTTTACTTATAATGTCCATCATACCTGCTTCCTGCATCCACAAAGGATTTGAGACTATACTGAGGCCAATATCTATCTACAACTTAGAATCTCTCTTCTTTCTGTATTTCTTTTTTCTTTCTCTCTCTCTTTTTTTTCTTTAGAGACAGAGTCTTGCTCTGTTGCTGTTGACGTGACTAGAGTGCCATGGTGTGATCATAGCTCACTGTAACATCAAAATGCTGGGCTCAAGCAATCTTTCCACCTTAGCCTCTTGAGTAGCTGGGACTATAGTCATGCACCACCACACTTGGATAATTTTTTTTATTTTTGTAGAGATGGGGTCTCGCTATGCTGCCCAGGCTACTCTTGAACTCCTGGGCTCAAGTGATCCTCCTGTCTTGGCCTCCCAAAGTCCTGGGATTACAGGCGTGAGCCACCATGCCCAGCCCTACCTGTATTTCTTATTTTCAGATCTCAAGAGCTTACAGCACCATTGTCATTGCTGATTCAGTAGCAGTAGCAGAGTTGAGTGAAAGGACCCTGGTGTCTGAGCTCCCAACCCCTCATCTCTCTTAATCAGAAAGCTCATTTACATACCTCTTATTCCATTAGTTAATCATCATTCCTTTTCTCCTTTCCAGCCTTTATGTACAAACAATTCATTCACTCATTAAATGAGATCAACGCTTTGCTATGGAAAAAAACTAAGAATATCTTAACGCAATGTATCTGCCTGATATTACTGCTACCTACTCTACATCAAATCCTTCTCCTTCCTCTTCCCCCTCCTTCCATCCGAATGAAATTCTGATTTGGCTTAGGGCGATCATGGACCCAGAAACTTCAGCAACATAGAGTACTACTATAGTACTCCAAGGCTGGCATGGCCCTGTGGCTCTCTGAGCTTCCCTCTTCTATCTTCTATCTACTTGCAATTTGAGGCTGATACCTGGAAGTGCAACGACTATCTTGTAAGCCTAGGATAATAAGCTAACATAATAGAAATGGTGGAAAAGAAAGAAAAAGAATGCAGGTCCTTGACAACACGTAGGACAAAGATGCCTCTTACTTGTTTAATCCATATAAATCCATTTTCTGTTATTGCAGCAGAAAGTGTTCTAACTTACCTAATGCGATCATCTTAATTTAGCAGGGGAAGTTATTGGGGGATGTGGAAGGGTCTTTCCTAAGTTGCCTATGTCTTGCCCATGCCACAGCCTGCCTTGGCAGGAATAATTAGTCCAGGGCCACCATGTGCACAGCTCTCATACACATCACCTTTATGTCCTTCAGGATCTTATTTATGAGGAACTTCAAGTTCTTCCACTCAGGAATAAGTCTGGATGAAGATGATTTCCTAGTGATATCCCAGCTCTTTACAGACATCTTGGATTACAGAACCTGTGGAAGGTAAAGGTCTCTTAATCAACAACATCTAATGTTAGAACGGAAATTAAGGGAATTGGGAAAGAGGGAAGGGCAGCAAGATAAATTAGAGAAGTACTCCTTTAGAAGCCAGGCGCGGTGGCCCATGCCTGTAATCCCAGCACTTTGGGAGGCCAAGGCAGGTGGATCACTTGAGCCCAGGAATTTGAGACCAGCCTGGCCAACATGGTGAAACCCCATCTCTACTAAAAACACAAAAATTAGCTTGGCATGGTGGCACGTGCCTGTAATCCCAGCTACTCGGGAGGCTGAGGCAGAAGAATCGCTTGAACCTGGGAGGAGGAGGTTGCAGTGGGCCGAGATTGCGCCACTGCACTCCAGCCTTGGCGACAGAGCGAGACTCCATCTCAAAAAAAAAAAAAAAAAAAAAAAAAAAGAAGTGCTCCCTTAGAAACAGGAGAAACTCCTTTGTTTTAAAAAAGATAGGAATAGAAGAGGCCTTGGGGAGGAGCCAAGATGGCCGAATAGGAACAGCTCCGGTCTACAGCTCCCAGCGTGAGCGACGCAGAAGACGGGTGATTTCTGCATTTCCATCTGAGGTACCGGGTTCATCTCACTAGGGAGTGCCAGACAGTGGGCGCAGGCCAGTGGGTGTGCGCACCGTGCGCGAGCCGAAGCAGGGCGAGGCATTGCCTCACCTGGGAAGCGCAAGGGGTCAGGGAGTTCCCTTTCTGAGTCAAAGAAAGGGGTGACGGACGCACCTGGAAAATCGGGTCACTCCCACCCGAATACTGCGCTTTTCAGACCGGCTTAAAAAACGGCGCACCACGAGACTATATCCCACACCTGGCTTGGAGGGTCCTACGCCCACGGAATCTCGCTGATTGCTAGCACAGCAGTCTGAGATCAAACTGCAAGGCGGCAGCGAGGCTGGGGGAGGGGCGCCCGCCGTTGCCCAGGCTTGCTTAGGTAAACAAAGCAGCCGGGAAGCTCGAACTGGGTGGAGCCCACCACAGCTCAAGGAGGCCTGCCTGCCTCTGTAGGCTCCACCTCTGGGGGCAGGGCACAGACAAACGAAAAGACAGCAGTAACCTCTGCAGACTTAAATGTCCCTGTCTGACAGCTTTGAAGAGAGCAGTGGTTCTCCCAGCACGCAGCTGGAGATCTGAGAACGGGCAGACTACCTCCTCAAGTGGGTCCCTGACCCCTGACCCCCGAGCAGCCTAACTGGGAGGCACCCCCCAGCAGGGGCACACTGACACCTCACACGGCAGGGTATTCCAACAGACCTGCAGCTGAGGGTCCTGTCTGTTAGAAGGAAAACTAACAAACAGAAAGGACATCCACACCGAAAACCCATCTGTACATCACCATCATCAAAGACCAAAAGTAGATAAAACCACAAAGATGGGGAAAAAACAGAACAGAAAAACTGGAAACTCTAAAACGCAGAGCGCCTCTCCTCCTCCAAAGGAACGCAGTTCCTCACCAGCAACGGAACAAAGCTGGATGGAGAATGACTTTGACGAGCTGAGAGAAGAAGGTTTCAGATGATCAAATTACTCTGAGCTACGGGAGGACATTCAAACCAAAGGCAAAGAAGTTGAAAACTTTGAAAAAAATTTAGAAGAATGTATAACTAGAATAACCAATACAGAGAAGTGCTTAAAGGAGCTGATGGAGCTGAAAACCAAGGCTCGAGAACTACGTGAAGAATGCAGAAGCCTCAGGAGCCGATGCGATCAACTGGAAGAAAGGGTATCAGCAATGGAAGATGAAATGAATGAAATGAAGCGAGAAGGGAAGTTTAGAGAAAAAAGAATAAAAAGAAATGAGCAAAGCCTCCAAGAGATATGGGACTATGTGAAAAGACCAAATCTACGTCTGATTGGTGTACCTGAAAGTGATGCGGAGAATGGAACCAAGTTGGAAAACACTCTGCAGGATATTATCCAGGAGAACTTCCCTAATCTAGCAAGGCAGACCAACGTTCAGATTCAGGAAATACAGAGAACGCCACAAAGATACTCCTCGAGAAGAGCAACTCCAAGACACATAATTATCAGATTCACCAAAGTTGAAATGAACGAAAAAATGTTAAGGGCAGCCAGAGAGAAAGGTCGGGTTACCCTCAAAGGGAAGCCCATCAGACTAACAGCGGATCTCTCAGCAGAAACCCTACAAGCCAGAAGAGAGTGGGGGCCAATATTCAACATTCTTAAAGAAAAGAATTTTCAACCCAGAATTTCATATCCAGCCAAACTAAGCTTCATAAGTGAAGGAGAAATAAAATACTTTACAGACAAGCAAATGCTGAGAGATTTTGTCACCATCAGGCCTGCCCTAAAAGAGCTCCTGAAGGAAGCGCTAAACATGGAAAGGAACAACTGGTACCAGCCGCTGCAAAATCATGCCAAAATGTAAAGACCATCGAGACTAGGAAGAAACTGCATCAACTAACGAGCAAAATCACCAGCTAACATCATAATGACAGGATCAAATTCACACATAACAATATTAACTTTAAATGTAAATGGACTAAATTCTCCAATTAAAAGACACAGACTGGCAAGTTGGATAAAGAGTCAAGACCCATCAGTGTGCTGTATTCAGGAAACCCATCTCACGTGCAGAGACACACATAGGCTGAAAATAAAAGGATGGAGGAAGATCTACCAAGCAAATGGAAAACAAAAAAAGGCAGGGGTTGCAATCCTAGTCTCTGATAAAACAGACTTTAAACCAACAAAGATCAAAAGAGACAAAGAAGGCCATTACATAATGGTAAAGGGATCAATTCAACAAGAGGAGCTAACTATCCTAAATATATATGCACCCAATACAGGAGCACCCAGATTCATAAAGCAAGTCCTGAGTGACCTACAAAGAGACTTAGACTCCCACACATTAATAATGGGAGACTTTAACACCCCACTGTCAACATTAGACAGATCAACGAGACAGAAAGTCAACAAGGATACCCAGGAATTGAACTCATCTCTGCACCAAGCAGACCTAATAGACATCTACAGAACTCTCCACCCCAAATCAACAGAATATACGTTTTTTTCAGCACCACACCACACCTATTCCAAAATTGACCACATAGTTGGAAGTAAAGCTCTCCTCAGCAAATGTAAAAGAACAGAAATTATAACAAACTATCTCTCAGACCACAGTGCAATCAAACTAGAACTCAGGATTAAGAATCTCACTCAAAGCCGCTCAACTACATGGAAACTGAACAACCTGCTCCTGAATGACTACTGGGTACATAACGAAATGAAGGCAGAAATAAAGATGTTCTTTGAAACCAACGAGAACAAAGACACAACATACCAGAATCTCTGGGACTCATTCAAAGCAGTGTGTAGAGGGAAATTTATAGCACTAAATGCCCACAAGAGAAAGCAGGAAAGATCCAAAATTGACACCCTAACATCACAATTAAAAGAACTAGAAAAGCAAGAGCAAACACATTCAAAAGCTAGCAGAAGGCAAGAAATAACTAAAATCAGAGCAGAACTGAAGGAAATAGAGACACAAAAAACCCTTCAAAAAATCAATGAATCCAGGAGCTGGTTTTTTGAAAGGATCAACAAAATTGATAGACCGCTAGCAAGACTAATAAAGAAAAAAAGAGAAGAGAATCAAATAGACACAATAAAAAATGATAAAGGGGATATCACCACCGATCCCACAGAAATACAAACTACCATCAGAGAATACTACAAACACCTCTACGCAAATAAACTAGAAAATCTAGAAGAAATGGATACATTCCTTGACACATACACTCTCCCAAGACTAAACCAGGAAGAAGTTGAATCTCTGAATAGACAAATAACAGGAGCTGAAATTGTGGCAATAATCAATAGTTTACCAACCAAAAAGAGTCCAGGACCAGATGGATTCACAGCCGAATTCTACCAGAGGTACAAGGAGGAACTGGTACCATTCCTTCTGAAACTATTCCAATCAACAGAAAAAGAGGGAATCCTCCCTAACTCATTTTATGAGGCCAGCATCATTCTGATACCAAAGCCGGGCAGAGACACAACCAAAAAAGAGAATTTTAGACCAATATCCTTGATTAACATTGATGCAAAAATCCTTAATAAAATACTGGCAAACCGAATCCAGCAGCACATCAAAAAGCTTATCCACCATGATCAAGTGGGCTTCATCCCTGGGATGCAAGGCTGGTTCAATATACGCAAATCAATAAATGTAATCCAGCATATAAACAGAGCCAAAGACAAAAACCACATGATTATCTCAATAGATGCAGAAAAAGCCTTTGACAAAATTCAACAACCCTTCATGCTAAAAACTCTCAATAAATTAGGTATTGATGGGACGTATTTCAAAATAATAAGAGCTATCTATGACAAACCCACAGCCAATATCATACTGAATGGGCAAAAACTGGAAGCATTCCCTTTGAAAACTGGCACAAGACAGGGATGCCCTCTCTCACCACTCCTATTCAACATAGTGTTGGAAGTTCTGGCCAGGGCAATCAGGCAGGAGAAGGAAATAAAGGGTATTCAATTAGGAAAAGAGGAAGTCAAATTGTCCCTGTTTGCAGACGACATGATTGTTTATCTAGAAAACCCCATCGTCTCAGCCCAAAATCTCCTTAAGCTGATAAGCAACTTCAGCAAAGTCTCAGGATACAAAATCAATGTACAAAAATCACAAGCATTCTTATACACCAACAACAGACAAACAGAGAGCCAAATCATGAGTGAACTCCCATTCACAATTGCTTCAAAGAGAATAAAATACCTAGGAATCCAACTTACAAGGGATGTGAAGGACCTCTTCAAGGAGAACTACAAACCACTGCTCAAGGAAATAAAAGAGGATACAAACAAATGGAAGAACATTCCATGCTCATGGGTAGGAAGAATCAATATCGTGAAAATGGCCATACTGCCCAAGGTAATTTACAGATTCAATGCCATCCCCATCAAGCTACCAATGACTTTCTTCACAGAATTGGAAAAAACTACTTTAAAGTTCATATGGAACCAAAAAAGAGCCCGCATCGCCAAGTCAATCCTAAGCCAAAAGAACAAAGCTGGAGGCATCACACTACCTGACTTCAAACTATACTACAAGGCTACAGTAACCAAAACAGCATGGTACTGGTACCAAAACAGAGATATAGATCAATGGAACAGAACAGAGCCCTCAGAAATAACGCCGCATACCTACAACTATCTGATCTTTGACAAACCTGAGAAAAACAAGCAATGGGGAAAGGATTCCCTATTTAATAAATGGTGCTGGGAAAACTGGCTAGCCATATGTAGAAAGCTGAAACTGGATCCCTTCCTTACACCTTATACAAAAATCAATTCAAGATGGATTAAAGATTTAAACGTTAGACCTAAAACCATAAAAACCCTAGAAGAAAACCTAGGCATTACCATTCAGGACATAGGCGTGGGCAAGGACTTCATGTCCAAAACACCAAAAGCAATGGCAACAAAAGCCAAAATTGACAAATGGGATCTAATTAAACTAAAGAGCTTCTGCACAGCAAAAGAAACTACCATCAGAGTGAACAGGCAACCTACAACATGGGAGAAAATTTTCACAACCTACTCATCTGACAAAGGGCTAATATCCAGAATCTACAATGAACTCAAACAAATTTACAAGAAAAAAACAAACAACCCCATCAAAAAGTGGGCGAAGGACATGAACAGACACTTCTCAAAAGAAGACATTTATGCAGCCAAAAAATACATGAAAAAATGCTCATTATCACTGGCCATCAGAGAAATGCAAATCAAAACCACTATGAGATACCATCTCACACCAGTTAGAATGGCAATCATTAAAAAGTCAGGAAACAACAGGTGCTGGAGAGGATGTGGAGAAATAGGAACACTTTTACACTGTTGGTGGGACTGTAAACTAGTTCAACCATTGTGGAAGTCAGTGTGGCGATTCCTCAGGGATCTAGAACTAGAAATACCATTTGACCCAGCCATCCCATTACTGGGTATATACCCAAATGACTATAAATCATGCTGCTATAAAGACACATGCACACGTATGTTTATTGCGGCATTATTCACAATAGCAAAGACTTGGAACCAACCCAAATGTCCAACAATGATAGACTGGATTAAGAAAATGTGGCACATATACACCATGGAATACTATGCAGCCATAAAAAATGATGAGTTCATGTCCTTTGTAGGGACATGGATGAAATTGGAAACCATCATTCTCAGTAAACTATCGCAAGAACAAAAAACCAAACACCGCATATACTCACTCATAGGTGGGAAGTGAACAATGAGATCACATGGTCACAGGAAGGGGAATATCACACTCTGGGGACTGTGGTGGGGTGGGGGGAGGGGGGAGGGGTAGCATTGGGAGATATACCTAATGCTAGATGACGAGTTAGTGGGTGCAGCGCACCAGCATGGCACATGTATACATATGTAACTAACCTGCACAATGTGCACATGTACCCTAAAACTTAAAGTATAATAAAAAAAAAAAGATAGGAATGAAAATGAACTACTAGTATTTGCAACAACATAGATGAAACTCAAAAACTTAATACTGAGTACAAGAAGGCAGACACAAAACAGCACGTATTGTATGATTCCATCTATATGAAATTCTAGAAAAGAGTCATCTAGGCCGGGCGCAGTGGCTCACGTCTGTAATCCCAGCACTTTGGGGGGCCGAGGCAGGTGGATCACGAGGTCAGGAGTTGGAGACCATCCTGGCCAACATGGTGAAACCCCATCTCTACTAAAAATACAAAAATTAGCCAGGCGTGATGGCGTGTGCCTGTGGTCCCAGCTACTCAGAAGGCTGAGGCAGGAGAATCGCTTGAACCTGGGAGGCGGAGGTTGCAGTGAGCCAAAATCATGCCACTGCACTCCAGCCTGGGTGACACAGTGAGACTCCGTCTCAAAAAAAAAAAAAAAAAAAAAAAGTAATCTAGCCAACAGGGCCAGAAAGTAGATCAGTGGTTACATGGGGCAAAGATTTAGGAGGACTGAGTGGGAAGGGATGAAAGGGAACTTTTTGTAGTCTTGTAATGTTCTGTATCTTGACTCTGGTAGTGGTTACATGGGTATAGAAATTGGTCAAAACTCATCAAAAAAATATGGTATACTTTATTACATGAAAATTATACCTAAATAAATTTGATTTTATTTGTTTGTTTAGAAAGTCTTGCTCTGACACTCAGGCTGGAATGCACTGGAGTAATCAAAGTTCACTGTAACCTGCAACTCCTGGGCTCAAGGGATCCTTCTGCCTTAGCCTCCCAAGTAGCTTGGACTACAGGCACATGCCATCATGCTCAGCTAATGTTTTATTTTTTGTAGAGGTGGGGTCTTGCTATGTTGCCCAGGCTGGTCTCAAACTCCTGCCCTCAAGCAGTTCTCCTGCCTCAGCCTCCCAAAGTGCTGGGATTACAGGTGTGAGCCACCACACTCGGCCTTAATTTCATTTTTAAGAGGGAATAGAGTGACCTGGCACAATGGCTCATGCCTGTAATCCTAACACTTTGGGAGGCTGAAACGGAAGGATCACTTCAGCTCAGAAGTTTGAGACCAGCCTGGGCAACATAATGAGACCTTTTCTCTAAAAAAATTTTCAAAAATTAGCCGGGTGTGGTGGCAAGTACCTGTAGCCCCAGCTACTCGAGTACCTGAGGCGGGACAAGTGCTTGAGCCTGGGAGGTCAAGGCTGCAGTGAGTTGTGATCATGGCACCGCACTCCAGCCTGGATGATAAAGCGAGACCCTGTCCTAAAAAAAGAAAAAAGCGAGGCGTGGTGGTTCATGCCTGTAATCCCAGCACTTTGGGAGGCCGAGGCGGGTGAATCACAAGGTCAGGAGTTAAAGACCAGCCTGGCCAAGATGGTGAAACCCCGTCTCTACTAAAAATACAAAAATTAGCCGGGTGTGGTGGTGCATGCCTGTAATCCAAGCTACTAGGGAGGCTGAGGCAGGAGAATCGCTTGAACCCGGGAGGCGGAGGTTTCAGTGAGCCAAGATTGCGCCACTGCACTCCAGCCTGGGCAACAGAGCAAGACTCCATCTCAAAAAAAAAAAAAAGAAAGAAAAAGAAAAAAAGGCCGGGTGCAGTGGCTCTTGCCTGTAATCCCAGCACTTTGGGAGACCGAGGCAGGCGCATCACAAGGTCAGCGTCAAGAGATCGAGACCATCCTGGCCAACATGGTGAAACCCTGTCTCTACTAAAAATACAAAAAATTAGCTGGTCATGGTGGTGCACGCTTGTAGTCCCAGCTACTCAGGAGGCTGAGGCAGGAGGATCGCTTGAACCTGGGAGGCAGAGGTTGCAGTGAGCCAAGATTGCACCACTGCACTCCAGCCTGGCGACAGAGCGAGACTCCATCTCAAAAAACAAACCAAAAAAAAAAAAAAAAGAAAGAAAAAAGAAAAAGAATAGAGTGAAGTGGGTGCTTTATATAGTCTAGAAACAGAACAAAAAATACATTAAGTAAAGCTTTCAGGTGAGTTTAGGTGAGCCAGCTGTAGCTTAGCTGAAATAATGCAGGGGCCTAGCCCTCCCTTAGCTCTCTTTATTAGGAATCTAATATTTGTGGACATAATTATATTTATTAACCATCATCCTTCTTTCCTACGGAAGTCCTCATATATGTAAAAGTCACCCACTTTCCACAAATATTTCCTCACGGCTCATTATATGCCGACTGTGCTGAGAGCTAGAGATGAAGCAGGGAAGAAGAATGAGTATCTGCCTGGATGGGGTTTACTGTCTAGCATAGAAGACAGGCACTGAACAAGTTCATATAGATATCCAATTATGACAAGATGCCAGGCTAAAATAACCTGAAAGCCTCACACTACAAAATCCGAGAAATTCTGGGTAAAATAACAAGTACCTGAGCTTCAGGAACCAGAAACTAGGGAAGTAGAGGGTAACCCACAGCAACAAGTGCTGACTACTGTTGTGCTGGTCCTGAGAAGGTGTAGTTACCAGAGCCCATAAAGACCACAAATATCAATGACCACAATGGCTAGTGGCTTGGATAGTATTGCCCTGGTAAAGAGAAGACCCAGGACTCGGGCCAATGATAGGGAGTTGGAATTAAAACCCTTCCATGAAGCACTGGAATGCTTGACAAAAACAAACCTCAGAGAGAGAGACTTCCACAGACAGAGCTGACTCATGACCAGCTTCCTGAAAGCTTACACTTCTTTAAACTTTTATCCAGGCATACCCCAAATTCACAGGGATACCTATCACGTTCTCCAAATGATTCTCTGACATGTCCCTCACTTGGACTGACAAGGGAGAAAAGAAAGAAGGAGAAACACCACAGAGCACATCAACAATTCTCTCTGGAGAAATCATCATTTTAATTTTTATACCCAAGAGGATAATAATTTAAGAGTCACAAAAAAAATCCTTCACAATCTCTTAGCATGCTCTTCATATGTTATCAAACACCTACTGATCTCAAATAAAACTCCCAGAACACGGAAAGTCAGATTTAACATTCTGTTATATGTGTATATTAAAAATGTTAAGGAAACTACCATAAAGAAAAAAAACAAAAACAGAGGCCGGGCATGGTGGCTCATGCCTGTAATCCCAGCACTTTGGGAGGCCAAGATGGGCAGATCACCTGAGGTCAGGAGTTCAACACCAGCCTGGCCAACATGGCAAAACCCCACCTCTACTAAAAATATAAAACTTAGCCGGGCATGGTAGCATGCACCTGTAGTCCCAGCTACTCGGGAGGTTGAGTCAGGAGAATCACTTGAACCTGGGAGGTGGAGGTTGCAGTGAGCCGAGATCGCTCTAATGCACTCCAGCCTGGGTGACACAGCGAGACTCCATCTCAAAAAAAAAAAGAGAGAGAGAAAGAAAGAAAAAAAACAAATAGAATGCAT